>NC_000004.12:94375926-94678956 GCF_000001405.40 Homo sapiens
TACACTATTTAATTTAATTATTATGCTTATTATCTGTTTCCTCTCACTAGACTGTAAGCTTTTTGAAGGCTGGATCTTGGTTTTATTTTGTTTACTGATGTATTCCAAGAATGTAGAATAGCACCTGTCTATAGAGGATGCATAGGAAATATTTGTTAAATAAGTGAATGAAAAATCCTTTAGAGAATAGGCAAGCAAATAATTTTGAAAACCGCTACTAGGAATGATTTCCAATTTCATAAGGGAACTATAAGTTCAAGTGAGACATGTCTAAATGAAAATCTTCTAACAGCAAATTTTGGGTTTGATTTTTTTTAATTTAACAATATTCAAATTGGAAACTATTTTAAGTCATTTTTTTGAAATGTATTTCTGAATAAACACTCAAAGATGCAGACTATTCTTTTATTCAGAGCAATGAGGAACTATCATCAATTCATGACCAACTTAAAATAGAACATTTTCTGTGTGTCAGCTTTTGGAAGAGAATGGAGAACTACATTGGGGAGTTTTATACTATGAGGTTATATAAATATATGTACGTATATATATATTTGCATTTTTAATCAAGAATTGATTTATTAGGCTGAGCATGGTGGCTCATGCCTGTAATCCCAGCACTTTGGGAGGGCGAGGTGAGCGGATCACTTGAGTCCAGGAGTTTGAGACCAGCCTGGGCAACATGGTATAACCTGGTTTCTGTAAAAAATACAAAAATTAGCCAGGTGTGGTGGCAGGCACCTGTAGTCCCAGCTACTCAGGGGACTGAGGTGGGAGGATCACTTGAGCCTGTGAGGTCGAGGCTGTGGTGAGCCAAGATTGTGCCACTGTACTCCAGCCTGGGTGACAGAGTGAGAGAACCTGTCTCAAAAAAAAAAAAGAAAAAAAAAAAAGAATTTACTTTATTGCCTTAGCTTTTTAAATGCCAATCCTTATTAAGTATTTTTCATTAACTATAAATTTTGTCAGTCAAGAGCCAATGCGCTACCTCTTTTTAAGAAGGAAAGCTTCCCTCCAAATAGCTAAATTTAATCATTAGAAAATCAACTGGAGAACACCTTAGGAACAATAAAATAAGACACAGCGTGGCTCTGAGAAGAATAGCATCCTGTGAGACAAACCTAACTTTTTTGGAGACCAGAATGACAGAACTGGTTAGAATAGATATAGTTTATCTTACCTTGAATTAGGATCACTACAGGAATGAAAATCATGACCCCAGAAAAAATACAGTTTAGTATGTTTGTGGTAGCCCCTTCTTTCAGTCAGTTTCTGGTCAAGACTATAAACAAATTTTCTGCACATATCGCTTTTTGTGGTGATAGGAAAATTTTTTGGTGGTGATAGCTCATGGCCATGGTTTGGAGGCATGCAAAAGAAGGAGTGAGATACACCTACCAAACTATGTTGTGGAGCAAGCTAGCACACACTAAAGCCAAGTGACACAAGCTCACAGTGAGCCATTTCTGATCTGTCTACAATGGCAAAGCAAATGATGCTACAGGAACAAACTCAGTGCAGCTACAATGCAAATCAACACTGTCCACAGACTGTATGTGTGTTGTCCCTAAAGATTGGCCTAAGCTAATGTTATTGCTCAGCGGAAATATTTTCCTAGGAAAAAGAAGCAGTCATCAAAGGTAACATTGACGTGGAAGCCAAATATTTTCTAGGATCTATGTTTAATAAGCTGTTTTTTTCATATTGTATTTGATAATCACATGAATGTAATGTGGAGCATATAAATTAAAATCATAGGTAATTTCAAATAGAAGAATAAGATATTTGCACTCTGCAATGGATATTTGGCTTAGTCAGAAAAAATAGAATTCAGTTTAATTCAATTTAGCGATAAGATTTATGATCCTAAAGTGACACAAATACAGAAGAAGAAGAAAATGCACATATTTAAGTTGAAGAATGTGTGACTTAGCTATAAAGAAAACAGCATGAAGGATACAGATAATGATATGTTAGAAAATACACCATATTATTTAAAGGTGGATATAATATATGTAGCAGAGAAAAGAAATTATTCTCAACTCTGGTACAAATATCGAAGTGTCTTGTACGCCATTTATGAGAAACATGAAAAACATATAATTTTCAGGTGTGAATTAAAATGATTAAGAGTTTGAAAATAGGTGATAGGGAGACAGGCTAAATGAATGGGATCATTATCCAGTAAAAGAGAACACTGTGGGATGACCTCAGCCATCTAATTTATAAGAGATATGCAGATGGTTCCCAGCTGTTCTCCACCTCTCCTTTGAGGACTAAACCAAAGGAAACGGATCTAAACTTTGGCTTCTGGGATTTAAGTTAAATATGAAGAATAGTTTCCTGACAGCAAGGGTTGTAATATACTGAACAAATTCTTGAGAGGCAATGTAGAATCTCCTTCGCCGTTTATCTCTTAAGAACATAAAGTGCTTTACCATCTGCTGGCAATGAGCTCACTATAGAGCTGCAGAGTAACAAAGGGCTATAACTCAAATAGGCTATAACTCCAAATCTTGTCTTTATGAGTCAATAAGTATGATCAGATGTGATATTTCCACCCAAATAGATTTCCATGGTGGTGGTTGTGTTTTTGTGTTGTTTATTTATTTATTTTTGAGAAATAAAGTCTTAGTGGTTGAGAATTTTACTCACTTCCGTACATTTTTCTTCAATACCCATAGTTCATTTTAAAATATATGTGGCTCATTTTTCCTGGTCTCTAAAAGTAATACAGCTTTGTAGGATTTTTAGACATAATTAAATATTGCCTTATTCCTCACTCAAAAGATGTTATGGGAGCTGCAGTTTTTGCCTCAGTTTTCTTTTAGCATCCTATAGCTAGAGTACTATTTCTAGGACACCTGGATCAGTATATTTTCATAGGGTGAAAATATTTCAACTGCCAATAACAGCTAGGCTTGAGACTGACTCCCAGCAATAAGAACCGTAGTGTCTCATCCTCACTTTGCATGTATTTAAGCCTTTATTTTTCTCTTGAAAGCAGAGAAGATAAAAGATATCTTATGTCACTAAGTATAAGAATTTAGCTCTGTACCTCTGCTCATCTTATCTGAGTAAATCAGACAAGGTAAGTAAGTATGAAGCTCATTGCTCACACATATGTAGACTGAAAAAAATAATAAACATTTTATGTTCAATTCTAAATTTTCTAAGAAGGCAATATATATTGGCTACAGTTGTTACTGGGTTTTTTTGTAATCAGAATTGACCAAAGTAGTTACAGTTTTTATGAGTGAGTTTTTATATAATCTATGACACTAATCAGGGACTTATTTGCTTATGCAAAAACGTCATGTTTAATGTTGGCTATAAGAACTTTCCATACCTATTACTTTATTAATGACCTTGAGAACTTAATAAGTTGCCATTTTATAAAATACTTTCCAAATCAGTGATTTGCCTAAGGTCACACAGTCATGAGAGAAGTCAGAACTAGATCTCAGAAACTCTATGGATAGAAGTTTTCCCAGAACTCCTTGTCTCAGGGAATGCATTCTCTACCCATCAGAATTTACAAAATGAATGCTTGCCTCTTTCTCCTCCCTTGCTCTTCCTTTCCCTTCCCTTCCAATCAGAAGACCACAGCATCACTCTGTGCTAATCCTGCCAAAGATACCTGAATTTAATCATAAGGAAACACTTTTTTTCAATGAAGTATGTTCTACAAAATAAATGGCCATAATATTCAAAAGTATCAAGGTCATAAAAGTAAAAAAGGGATTGGGAGTAGTTTCAGATTAAAAAATACCAAAGAGACATAACAACCAAATGCAACTTGAGTTTCTGGGGTGCAATTTTTCACTATAAATGACGTTATTAAAGTATTTTGATGTCTTAAGGAGGAAAGAAGTTCTTAGTGGATATGACTACACCTGGCACCAAAGTACACATTAGTAATACTTCCTCAGAGGTACCTAAACTCTCTTGTCATATCCCAATGGTAGGAGTCAGAATTTAACACAATGTCTCTAATCTCTGATATTAATTCTTTTTGAGAACACGTATATAAGTGAACAACCTTGGATGATATAAATAGTGTCTCTTCCAGAGCAAAGAGTAGGCATGCTTTCTGTTCACTATAAAAGATTAAGATTCACTAAGCTTAGGGCTCCTTTCCTATAACACAACTCACTGCGTGAACAGATGCCATCCGGCCCTGTTTGAGTTGCCTGGGAATTGTGTCTCAGGGAACTGACACCAAAAATGCTCATTCTCTGGCTGTTGCAATTGATAAGTAATAAACTGTCTTTCATCTCTGACCCAGGAGTCTTGTGTCTTCCATCAGCATCTATGAAACGATGGCAGGTTAACCTGTTAACTTGCAAGTAGGGTAAATCTCATACCTTTTGCAATTCTTCACAGTTCATTCCTTCACTAGTTTTATTTGAAATGTTATGCTGATATCCAGTACCATATAGACTAATTTATAATCTTAGCTACTACCAACTATGCCATATAAAATAACAGGGGAAAGGAAAAAATGAAGTAAAAATGTAATCAGTTACATACACATATGACATACACAAGGCAAGATGAAATATAACCATTACAATACTCATTCTGTAGCTGATCAAAGGCCAAAATTTGTAACTTGTTTCTCCAATATCCCTTTTATGGTCCCCTTTACCCTTGGTTGCACTTCAGAAGGTCTGAGTTCTTTATTTATCTAATGTGATGACTAAATAATACATTATGGTTTATGCAATGAAATACATGTCTCAAAATGGAAGAAACTCACATATATAAATGTTGTTGATGAAGTGACAAAAGAAGGCACATAGGGTGGTATCACTTACACTAAAACAATATATATTTAGGGATTTCATATATATGTGTATTACATATATGATATATGTATAGCAAAACTATAATGACAAAAAAAGAAGGTGACAAAAATTATAAACACGAAAAGCAGAACAATATTACCTCTGAGAAAAAAGAAAATATGTTCATTGGCCAGGCGCGGTGGCCCACGCCTGTAATCCCAGCACTTTGGGAAGCTAAGGTGGGTGGATCACCTGAGGTCAGGCATTCAAGACCAGCCTGCTTAACATGGTGAAACCCCATCTCTACTAAAAATACAAAAAATTAGCCGGGCGTGTGGGGGGTACCTGTAATCACAGCTACTTGGGAGGCTGAGGCAGCAGAATCACTTGAACCTAGGAGGCGGAGGTTGCAGTGAGCCGAGATCATGCCATTGCACTCCAGCCTGGGCAACAAGAGTGAAAATCTGTGAAAAAAAAAAAAAGAAGAAGAAGAAGAAAGAAAGAAAGAAAGAAAAAGAAAGAAAGAGAAAGAAAGAGAAAGAAAGAAGATAAGTTCACACATTCACACATTCAAGAGTTAGATAATCTTCTATTTGTTGGGCTGGGTGACATATACAGATATTTGTTTTATTAATATTTTATGATATGTGTATTTGTTGGACATATAAGTGATATTCAAAGCCTTTCTAACCTAGCCACAGAAAATCAGTGTAAAACAGCACAAGGCATCTTGGAGATACTGTGGATTCAGTTCCAGACCACCATAATAAAACAAATATTGCAATAAAGCAAGTCACATTAATTTTTTATTTCCCAGTGCATGTAAAAAATTATGTTTACACATAATGAGAATACAATATACACAGAGAACTAGAATTAAAAGTGGAGCCTGAAGATGGGATTGAATTGCTGCAATCTCATGACAAAACTTGAATGGATGAGGAGTTGCTTCTTATGGGTTAGCAAAGTGGTTTCTTGAGATGGAATCTACTCCTGGTGAAGATGCTGTGAACATTGTTGAAATGACAATAAAGGATTTAGAATATTTCATAAACTTTCCGTACACTTGAATGTATATTTAAAGTAACTCACTGAGTATCTGGTAGTTTATTTACTGTGCAATAGCCTTATGTCTAAAGAAATGTACACACCTTAATTTTAAAAATACCTTATTTTTAAAAAATGCTAACGATCATCTAAATCTTCAGTTAGTTTTTGTTGGTGGAGGGTCTTGCCTCCATGTTGATGGCTGCTGACTGATCAGGGTGGTGGTCACTGAAGGTTGGAGTGGCTGTGGCAATTACTGAAAAATAAGACAATAATGAAGTTTGCTGCATCCATTGACTCTTCCTTTCACAAAAGATTTCTCTGTAGTATGTGATACTGATGAATAGCGTTTTACCCACAGTAGAACTTCTTTCAAAATTGAAGTCATCCTCTCAAATCCTGCTACTGCTTTCTCAACTAAGTTTATGTCATATTCTAAATCCTTTATTGTCATTTCAACAATGTTCACAGCATCTTCACCAGCAGTAGTTTTCATCTCAAGAAACCACTTTGCTGATCCATAAGAAGCAACTTGTCATCCATTCAAGTTTAATTACGAGATTGCAACAACTCAGTTACATCGTCAGGCTCCACTTCTAATTCTAGTTCTCTTGCTATTTCCATCACATAGGCACTTACTTCCTCCACTGAAGCATTTAACCCCTCAAAGTCATCTGTGAAGGTTGGCATCAACCTCTTCCAAACTCCTGTTCATGTTGATATTTTGACCATTTCCGATGAATTGTGAATATTCTTAATGGGATCTAGAATCGTGACTCTTTTCCAGAAGGTTTTCAATTTACTATGCCCAGATCCATCAGAGGAATTGCTGTCTATGACAGCTATAGCTTATAAAATGTTTTTCTTATTTAATAACACTTGAAAGTTGAAATTCCTCCTTGATCTCGGACTGCAGAATGCATGTTGTGTTGGAGGAATGAGAACAATATTCAACTCCTTGTATATCTCCATGAGAGCTCTTGAGTGACCAGGTACATTGTCAATGAGCAGTAATATTTTGAAAAGTATCTTTTTTTTCTAAGTAATACGTCTCAACAATGGGCTTAAAATATTCCATAAACTATGCTGTAAACAGATGTGCTGTCATCCAGGCTTTGTTGTTTCATTTATAGAGCACAGGCAGAGTAGATTTAGCATAATTCATGCACGTCAGTGTGAAGAGACCACTAAACAGGCTTTGTGTGAGCAACAAGCCTGTTTATTTCACCTGGGTGCAGGCGGGCTGAGTCCGAAAAGAGAGTCAATGAAGAGAGATAAGGGTGGGGCCATTTTATAGGATTTGGGTAAAGGAAAATTACAGTCAAAGGGGATTTGTTCTCTGGCGGGCAGGAGTGGGGATTGAAAGGTTCTCAGTAGGGGAGCTTTTGAGCCAGGATGAGCCAGGAGAAGGAATTTCACAAGACAGTGTCATCAGTTAAGGCAGGAACAGGCCATTTTCACTTCTTTTGTGATTCTTCAGTTACTTCAGGCCATCTGGGCATATAGGTGCAAGTCACTGGGGATGCGATGGCTTGGCTTGGGCTCAGAGGCCTGACATTCCTGCCTTCTTATATTACTAAGACAAATAAAATGAAATAGTGCTACAAAATAGTGTTGAAGTGTTGGGGAGGTGAAAATTTTGGGGGGGTGGTATGGAGAGAGAGAATGGGCGATGTTTCTCAGGGCTGCTTCAAGCGGGATTAGGGGTGGCGTGGGAACCTAGAGTGGGAGAGATTAAGCTGAAGGGAGGTCTTGTGGTAAGGGGTGATATTGTGGGGCTGTTAGAAGAAACATTTGTCGTATAGAATGATTGGTGATGGCCTGGATACGGTTTTGGATGAATTGAGAAACTAAACAGAAGATACAAGGTCCAAATAAAAGGAGAAAAATGGGTATTAGAGGACTAAGAATTGGGAGGACCTAGGACATCTAATTAGAGAGTGCCTAACAAGATTCAGCATAGTCCTGCCAGCAAAGATTATTGATTTACTTTAAGAGTTAAGAGTGGCAGTTTGGGGATAGCACCAGGAGATATCAACTGTCATGACTTGGAGTAACAGTGTAAACCGGCAGTGTAAACAAGAGCAGGGCATGTATGAGTAGTTGCGAATGGTGAATAGAAGTCTGTCTAGACAGAAGATAGTAGGGATGACAAGTTTTTGGGGGCACAGTCTAAGTTGGTCTGGGGTCTGGAATGAGACTGGGGCTTAATAAAAAGGAGCATCCATACAGGAGCTCAAATGGGCTGTACCCTGTAGCATTCCAAGGACAGGCCTGAATTCTGAGAAGGGAAAGTGGTAAAAGTATTTCCAGTCCTTTTTAAGTTGGTGACTGAGCTTGGTGAGGTGTGTTTTTAAAAGACCATTAGTCTGTTCTACCTTTCCTGAAGACTGAGGTCCGTAAGGGATATAAATGTTTCACTGAATACCAAGAGCCTGAAAAAATGCTTGGCTGATTTGACTAATAAAGGCCGGTCTGCTATCAGACTGTATAGAGGTGGGAAGGCCAAACCGAGGAATTACGTCTGACAGAAGGGAAGAAATGACTGCGATGGCCTTCTTAGACCCTGTAGGAAAGGCCTCTACCCATCCAGTGAAAGTGTCTACCCAGACTAAGAGGTATTTTAGTTTTCTGACTCGGGGCATGTGAGTAAAGTCAATTTCCCAGTCCTGGGCAGGGGCAAATCCCCGAGCTTGATGTGTAGGAAAGGGAGGAGGCCTGAATAATCCCTGAGGGGTAGTAGAATAGCAGATGGAACACTGAGAAGTGATTTCCTTGAGGATAGATTTCCAGGATGGAAAGGAAATGAGAGGTTCTAAGAGACGGGCTAGCGGCTCATAACCTACATGGAAGAGGTTATGAAATGACGACAGAATAGAATGGGCATGTGAGGCTGGAAGGAGATATTTTCCTTGGTCTAAGAACCATTTGCCTTGTGTGGGAAGAGATTGATAGATGGAAGTTTCAGCGGGGGAGTAGGTGGGAGTGACTCGTGTGAAGGAGAAAAACTGGCCGTGAGGGACAGAAGTTGGAAAGCTAGCTGCTTGTCTAGCCACCTTATCAGCATAAGCGTTGCCTAGAGCAATGGGATCTGACGCCTTTTGATGGCCTTTGTAGTGAATGACTCTAGCTTTCTTTGGAAGTAAAGCGGCCATGAGCAGAGTTTTTATTAAAGAGGCATTAATGATGGAGGACCCTTGCGTGGTGAGGGAATCTCTTTCAGCCTATATAATAGCTTGGTGGTGCAGAATATAAAAGGCATATTTAGAGTCAGTATAAATATTGACGTGTAGTCCTTTTGCAAGAGTGAGGGCTTGAGTTAAGGCAACTAATTCGGCTTGCTGAGAGGTAGTGGAGTGGGGCAGAGTGGTAGCCTCAATGATAGATGTGGAAGATGCTGTAGCATAGCCTGCCTTCGCTGGTGAGTGGCGATCAGGTCTGGTGGAACTGCCATCAATAAACTAAATGTGATCAGGGTGAGGAACAGGAAAGAAGGAAATATGGGGAAATGGGGTGAATGTCAGGTGGATCAGAGAGATACAGTCATAAGGGTCAAGTGTGGTATCCAGAATAATGTGGGAGGCCGGATTGAAGTCCGTGCTGGGAAAAATGGTAATTGTGGGAGACTCAACAAAGAGTGAGTATAGCTGAAGGAGACGGGGAGCAGAAAGTATATGTGTCAGGTATGAGGAAGAAAATAGATTTTGGAAGTTATGAGAAATGTAGAGAGTGAGTTGAGCATAGTTTGTGATTTTTAGGGCCTCTAAAAGTATGAAAGCAGCGGCAGCTGCTGCATGCAGACATGAGGGCTAGGCTAAAACAGTAAGGTCAAGTTGTTTGGACAGAAGGGCTACAGGGTGCGGTCCCAGCTCTTGTGTAAGAATTCTGACCGCACTAACCATGCCTAGAAGGAAAGGAGTTGTTGTTTTGTAAGGGATTGAGGTTTGGGAGATTAGTTGGACACAATCAGCAGGGACAGCAGGTGTGTTTTTATGAGAATTATGCCAAGATAGGTAACAGATGAGGATGAAATTTGGGCTTGACTGAAGTAAAGGGGGCTGTCTGTGAAGCCTTGTGGCAGTACAGCCCAGGTAATTTGCTGAGCCTGATGGGTGACAGGGTCGGTCTAAGTGAAAGCCAAGGGAGGCTGGGATGAAGGGTGCAAAGGAATAGTAAAGAAAGCATGTTTGAGATCTAGAACAGAATAATGGGTTGTAGAAGGAGGTATTGAGGATAGGAGAGTATATGGGTTTGGCACCACGGGGTGGATAGGCAAAACAATTTGGTTGATAAGGCGCAGATCCTGAACTAACCTGTAAGTCTTGTCTGGTTTTAGGACAGGTAAAATGGGGGAATGGTAAGGAGAGTTTATAGGTTTTAGAAGCCCATGCTGTAGCAGGCGAGTGATAACAGGCTTTAATCCTTTTAAAGCATGTTGTGGGATGGGATATTGGCGTTGAGCGGGGTAAGGGTGATTAGGTTTTAATGGGATGGTAATGGGCATGTGATTGGTTGCCAGGGAAGGAGTAGAGATGTCTCATACTTGTGGGTTAAGTGGGGAGATAAAAGGGGAGGATGTGAAGGAGGCTTTGAACTGGGAGAAAAGGTGGCAATGAGGTGTGGCTGTAGCCCAGGAATAGTCAGGGTAGCAGATAATTTAGTTAAAGTGTCTCAGCCTAATAAGGGAACTGGGCAGGTGGGGATAACTAAAAGGAGTGCTTAAAAGAGTATTGTGTAAGTTGGCACCAGAGTTGGGGAGTTTTAAGAGGTTTAGAAGCCTGGCCGTCAATACCCACAACAGTTATGGAGGCAAGGGAAACAGGCCCTTGAAAAGAAGGTAATGTGGAGTGGGTAGCCTCTATATTGATTAAGAAGGGGACGGACTTACCTTCCACTATGAAAGTTACCTAAAGCTTGGCATCCATGATGGTCTAGGGGTCTTCCGAGGTGATCAGGCAGTGTCAGTCTTCAGCCACTAAGCCGAGAAGATCTGGGAAGGAGTCAGTCAGAGAGCCTTGGGCCAGAGTTCCAGGGGCTCTGGGAGTGGCTGCCAGGTGAGTTGAACAGTCCGATCTTCAGTGGGGTCCCGCACAGATGGGACATGGCTTAGGAGGAATCCTGGGCTGCAGGCATTCCTTGACCCGGTGGCCAGATTTCCAGCACTTGTAGCAAGCTCCTGTGGGAGGAGGTTCTGGAGGAACGCCTGGCTGCTACAGTTCCGGCATTTGGAAGTTCTTGTGTGCTGGAGATGTGGATGGGGTTTGTCTCATAGCGGAGGCAAGGAATTGCAACTTTTTTCTATTATTGTACACCTTGAAGGCGAGGTTAATTAAGTCCTGTTGTGGGGTTTGAGGGCTGGAATTTAATTTTTGGAGTTTTATTTAATGTTGGGAGCAGATTGGGTAATAAAATGTATATTGAGAATAAGACGGCTTTTTGACCTTTTAGGGTCTAGGGCTGTACAGCATGTCAGTGTTGCTGCCAAACGAGCCATGAACTGGGCTGGGTTTTTATATTTGATTAAAAAGAGCCTAAATGCTCTCCGATTTGGGATAAGGAAAAAGGAGCATTAACCTTGACTATGCCTTTAGCTGCAGCCACCTTTTTAAGAGGAAATTGCTGGGCAGGTGAGGGAGGGCTACTCATGGAATGAAACTGTAAGCCGGACCAGGTGTGAGGAGGGGAGGTGATAAAAGGATTATAGGGTGGAGGAGCAGAGGCTGAGGAAGAATTGGGACCTAGCTTGGCCTGGCGAGGAGGGGAGAGGTCAGATGGGTCTGTAGAAAAGGAAGATTAGAAAGACTCAGTGACGCTTGGGGTTGTGACTGAGGGGACAGGCGAGAGGGAAAGAAGGAAGATTAGGGATGAGTTGCACTGGGAACAGAGACTAGGGAGGGACTGATGTGTAAAAGAATGCCTGGATGTCAGGCACCTTAGACCGTTTGCCCATTTTACGACAAGAATTATTTAGATCTTGTAGGATGGAAAAATTGAAAGTGCTGCTTTCTGGCTATTTGGAACCACTGTGGAGTTTGTATTGGGGTCAAGCAGCATTGCAGAAGAAAATAAGGCATTTAGGTTTTAGGTCAGGTGTGAGTTGAAGAGGTTTTAGGTTTTTAAGAACACAGGCTAAGGGAGAAGAAGGGAGAATGGAGGGAGAATGGAGGGCAGAAGCTTACCCGTAGTGAAGGAGGCAAGCCCAGAGAAAAGAGAGAGTAGAGACATGGAGAGAAGGGCTTGGGGGTTCTTGCCCCCCAGAAAAGTGGTGAAGGGGTTGGGGTGTGGAAATAAGGGGTTGGTGCACAGAGATAAGAGGTCAGGACATGGAAATAAGGGATCGGGGCACAGAGATAAGAGGTTGGGGCATGGAAATAAGGGATCAGGGTGCAGAGATAAGAGGTTGGGGTGTGGAAATAAGGGATCGGGGTGCAGAGATAAGGGGTTGGGGCATGGAAATAAGGGATTGGGGCACAGAGATAAGGGATCAGGGCATGGAAATAAGGGATCGGGGCACAGAGATAAGGGGTCAGGGTGCGGAAATAAGGGATCAGTGGGTTCTTGTCCCCCAGAAAAGCAGAGAAGGGGTAGAGACAGGGAGAGAAGGGGTCAGGGTTCTTGTCCCTCCCCCAGAAAAGCAGGACTTGCCGCTAGCTAAGAGTGAAGGACCAAGGCAGGCATCCCTACGTGGTCAGACACCTCTGAAACATGGGTGAATAATCAGAGAGGCATCCCTGCAATGATTAAACACCAAGGGAAGGCTGCCTTCCCGAGTCCATGACTGGCGCCGAAGTTTTGGGTCCACGGATAAAACGTGTCTCCTTTGTCTCTACCAGAAAATAAAAGGAATTGAAATTAAGAGAAGGGAGAGATTGAAGGGTAGTGCCAAGATTGAAAGGAGAAAGTGGTTGAGGGATAGTGAGAGAGGTTGGAGAAGAGAGTAAAGAGAGGCTGCTTACCCGATTTAAAATTGTTGAGATGTTCCTTGGGCTGGTGGGTCTGAGTACCTGAGGTCCTAAGTGGATCTTTCTCACGGAGCAAAGAGCAGGAGGACAGGGGATTGATCTCCCAAGGGAGGACCCCCAATCCAAGTCACGGCACCAAATTTCATGCGTGTCTGTGTGAAGAGACAAAGCAGGCTTTGTGTGAGCAACAAGGCTGTTTATTTCACCTGGGTGCAGGTGGGCTGAGTCCAAAAAGAGAGTCAATGAAGGGAGATAAGGGTGGGGCCGTTTTATAGGATTTGGGTAAACGAAAATTACAGTCAAAGGGGATTTGTTCTCTGGCAGGCAAGAGTGGGGATCGCAAGGTGCTCAGTAGCAGAGTTTTTGAGCCAGGATGAGCCAGGAGAAGGAATTTCACAAGACAATGTCATCAGTTAAGGCAGGAACAGACCATTTTCACTTCTTTTGTGATTCTTCAGTTACTTCAGGCCATCTGGGCATATAGGTGCAAGTCACTGGGGATGCGATGGCTTGGCTTGGGCTCAGAGGCCTAACACTAACAGCTCTAGGATTTTCAGAATGATAAATGAACGTTGGTTTTGACATAAAGTCACAAGCTGCATTAGCCCCTAACAAGAGAGTCAGCCTGTCCTTTGAAGTTTGAAAGCCAGGCACTGACTTCTCTTTAGCTAGGAAAGTCCTAGATGGCATCTTCTTCCAATGTAACTGTTTTGTCCACATTGAAAATCTGTTGTTTAGCCACTTTCATTCTTTGTCTTAGCTAGGTCTTGTGGACAACTTACTGCAGCTTCTCCATCAGCACTTGCTGTTTTACTTTGTACTTTTATATTATGGAGACAACTTCTTTCCTTAAACCTCATGAACCAACTTTTGCTAGCTTCCAACTCTTCTTCTGCGGTATTCTCCTCTTTCAGCCTTCATAGAATTGAAGAGAGATAGGGTCTTGCTCTGCATGAGGCTTTGGCTTAAGGGAATGTTCTAGCTGCTTTGATCTTCTATCCAGACCACTCGAACTTTTTCTCTATCAGCAATAAGACTGCTTCACTTTCGTATCATTCACCTGTTTACTGGGGTAGCACTTTTAGTTTCTTTCAAGAACTTTTCCTTTGCATTCACAACTTGGCTGTTTGGCACAAGAGGCCTGGCTTTCAGCCTTTTGACATACCTACCTCACTAAGCTTATTTCTAGCCTTTAACTTGAAGTGAGGGTCACTGCTGGGTGTGGTGATTCATGCCTGTAATCCCGGCATTTTGGAAGGCTGAGGCAGGAGAATCATTTGAGACAAGAAGTTTGAGATCAGCCTGGGCAACAAAGTGAAACCCCATGTCTACAAAAAGTTTAAAAATTAGCCAAGGGTGATAGTGCAAGCCTGTAGTCCTGGCTACTTAGGAGCCTGAGGTAGGAGGATTGCTTGAACTCAGGATTTCGAGGTTACAGTGAGCCATGACTGTACCACTGCACTCCAGTCTGGGCAATAGAGCAAGACTCTGGCTCTATAAAAATAAATTTAAAAATAAAGTAAAAGGCATGTGACTCTTCCTTTCAGCTGAACACTTAGAGGCCATTGCTATTAATTGGTCTAACTTTAATACTGTTGTGTCTCAGAGAACAGGGAGGCCCAAGGAGAGCGAGAGAAGCAGGGAAAAGGCTGGTTGGTAGAGCAGTCAGAACACACACATTTATTGATTAAGTTCACTATCTTATAAGGGCACAGTTCATGGCACCCCTAAACAATTCCAGTAGTAACATTAGAGATCACTGATCACAGATCACCATAACAGATGTAATAATAATTTAGAAATATTGCAAGAATTACACAGAGGCATGGAGTGAGCACATGCTGTTGGAAAACTAGTGCCAATAGACTTGCTTGACACAGGGTTGCCACAAACCTTCAGTTTGTAAAAAACGCAATATCTATGAAGATCAATAAAGCAAAGATCACTAAAATGAGATATGTGTGTAGTCATTTTAAATGTACTTACCATTTTTCCTCCTCTTATCTTTTTGGCTATGTTAATTTAAAAAAAACAAAATACATATAGATCTGAAGTTCATTTGAAATCTCCTTGAAATAACTGCTTTAGTTTTTTATTAATTTGTTTCTTCATGGATATCTCTTCTTCTCTGGATAGTAAGTAGCTTTCCTGTAGTAACCATTAAAGTATAAAAAAAATGAGTAGTAGGGACCAGGACCTGGGTCCAAATCTTAGATTGTAGATCTCACAATTTGTATTTTTATTTTGTTTCCTTTTCCCTTTTTGACACAGAGCCACCTGCTGGCAAGAGGAGGTTAACTTTGAATATATTGTAGCATGCAATTGGGTTCAGGTGCACAGGAAAAGTAGCATTGATGAGGCTGCACCTCAAAATGGCTTATAGATTTTGACTGTTAATGATACTAAAAATGTTAAAATGTACCATGTAGTTGGAGAAGGATTTTTTTTAAGCTGAGCTTTCTCAAAGATCAAATTAAAATGTTGATGAGAAAACCTCATTAAAAGCAAAGAAGTTGAAGAGACAGTGGAGAGGAGGGAGAATCCATTATCTAAGGTTCTTTAAAGGCAAGAATAGGAGAATTCCTGGGCAAAGGTGGAAAACAGGTGAAGACAAGAGAAGGGGATTCTCCACCGATGCACCAGACAAGAATGGGAAGAGATAAGCGGAAGATGGTGAGGTAGTGGGAAGTTGATTTTGATTTTATCTGGGCTAAAAGGGAAAATGGGATAAGAGTCTAAGGCATAAAGTAGAGCACAGAAAATGTAAAACAGTCCAGCAAGTAAGAAAGCAACTTGCTTAGGGAAACACACTAGGATTTTAGGGCCATGTTGAAAGTCCAGTTGAAGTTGACGATAGCAAATTTCCAGTATTATTGAATGGATATGCCCTACTTTGTGATTTTTCTCCAAAATTGGTCTGTTATCCAGGTTAAGATATACAAAAATGAAAGAGTGGAGGTCACACTGCATTAGTTTTTGCTAAACAGGAGAGATAAGACAGTTTATGGCACTGACAAAATTGTTCTTAGAATTATGGGCCATGAACTATAAACTGAATAGGAAGATAATTAAACATAGGGAGAGGATATAGAAATGGGGACTGGACCTTCACTGAAGGATCATCAAGGTAGGAGTAGTTAAAGAATCAATCCAGAAAAATGAGACATTATGGTAAGAGTGCTCAATGTCTAAGCCATTTATTTGGAATATTGATAATTTTGTTCTTTTTCATTAAAAGATCCAGAATTTCATTAAAAGATCCAGACCAGGGGAAGAGATAACTGAGTGTAGAAAAGGCCGTAAAAGATGAGTTTGGTAAGAAAATGAGAAATCAGAGCATCGAAAAGATACTATGGGTATTGAAACCACCCACAATGATGGCAGGAATTAGAGCAGGGGAAAGACTCTGAATCAAGTGCAAAGTTTTTGATGATCAAAGGAAAGTAATCAAATGATAGCAATGACAAAGAAAATTAGCAGGTTATAGAGGTAAAATGGTATAAGCCTTAAGAAATAGGATTCCTTTTCACAAGAGATTGGGTGGGTCATGTTCTGAAAGATGAAATGAGGAGCAGAAAGTTTTCTAATCTTGCATCTAGATAGCAAAGTCTCTGACGTTTGAAAGAATCACATCCACCACTCCACTGGGCTGCTGGAGAGCACCAGCCCTGCAGTAAGGCAAGTGAAGGGGCTCCTTGGAGACCGGAGTTTGTGCTGATGATGAAGGAGCAGTTCCAGGGCTCTACAGCTGGGGAGGTGGGAAGTGGAGATAGAATGGAGGACAAATAATTTAGCTTCAATAATATACTTAGTTTATTAGTCTTAGTCGAATAGTCTTCCTCTTTCCTAAAGGATCTATTCAAATTGAAGAACTAAGTTGAGGTTACTTGTATTAAATACTCAGTTACTGATGCCAGGTGTGACAGCTCACGCCTGTAATCCCAGCACTTTGGGAGGCCAAGGTGGGCAGGTCACTTGAGGTCAGGAGTTCAAGATCAGCCCGGTCAAAATGGCACCCCATCTCTACTAAAATTACAAAAATAGGGCGAGGTGCGGTGGCTCATGCCTGTAATCCCAGCACTCTGGGAGGCCGAGGCAGGCGGATCATGAGGTCAGGAGATCGAGACCATCCTGGCTAACACGATGAAACCCCATCTTTACTAAAAATATAAAAAAATTAGCCGGGCATGGTGGCGGGCGCCTGTAGTCCTAGCTACTCGGGAGGCTGAGGCAGGAGAATGGCGTGAACCCGGAAAGCAGAGCTTGCAGTGAGCCAAGATCACGCCACTGCACTCCAGCCTGGGTGACACAGCGAGACTCCATCTCGAAAAAAAATAAAATAATAAAAAATAATAACACAAAAATAAGCCAGGTGTAGTGGCAGGTACCTGTAATCCCAGCTACTCAGGAGGCTGAGGCAGGAGAATCACTTGAACCCGGGAGGCAGAGGTTGCAGTGAGCCGAGATCGCACCACTGAGCTCCAGCCTGGGCAACAGAACAAAACCCTGTCTCAAATAAATAAATAAATATTTAGTTACTGAAATAATAATGTTGATTGGTAAAATAAGAATGTATTCTCTCTAAAAACTAGTTAGTTTGTACTAAAAAATGGGCATAATTATTATCTCAAAGATTAGTAATGATGCAATGGAATTTATATATGTGTATACATGTGTTGCATATATACATAATGTGTGTATGTATACACATACAATATCATTAAAAATAACTGTTTCAAAAATAAGTACATACAATAAAATATAAAATAAATAGAAAAATAAAATCAGGGCAAGACAAATAGGATAGTAAGACGAAGGCAAGTGTGAAGTGGATATACTGGAAATCATAAGTTCTTACACAAATGCTGGAATTAAACCACAAATTTTTTGATTGCCTGGAAGGAAATATGATGAATTTAATATTCAGTATCCATTGAAATTAAAATATTCTGGTTGCTTAGCAGAAGTACAACTTTTCTTAGCACTGATAATAAAAATGTCTCTCATGGGCCCTCATTAAATGAGATTCTCGTGTAGTTAAGATGTTCAAAATATCCTGACAATAAAATGCCATAACACAAAAACTTAACCTATATTTTGTGACCATTATATGAGAATTTATGAATACAAGTCACGTTTCTGTCACTAGATAAAAGCAATACCTTGTTTTTGAGGTTCAAGCCTTTAGACTGGCTCTTCCCAGTTGCAGGCAAGTGGATTTTAGTTTTTCAATCAAAATAATTATTTAGCTTTGAGAAAGAAAGAAAAAAAACAAATAAAATAATGGTGGGGGGGATGAGGGAGAGTGAAATCAATACAATAAGTTGAAAAGTTTCTTATAAAATTTGAATCTTTAAAAATGTGTTGCAATTTAAAACTAGGAAGTGTCATCTCCAGATTGATCTATAGTTCCAACATTTTCAGTCAAAATCTCAACAGGCTGTTTTGGAGAAATGTACAAGGTGATTCTAAAATCTATATGAAAAAGCAAAATATCTAGAAAATCCAAGACAATTTTGAAAGTGAAGAAAGCGGTCAATTGATTTTTGATAAAGATGCCAAGGATTTCGATAGGAAAATAACTCTTTTCGGGTAGAATCAATATTGTAAGAGTGACCATACTGCCAAAAGCAATCTACAAATCTGATGCAATTCCCATCAAAAAAGCACCATCATTCTTCACAGAAGTAGAAAAAAACAATTCTAAAATTCATATGGAACCAAAAAAGAGACCGCATAGCCAAAGCAAGACTAAGCAAAAAGAACAAGTCTGGAGGCATCACACTACCTGATTTCAAACTATTCGAAGTGAAGAAACTCAGGAATGGAAAACTAAACACCATATGTTCTTATTGATGTGTGGGAGCTAAGCTACGAGGATGCAAAGGTATAAGAATGATACAGTGGACTTTGGGGACTTGTGGGGAAGGATGGGAGTGGGGCAAGGGATAAGAGACTACAAATAGGGTGGAGTGTATACTGCTGGGGTGATGGGTGCACCAAAATCTCACAAATCACCACTAAAGAATTTACTCATGTAACCAAATACCGCCTGTACCCCAATAACCTATGGAAAAATACAAACATAAAGTAAAAATAAACTTTATTCTTAAACTTAGGTTTTTAAAAATTCCCTTAAGATGTCTAAATATCCAAATATTATCTATATTTTAACTAAGATTTAGTCAGGAAAATATATTAAATGGTGATTGTATTTTGAAAAACAATTGATAAATAAAATAATCATTTTTCCAAAATAGTATTTGGATTCATGCTTTGAACAAAGTTTTCTGTATTAAAATAGTAAAGATTTTGGACTTACAATAGTATTTAGCATCATTTAAAATCTACAATTTTTCATTTCTGATTTTGGTTTCAGTTGGAGAGAAGGAACTATAAAAACAGCTATTGAAGTTTAGTTTTTCCATATTACTTGGAAAACACGAGGCATATAATTAAAACTTTGGATATATTATAGTCTATTTTCAGAATCTTTCAGATATTTTTATTAGTTGCATAGCTCAATGATTTGTCATACTATATATATGTATATTTACATACATAAACATAGAAACATGCACACTTATATATGTAATAGTGTTTCAACAAAATGGCATTCACATTTTTCTGTTTCACAATAACTTTCAAAGTAGCTGGATGACTGATGAAATTTAGTTTACTCCTATAGAACATAAAAATATAAAGCTTAATTTGTGTTTCTCTGCCATGTGAAGTAAAATCACTCATAAAATTATTCAAGCCACAATGTTTTCTATGACAAAAGATGGAGCTGACATCTTGCTGTAATCTTACCTAGCATACCCAATATTACATGTAATATTTTGGAAGGAAGGCACAGAAATAAAGTTTCCTCATGTTTGAGGCATCATGTTCTTTGATGAAGAGCCTCTTGTTCCTCAAAGTTAAGCATTATTAGAAGATACTCTATCCTGGTTTGAACCCTTGCTCTTTGTTCTGCAGCTCTGGTAACTTGTCCCAGTCATCTAGCGTGGTATTGGCAAATGAACACAATTACTCATGGCTTTTGCAGAGAATTGTTCATGTCTAATCAGTCATATTCTTGGAATCAGAGAAGATGCAGGTGTTTTCTGGGAATTATGCCTTTAAGTAGATTTATTTTTTTCAAGAAACTGAATTATATTTCTCTTTTGGAAGCTTGCTCACAAAATAAAAATCATGAGTCTTCTTTTTATTTTCAAAACAAAGGTTTACATTTCCATGAGTTAGTATTGATTTAAAACATTTTATCTAAATGGAAGTAATAGAATATTTTTCTAACTCATATCTGTACATATCTCATCAAAGTCAACAGCTTGGTTTCTTCTTCAAAATTTAAACCTTTTGTAGAAAGCCTATTCCAAGAGAAAAAGCAGGAGAAATTTTGGAACAATATAACAAAATTACAAAAAGATAATACAGACTCCACTTGGTGAGTTCTAGGTAGAATAAAATGAACATGATATAAGAAAGTAGAAAGATTAGGCTGGGCGTGGCGTCTCACACCTGTAATCCCAGCACTTCCGGATGCTCAGGCGGGTGGATCACTTGAAGTCAGGACTTCGAGACCAGCCTGGCCAACACGGTGAAACCCCATCTCTACTAAAAACACAAAAATTAGCCGATCATGGTGGCACACACTTGTAATCCCCAGGTACTAGGGAGGCTGAGGCAGAGAATTGCTTGAACCTGGGAGGCAGAGGTTGCAGTGAACGCCAAGATCAAAATCGAGCCACTGCATTCCAACCTGGGTGACAAAGCGAGACTCTGTCTCAACAACAACAAAACAAGAAAATAGAAAGAATTCACATTTGCTCCATTAAATTATGTTAAAGTGATTGGAATTTTTGTTTTCTTCTGTCCTATTTCTAGAAAAGGTCATTAATTGTTCGTCACATATTTAAACTTCAAAATACAGACAATCTGTATTACTAGAATTTTTTTTTAGTAACGGGAAAACAAAAATACCTTAAAACTTAAAATCACAAAAAACATACATATTTGTGTATATATATATATACTTTTTTTTTTTTGAGATGGAGTCTCGCTCTGTAGCCCAGACTGGAGCGCAGTGGCGCAATCTCGGCTCACCGCAAGCTCTCCCTCCCGGGTTCGTGCCGTTCTCCTACCTCAGCCTCCCGAGTAGCTGGGACTCCAGGCTCCCGCCACCATGCCCGGCTAATTTTTTTTTTCTTTTTGTAGAGATGGGGTTTCACCGTGTGTTAGCCAGGATGGTCTCGATCTCCTGACCTCGTGATCTGCCCTCCTCGGCCTCCCAAAGTGCTTGGATTACAGGCATGAGCCACCACACCTGGTCACAGAAAAGATATTTTTTAAGCAAAGACTTCTTGAAAATATATACTAAATTTAAACAAAAATACTAAAAGTTATTATTGAACTAACATTGTAACATGTATTATTTTGCAAGAAATTGCTGACTTTCAAAAAATTAATTTTTTTAGATTGTAAAGTTAGTACATGTGTATTGCAGAAAGTTTAGCAAGAAAGAAGATAAGAGATGGTCAAGTAGGGGTCAAGGGGAAAGGGAATGTCCTGCAAGTCTGGGGAAGCAATATCTTCAAGGCCTGGGCCATTAATAAGCATGAAGGTAATCCTTGGTGTGCATATTACTCAATCCCATATGATATCAAGATTGGTGACACTGGCTTCAGCTGACTTCCTTGACACCTTAAGTTTTCTTCATGTCTCTTTAGACATTCCCTCTCAGTTTGTTTTGCAGGTTCATCTTGTGTATTAGGCCATTCTTGCACTGCTGTAAAGAAATACCTGAGACTGGGTAATTTACAAGAAAAGAGGTTTAATTGGCTCATGGTTCTGCAGACTGTACAGGAAGCACAATGTTGGTGTCTGCTTCTGGGGAAGCCTCAGGATGCTTACAATCATGGCAGAAGGTGAAGGGGGAGCAGGTGTCTCACATGGTGGGAGCAGGAGCAAGAGACAGATAATGAGGTACCACATACTTTTAAGCAGTCAGATCTCTTGAGAAGGCATGCTCCATTGTGAGGACAGCACCAAGAGAATGGTGCTAAAGCATTCGTGAAAAATTCACCCCTATGATGCAATCATCTCCCACTAGGTCCCATCTCCAATACTGGAAATTACAATTCAACATGAGATTTGGATTGAGACACAGATCCAAACAATATCATCTTATTCAACTCATTCTTTTAATGTTGGTCTCCTTTGTGGTTATGTTTTAGGCCTTCTTTTCATTCTGCCCATCCTCCTGGATGGTTTGTTTGTTTGTTTTGCTTTGCTTTGAGACGGAGTCTTGGTCTGTCACCCAGGCTGGAGTGCAGTGGCACAATCTTGGCTCACTGAAACCTCTGCCCCCTGGGCTCAAGCTTCCCCAATAGCTGGGATTACAGGCGTGTGCCAGCACGCCTGGCTAATTTTTGTATTTTTAACAGAGATGAGGTTTTACCTTGTTGGCCAGGTTGGTCTCGAACTCCTGACCTCAAGTGATCTGCCCACCTTGGCCTCCCAAAGTTCTGGGATTACAGGCTTAAGCTACCATGCCCGGCCATCTGGATGGTTTTATTCATGCTCAGGATTTTAATTACAGTCTGTACGCTGATGACTTTCAGATCCTTTTCTGGAATATGAATTTCTCTCTAGTGCGCCGTATCCACATATGCAAAATAAATATTGCCACCATCCACTAGTTGGCCTGGAAGGAATTTCAGCATCGTCTTTCACTCTTCTCTCTCTCTCTTTCCCCAGTAACTACCAAGTCTTTTAGGGTTCACTTTCTAAATCTCTCTCAAGTCTGTCAACTTCTCTCAATCTCTTGATTTAAATCTCCGGCATTCCTTCTGGGATCCTTGCCATAGCTTCTTAATTATATACCTATCAGTATATCCCTGCTCTGATGATTTCCAAAGGCAGACAGAGTGATTTTTATACATCTGCCCCCTACTTAGAAATCGACAGTGACTCCTCATGGTTCCCAGGGTAAAGTTACAAATCCTAGTGAGGATGAGCATTGCCTTCAATACTTGACATCTCCAACCTCACCTCTTCTCACATTACCCCAGTCTCTAGGCTCACATCATGCTTTCTCTAACCTTTGGGGTCTTGTTTATGCTCATGTCTCTCTGCCCAAAATATTTTCCACCTTTCTTTTGCCCCCTCTTCCCTCCTCCATTTCTGATCTTGAACTTGTAACTCCTACTTATCCTTCAGTTCTTAGCTCAGATATTACTTTCACTTGAAAGTTTCCTGGGCCAAAAGATTGAATTGTATGTCTCTTTTATATGCTTCCATAGCACCTTGTACTTAATCTCCTCCTAAAACTGGTTATACTCCTGTACTGGGCTTATTGTAACTATCTATACACTCGTTTGTAGCCTATATAAGATGTAAAATGCTGCGTCGGGTCAGGATTGTGTCTTTTTTACTGTAACTTCTCTAGTAAATGCCTGGCACATGGCACATAATAAATATTTGTTATATGAATGAATGAATGAACGGTACAATTCAGAGATCAGCATGACCTTTTAAAAACATATAATCAATTGAAATGAAAGAATCTATATTCATTCACTTAAAGGATGGCATTCTAAGCCTGCTAATAGGTGAACAAATTCAGACAGGACAATAAATTACCTCTTCTTTTCTTTTTAATTTTTAAGACTAAAAAAACCCAACATTTCAGAGATGGGGTCTTGCTACGTTGCCCAGGCTGGAGTGCAGTGCTATTCACAGGTATGATCATAGGGCATTATAGCCTCAAACTCCTGTGCTCCCTATCTCAACCTCTCAAGTAGCTAGGATTACAGGTGTGCACCACCATGTCTAGTCTCTTTCTTCTTATGTAATTATAAAATGTTAAAATTAAATCATTAATGATTGAGGCTGCATCGGGGGTAGGAGGGAAGTTCCCTGAATAACCACAAGAATATACTAAACTTCACTTATTTTGAGGTTTGCAATTATTTAGAAGTTCTTATTTAGTAAGTAAGAGAAGATAATTTGCCTTTGCCAGTTCTAAGTACATATATAGTTGATTAATATAAACTGATTAACAAAGTAAATAGGAAAGTTAATAAAGAGCCCACTCCTCATTCTTGGCCTGGAGCTTCAGAACTGAATTTAAATGCTAACTGACATAAGCCCCATCTGTCATTTCTGGTCATCGCCTCAGTTCTATAAATAGGAAGAAGCCAGGACTTACCTCATTACTTCCAACCAGCAACTGTATGAAGTGCTAAGGAATAAAATTGAACCAGGGACAGTTAAGTGTGTGGGCCCCTGGAAGGAGTAAGATCTACATTAAAATAACAAGCATTGCAATTTCATTCTCTTATTTATACAAGGGGGAAAACTGCAAAATCATATAAGAAATTAAATTTTTTAGCATTTCAAGAGAAACATTTTCCTCCCCTACCCCAGTTCCAGTTACAGGGTAAATATTTTTTAAATCAAAATGGGAAACATTATTTTTTTCTTAAGAGAGTTTTCTTTGTATACTTAATCATAGCTTATTCTTATTAGAGCTACATACTTTGGACTTGTCTATGTTAAGAGAGTTTTCATGCAAGTGTGTTCTGATTATGATTTTGATAACTGATGTTGAGTAATGATTACAGCATTTTCAAAGCCTTTTGTTTGCCTTTGCGTTCAACACAAGGCGTAGATAGAAAACGAACAGGAAGGTTTTATCTTATCTGGCTACAGTTTGCATCAGCAACTGAAAGCATAGCATACTTTTAAAGAAAGTACCATTTTAACTAGAATTTTCTCTCCCTGACCTTTATTTAACCAATAATTTTATTACTGGGCTATATATTTATCCCTTTTCCCCTCAAATTGTGTCAACTGCAGTGAAGCTTAATATTTCTAACTTTGAATTCAATTTTTATATTTAAGAATATCTATCTAGGAAAGAGACTACTATCTCTGAGTCCAGTCTCTATCATATACACAAAATTAATTCATCCTTTAAATCTGTACTTCCTACTAAAATCAATACTTTGAAAAAGATGTTTAAATCAATTCCTAAAACACCTAACATAACCATTCATCTTCTTATGGCATTTGAAACTGAGCATTTGCCTAATTTCAGATTGTTTTGCTTGTTTTCGTTGTCTGTTTTAATAAAATAGTATCTTTAACAGCTTGTATAAAGTTCCTGTAAAAAAGAAAATGTTTCTCTTGAAATAGTAAATATCTCAAATTAGTCTGTAGCATTCCAGAGTTTTTCCAGAAAATGGTGTTTTCTTATTTGTACACAAATACAATGGTAATGAAGTCAGAGAATGTCAGATAAGTTTTAAGTGGGGTCACTACGCTATATTCCAGATGATCCCAAAGCTCAGTCAGCAGAGAAAAGTGCTGGTAACAAAGGAGATAACTGAATGGTTTAAGTTTAAATTTTGCTTCTCCTACCCCAGGGGAAAAAAATTGCAGCACCATTTCCCTCATCTGTTATCACTTACTAATTGCCAAGTAGATAGCTCTCCACTGCAGTGAGACCTCATTTTAGAGCAGAAGAGTAGGTCAATACTACACTATTGTTTGAGACAGAGTCTCATTCTGTCATCCAGGCTGGAGTGCAGTGGCTCAATCTCAGCTCACCACAAGATCCTCCCACCTCAGCCCCATAGGCACCGCGCCACAACGCCCAGCTAAATTTTGTATATTTCACAGAGATGGGGTTTTGCCATATTGCCCAAGCTGGTCTCAGATTCCTGAACTCAAGTGATCTGCCCACCTTGGCCTCCCAAAGTGGTGAGATTACAGGCATGAGCCACTGCAAGTGGCCTAACACTACATTATTTCTAAGAATAATATTGGAAATCATTTATTCTTAGAATCTACTTATAAATTTTGCATGTGTTAGAAAATCTGATAAGCCTAAAGATTCCCACATTCATTGCTGGCCACTCAGTCTACAGCCCTCACTGAACACTTCCTTGCTTTTTCCTCCCTAATACTCCACAGTGGACTGAAGAGTAAATGCTTTCGGATAATGAATGATGACAGTGGAGTTGATGGAGTAACTGGCAACTCATTCTTGATGTCCAATAGACCTTTCATTTTGAACAACAGTGACCTAGATCTTTTATAAATGAAATGCTTAAATTGGTGAGTAGTGGCTCTTACCTTTTTTTTTCTTTTTCTTTTAAATAAAAATTCCAAATGTGCTGAAAAGGTACAAGAATGGTACAACTCATCTTTTACCTTTTACTTAAGATTCACCAAATTCTTAGCATTTCATTGTAACTGTTCTTTCTCTTTCCCCTCTCCATATATATGTATGTATATGTACATATATGTGCACTTAGTAGTAAATTTAGTATGGTATCTTGTTGAATCTTTCTTTTACGGCATCATGGTATAATTACAAAATTCAAGAAATTTGACATTGATGAATTACTATTATCTAATATGCATCCCACATTCAGATCTTGCCAATTGCCTCAGTATTGTTCTTTACGGAAACTTCTTAAAAATTGGAGGTCCAATCCAGTATATGCATATCATGAATTCCATATCTTTTTAAAGAAAAATAAATTATCTTTTTTTGTTGTTTTTGGCTTTTCTTTTTTAAAACTTATATTTTATGTTCAGAGGTACATGTAGATGTTTGTTAGATAGTCAAACTCATGTCATGGGGGTTTATTGTACAGATTATTTCATCACGTACTAAGTCGAGTACCCAATAATTATTTTTTCTGCTCCTCTCCCTCCTCCCACCCTCCATCCTTAAGTAGGCCTCAGTATCTGTTGTTTCCCTCTTTGTGTCCATGTGTTCCCAACTTTTAGCTACCACTTATAAGTGAGAACATGCGGTATTTAGTTTTCTGTTCCTGCATTAGTTTGCTAAAGATAATGTCCTCCAGCTCCATCCATGTTCCTACAAAGGACATGATCTTGTTCTTTTTTATGGCTGCATAGTATTCCGTGCTGTATATGTACCACGTTTTCATGAGCAAATCTGCCATTGATGGGCATTTAGGTTGATACCATGTCTTTTCTATTGTGAATAGTGCTGCAATGAACATACCCGTGCATGCATCTTTTTGGTGGAACAATTAATATCCTTTGGGTACATACCCAGTAATGAGATTGCTGGGTTGAACAGCAGTTCTGTTTTTAGCTCTTTGAGGAATTGCCACGCTGCTTCCTACAATGGTTGAACTAATCTACACTTTCGCCAATAGTGTATAAGCATCTCCTTTTCTCTGCAACTTTGCCAGCATCTGTTATTTTGTTATGACTTTTTAGTAATAGCCATCCTGACTGGTGTGAGATGGTATTTCATTGTGGTTTTGATTTGCAATTCCCTAATGATCAGTGATATTGAGCTTTTTTTCATATGCTTGTTGGCCACATTATATGTTTTCTTTTGAAAAGTATCTGTTCATGTCCTTTGACCTCTTCAAAAAGATTTATCTTACCTAAAATTAGAAAATGCAGGTGATGGCCAGGCATAGTGGCTCACACCTATAATCCCAGCACTTTGGGAGTGGGCAGATAACTTAGGCTCAGGAGTTTAAGACCAGCCTGGGCAACATAGTGAAACCCCATCTCTACAGATAAAAATAAAAATAACTAGCCAGGTGTTGTAGTGTGTGCCTGTGGTCCCAGCTACTCAGGAGGCTGAGGTGGCAGAATCGCTTGAGCCCGGGAGGCGGAGGTTACAGTGAGCTGAGATCATGCCACTGCACTCCAGCCTGGGCAATAGAGTGAGACCCTGTCTCAAAAAAAAAAAAAAAGAAAGAAAGAAAAGAAAAGAAAATTCAGGTGATATTGTGTGTAAAGATTGTTAATCTCATCCTCATGGTACCAAGAAAACAATATTAAAATTATTATTTATCAAATATCAGTTATGAACCTAGCACTGTCTAAAATCTTGAAATTTTAGAAAAGATGTCATGGTTCTTGTCCTAAAATTACACACAGTATAGAAGCTGAAGCAAATCTAATACCCCAGTAAAAACTGGCTAATAAATAACCCTTACATTAGTTATATTTTGCAGCAAAATAAGCCACTCTTAAACTGTCCTCAGTTTTAAATTGCTAGACAGAAAAAAACAACATTTATATTTCTGGCTAGCAATTCTGTGAGTTAGCAATGCCAGCTGGCAATGTCAGTTGGCCAGTTCTTCTGCTGGTCTTTCCTGGGCTCAGACATTCAGCTGCATCTGCTGGTTGGGTTGGCTGGGGGTTAGTGGTTCTTAGGACAGCCACACTCATGTGTCTTGCAATTGGTGCTGGCTCTTGGTTAGTATTGGCCCTGAACTGGGAGACAGAGATGGCTGGGCTACATGTTTTCATCAACTTTTTCATTTAAGTGTCTTAGGGTTCTCACAAGAAGCAAGACAAGGCAAGCCCCAGTGCATAACACTTTTCAGGTTTTTTGGTATCACATTTGATTATTGTCTCTTTGGCCAAATTACGTCAAATGGCTGGGTCCAGAGTCATTATAGGAGGATCTATCCAAGGTCATGGATACAAGGAGGCTTGGACAAATCGTGGCCATTAGTGCAACAAAATACTCTAAAAGTATAACATTTGACTAGAATGAGATCGATGAGCAATGTCATGGAATAGGTATTATTTTGTAGCCACATCTTACTAAAAAATCAAGTATTAAAAATTATGGTATAATCAAAATAGGCTATAGGAATTATGAGACAAAATTATTATGGCTATAATAGTTTACGAAGGGCCTAAAGGAAAGAATGGCATGTAATGGCTCTCCAAGAATAGACAGGAATTTGATGCATTAAGAGGAATCTCTGGACAGAGGTTTAGAAGTGAGTAGTTAAGGGATACAACCTGAGAAAAGGCACAGATGACAAAGAACATGACAGGTGTGGGATAGTGAAGGAACAAACTTAAGTATAGTAGATAGCCCACCGGGAATTCTAGAAAATAAGACTAAATAAGTAAAATCAGCATAAATTATGAATGAGGACATTTTAACGTCAGACGTAAATTCAAATTATACTTTCATGATATCAAGAATATTTTAGGATGAATCATTTAGTATCAGAATTAAAGCTGGATGAGGGCAGGGATGAGCAGTAAAAACCAGATATACATTTAATACAATAATCCAAATTAAAGTACAAACATTGAAAATAGGGGGACTGGGACAAATACATGAAACATATTACATGAGAGGAATGGAAAGGAACAAATTCAAGACAAATTACACATAGAAAATAATGAAACTTTAAAACGATAGATTTAGACTCAATACCTCTTTCCTCCCACATCCCCTTTCCCTTTACAGCACAGTCTTTCATATATTTGAAAAGAGCTAAAACAGCACTACATCTTTCGTATTTTAGAAGTAATTTCCCCAGTTTAAGTATTCTTCATATGGCTTCCCACATTTCCTGCTGCTGAATACTATGTAGTTTGTCGATATCATTAAACTCTGATGCCCATAATAGAGAAGAGTATTTCACATGTGTCTGACCAGGGTAGAGTACAGCACTGATCTAAATACCATACTTATATTAATGCAGGCAATGTCTACATTGGATTTTTTTCCCTGTAATATCACACAATCAGTTCATATTTATCCTATAAAATCAACTAACTTCCTCAGAAACTTTATGAGGTCAAAGTCAGACCATATTCTAAGTCAGTTTACCTTCAAATATTTTTCACAGACCAGGCTCTAAAAATATTTTAAAATTAAGTATATATATGTATATATATATATATTTTTTTTTTAAAGACTCACTCTAGACATGGGCAAAATTTTTTAAATGTTTAGGGATATTCTGAAATCTTTTAGAGTGACTTGTTTTAGGATTCTCTTGCTGCCATTACGCAGCCCTATCATATGTGGATGCACAAATGAATGTGGTATTTAGTACAAATGATGCTCTTTCACTTACACGATGAGAATTTACTGATCTTGGTTATAGAAACAATTCTAAAACCTCTATTCCTGTTCCTAGCAGACACTTCACCCTTAGAGATCAAAGAATTTGAAGTCGTAAGATATAAATCGACTGGGAATCCAGACATTTTTCTGGACACTCATGTACATGACAGCAGGTTCATTAATAATTAGGTCGTTACACCGACAATTAATCAAGTCATGTCATTTTAATACATGGAAAATAAACCTGTCAGTGACAGCTTAACCACCTTTCATCTTCTTACAAGCAAGGCAACAAATAAATATGACAGTTTAAGAACAGGTGTAAATAAGAGACACGGCTCAGACAGGAATCTTCTCCTCTCCCTTTGCCATCCTCCCCCATCACACACACCTACACTAGTTTTATTTAACACCGTAACTCCTCTCCCATTATGATTTTCTTTTTTAAAAATTGCAGCTGAAAATACTGAAAATCATCCCAATGACCAGTGAGTCAAGCATGTAAGATCAAATGATTATTTTTCTAGTAAATAAGATACAATTACTGGCCAGGCACAGCAGCTCATGCGTATAATTGCAGCACTTTGGGAGGCCAAGGTGGCAGGATTGCTTGAGGCCTACAGTTCAAGACCAGCCTGGACAACATAGCGAGACCCCATCTCTACAAAAATTTTACAAATCAGCCAGGTGTGGTGGCACGTGTCTGTAGCCCTGCCTACTCGGGAGGCTGAGGTGGGAGGATCACTTCACCCCAGGGAGGTCGAGGCTGCAGAGACCCAAGATCATGCCATTGCACTCCAGCCTGGGTGACAGAGTAAGACTCTGTCCCAGAAAAAAAAAAAATATATATATATATATATACACACACACACACACACACACACACATATATATATGTATATATATATAATTACTCTTTGACCTTGATGGGAAAAGATGTACCATAAATTTTATCTTTGTACTTATCATCACCTATATTGCAGGCTTCTTCGGGAGTAAGAACTAGAACTATCTTAGTACCTTTTACATTTTGTTAAATGTAAAAATTTTTTATAGCAACGAACACAACCCACCAATACATAAAAATACAATGAGAATATGTGCCTTTTAACAAGGTAAATGAAAGACTTTTGTGATGTGAAGATGGGATTGGCAATAGATGGTAAACTTGAAAAAAAAAAATAAGTAAAAGAGGCAACTTCTCCGGGATATGCTAAAGTACCTGAGAAGTAGAAAGGACACCACTAGAGGGCGGTAGCCTCCTCGCTTGCCATAACTAGATTCTCTTATGCGAAACTTCCTACACCTAAAGTTGTTCAGTATTTCTTCCAGCTAATACTTGATTATTTTCTTCCTCCCACAGCAAATATCTGTTATGTTGTTTCACTAACCTTGAAATCCCAGTGACTCGGAGGTATAATATAATGCCTAGGAGTGTGAGCTTGAATAGAATATTTAGAACCTATTGTATTTTTATTGCTATTTTGGCCAAATAACTTTGAAACAAGCTGACACCTGAGATTTGGGAGAGATGTCATTTCTCACACCAAGTACTATGCACACAAGTAAAATTTAGTCTGTGGCCTGGCAAACGCTAGTTAAGATTGCTTCTTCTCAAGTCACACTTTGCCCTTTATCTTAGCACACAGGCAGCTGCGACAAGAGAGCCCTTTTGCCGAAAATAGCTTTCCAGCAGCCTGTCACTTTCCCCGAATCCATTAAGAGAGTGGTTCCCAACCTTTCAAAATGAGGACCCTTTACAAGCAAAATTTCACAGACATCTATGTGATAATTCTTGAGCTCTTAAAATTGGAGGTTAATATATCTATAACATCAAAAAGATAGTATAAAAAAGATACTATAATTTCAGTAACACCTTTTAATGAATTAGTATTGTATTAACCACAACAGCGTACATTTAAAAGATAGATAGAAGTACAAATATACAAAATATAATATTTAGCAGTTAACAGTTAAGGCTCATTGCCTAAGCAGGTTCATGAACCCCTGATGTAAACTCATGGTCTACCCCTTACGTACCCCACAAGGTCTGGGGTGTGCAAAGAGGGAATTGTTGAATTTGTGTATTATCCCACCAGACATCCAGTTTTAAGATGGAAACATCCTATTTTCTCATTTGACTTTTTTTAATACATCACAAACTCTCAGAAATGGAAAATGTGTATCTTTCTGCATACAATTAAGAAAGACCACAGTTTCTGGCATTCATCAGTTAACAAACCTAATCTAAGTTTGTGTGTAGCTGCTTACATATGATCTTCTTGTGAAGATTTACCAGGGTTCACATTTTTAAAATATCCATGAAAGTTTGATCTCTCAAAGACGTCAGTTCCACATACAGTGTGTCAGTATGACCTGAAAAAATTTCTCTGGTGTCCTAATGAGTACGTAACATGCATTCTTTAGCTTGAATTTCCTGTGAGTTTTGACATCATAGATTAAATATCTCCTGGCATATTAAAAGAGTATCTGGAGTCATGTAGCTCTGAAGAGAGCCAAGATTCCATAGCTCATGTTAGCTGACAGTGAAACTCCACCACTTAATTCTGGGAAAAGTCAAATTCTATCTTGTACCAAAGTCACTTACTGTACATACATTCTGCCCCTGCTTCTCATTGGAAGTGATCAACTGAAGGACAACATTTTAATTAAATAAAATAAAATGGTTATGTATTTAATTTAATTAAACATTCATGCTAGTTTAACTGTTATCAAGGTAAGATATTAAATATAATAGGATCCTATACAGTACTAAACTGAAGAAAATAAACTTACTCAAAAGACAGCATTCAATTCCTATGTCAATTAAGAAGCCATCATGTAAGATAGGGAAAATTAATTAATTATACTTTTCTATGTGTTGCTACTTTTCTACAAAACAGAAGTGATTGTTCTTATCCTTGTTAAATATACACATTCTTGTTAAATACAGAAAGGGGTTCTATGAGTCAAAGGCTGACAGAGAAATATAGAAGCTTGTCTGGAACCTACACCAGTGCTTCCCATCTATTTAGGTACAAGGTCCTCTTTTGAACATGCTAACTCCACAGTCTTTCACACTGGCAAGTCTGGTTTACGTATGCATCTGTGGGCCCTCGTCAGTGAGTAGAACTCTCTGGAATTTGGAGGCCAGAGTTGGGAAGTGCTGATCTGGGTTAACCTTCATTTTCTGAGGTCTGGAGAGATTAAGTGATTTGCACAAAATTACACAATTAACTAGGGTAAGCTACAGCTAAACTACAAGTCTCTTCAAGCTCTGTCTCATACAATTTCCACCACCCCCTAAATTATAGATGAAAGTACACAGAGTCACAGAAAGAAGATTCCTATGCTAATTCGGAGCACTGTATTTTCAGGCAAATTTATCAGCTAAGTGCTGAGAGCGCTACTGCACTTTAGATCTGGAAACGCAGAAGGGTGCTCAGGAAACTTATAAATAGAATGGTTGCAGATAGTTTGATGTCAGCTTTAGGACATAAATAATGTTTAGCAGGTGTCAAATCAAGGCTTGGTTCTGTCTGACATTTTCATCAGTGACCTAGATAAGACATTGGCAATCTATGGAGCTAAAGTCTCTCAAAAGAATTTTACATTTTCCTTCTGCTGTCTCCTGCCCACAACCTGTCACTCCTTTTCTTCTCCCATAATCATGCCCCATGCCATTCCCACAGCTCAACTGATCTCAGTGAGAAGTTAGATTATTTAATTAATTACTACTAAGTTGTCAGTGACTAATATAACAGCCTTTCCAAACATCTTAGAGACCTTTAATTTTTTTAAATTAGTCTATTTATCCAAAATAATAATACTCTTTAGTGGGTGACACATGTATCTCTGTGCTGACTAGACTATTTCTTCCTGCCAAGCATGACCATAACTCCTCTAAATTCATTTTTTTTTAATTCTTGAAAATGTTGAAAGGATGGCATTTTTTCTACCTGAAACTGAACTAAACCTCTGAACTTTCCTCAGTATGATGCTTCAGGCAGCTACTAGCAATTAATCAGTGAAAATCAATTGGCGCTTGCCATGAACCTTAATTTGCCATTTCTGATGTATATGATGTGAATACATTCCTGTGTAGAGGTAGAGAATAATATTTTATAACCTTTCAAAAACACCCCCATAGCCCATTTTATTTGAAAAAGATAAGGTTACACTTCTTTTTGTTGTTGTTGCTCTCCACTCCTTACATATAAACAATGCTAAAGCTTGCAGAAAAAGAACATGTCTACAACTTCAATTTTATCAAAGAGATGGCAAATCCTTCCCTGAGGATCACTTAGATATAACAGTTATTTCTGGAAGTAACAAAAATGCCTGCAGTGGCATGGAATTTTGTAAAGTGGAATTCTAGCCATAGGTAGTGTATTCTTAATGAATATACCACTACATTTTTTTAAATTGAAATGACACCAATTGGACAAAAATCCACAAGGCCTTACAAATGAGGCTACTTAGAAACAGCCATGAGTATCTGACAGGTCAGGAAAGTAAACTGTTTCATACAGACTTTGCTGTTAAAAATACTCCAGTGATGTGTTTTTATAGGCAGGCAAGGGAAAATGTCCATAAATAGCTCTGGGAAGTTTAGCCAAGAGTTTAAGTTGCCAGTAAAAATATTAAATTGACCATCAATAGAAATATTTCAAATTTAGTGAATACTTAAAAAGGCAAAAATAAGAAGAAACTGAATGATAGCAACATTTAAATTTGTAGAATTATTTTCTCTTTGCTATATTCTGTATTTTTCTAATATTTCAGTGTTTCTTTCCCTATTTTCATATCCTATGATTTTCTTCATCCCAAATTATATTTTCATTTATCATTGATTTAAATGCTTTATTTCTTTTTTGTTTGTGAAGGTGGATTTTTTTTAACCTTATTCCAGAAACTTTCCCATCTGAATTTCAAATCATCGTTGCTTAACAGTTCATTTCTTTTCAAGGGATGGGGGGTTACTCTTTAACGAGTATGAGGGGTTGGGAGGGAAAACTTCACCTTTCTGACACTGGAAATTCGAATCAGTAAGATGTCCTTCATCCTGATACACGCTTTCTTGGGTGTTTACTGTCGGCACTCAACCATGAACTATGACTTGGCATCTGTAGTCTCTAATCCTAACTCAGGTTTATGAAGTTTCACAATTTTTTCCCTAGAGAACAGCCAACGCTGAGCTGGCGCAATACCACGGAGCACAGACCTTTGAGGAGCACACTACTGGCATCCATATAAGGAATACAGGACTTGGTCATGGCAGCCCAGGGCAGCAGGAGGAGTGCACTCAGCTCTTCGTAATTCCGTGCAACCATGCAAGTGAGGACGAGGCTGTCCGGCCCCTCCCTGATTGCCTTCTCCCACATAAGTTTGAGAAGGAGGCCTTGGACAGCACATACACTAAAATTTGAACGATGCAGAGAAGATTAACATAGAGTCAGAAAGAAAGAAAGAAAAAGGAAGGAAGGAAGGAAGAAAGAAAGGAAAGAAAGAAAAAGAAAGAAAGAGAAAGAAGAAAGAAAGAAGGAAAGAAAGGAAGGAAGGAAGGAAGGAAGGAAGGAAGGAAGGAAGGAAGGAAAAGAAACATGCTGGTTGGCAATATTTCAGAATGATGGTCTGATTCATGGTGACTTCTAACTTATTAATAAAGAATAAATATTTTCTTGAAAAACCAATTCCATGAACAGTTACTTAACTATATATATATATAATATAGTTTATATTAAAACTATAAATTTTAAAATTGAAAAGCTTCTTAAATCAAAGCCTTAACATGTTTCAACTCTCTCCTCTGATGAATTTAGAAGAGTTACTGTAACTCTTAAGCTATGCCTGAGTTGGAATTCAGAAGTAGGATCAGGGCTTAGCTTGAATCATTTGTCTAGGCTTTTTGATCTGGGGAAGCCATTTCATTTTTATTTCCTTTAGACACAGAAAATGTTTTCCCTTGTGTTAAAGTGGACATTTTTGTCCTCACTAATATTTTTCTTTTCTTTTCTTTTCTTTTTCTTTTTTTGAGACAAAGTCACCCAGGCTGGTGTGCAATGATGTGATCTTGGTTCACTGCAACCTCCACCTCCAGGGTTCAAGCAGTTTTCCTGCCTCAGCCTCCTGAGTAGCTGGGATTACAGGTGCCCGCCACCACACCTGGCTAATTTTTGTATTTTTAGTAGAGACAGGGTTTCACCATGTTGGCCAGGCTGGTCTCAAACTCCTGACCTCAAGTGATCTGCCCACCTCAGCCTCCCAAAGTGCTGGAATTACAGGCGTGAGCCACCATGCCCACCCTAATATCATTTTTAATATTGTAAACTTGTCAGTTCTCTCTTATATTCCAATTTTCCTCACGCCTCTACTCACATTGTTTCTTGCCAGTTACCACAGTAGGAGTAATCTTATCTAGCAATTGTAGATAATACATTAAATTTTAATGTTAAAAACATTCTTCTTAAAATTCTTGACACATGACCTGTGTTATTTCTTCTGATACTCTGCCATTGAAAGCTACAAAGGAGGTTAAGTGTCTACAAAATCCCGCCTTTCCTGTTTTCCTCAGTTACTGCAATTCCAAATTTTTACTGGGAATTTTAATGTAAACAAGTTTGCAATGATTTTCATACCATCCTTGAAACCTCTGAGTCTTGTAAGCATCTCTAGGATTATGTAGAGGATTTCATTTGTTTTCCCCATTTTTTCTGTAGCCTAACTTAACATGACTAAGGTTCAAGGACATGGAAAATTAACCTTACACTTTGGAAACACAGATCAAGTGACATAGACTCAGTTTAAGAAGGTCATTTCATGACTCACTGATAATTATTTCAGGACAGATTTGATAATTGAGAGTGAGCCATGTTAGTCTTCAAAACAACGTAAGAAAAAGTTACTGATTTGCTTTTGGAAAAGCATATTCATCTTACATAGATAACAGGAAGGAAAATGGTGAGGCTCTTCGGGATTGCTTTTTTTTTTTTATGTTTGCCTTTGACAAGTGTATCAAAGGTTAATAAAGCCCTTTGGAATTTTGATTTTTGAAACACTAACACACGTAAACTTAAAAGCACTACCGGTTGATTAGAAGGTGGTACTTTTGGGTGTGAATGCTGCCCGTTTCACATGCAAACTGCGTCCAGCAAACAATCCTGGGAACAGAGCCAAGAAATGTCATTTCTCTCACTTTGTACTTCCATAATAAGTCTTCATCCCCAAATGCTTTCCCCTGTTCTGTCCGCTGACTAATCCACCCACTCAAAATCTTTCCTGTTTACACTGTAAAAGAATGGTATTTTTAAAACCTTTACTCCTTTAGCAAAAGCACCCAACATAAAGCCTTGCACACAGACACACGTAATAAATGTCATTTTGAAAATCTTTTAAAATAGATATCCCTTTATGAACTTCAAAGATCATGCAAAGGAATAAGTCAAAGCTAAACCCAGCAACTTGACTCTCCCTTCCAAATGTGTTACCATCAGAAAACACTAGAATCTGAGTGCAAGACTGAAACTCTGAAAGATTCTACCTTATTTAGCATGCAAGTTAGTCCTGTAATCCGTAGAATCAATATCAACACTTCAGAAGGATCTGTCCTGACTTGGCATAACATTTGATTTTTCTTAGCTTGTGAAATTGATCCTCTCCCTAACCTAGATTGTTAAACCTCATAGAAGACATTATTAGGCATGAGCAACAGTTTATTTCTGAAATCTGAATAAAAAATAGACATTTACTCACACAGTAGGTGATAATCCATGGCCATTTCCCTCATATAAACAAACTGCCCTCAACTAACTCCGGAAACCTCTTTTAATGATAGTTCTTGCAAAAGGTCAGCTAAAGTTTATTTTGCTTTCTTGCCTTTGTTGGAATTTTAGAAAACATGGTATCTTTTTAAAAAAGATTTTATGTAGCTCTCCATAAATCAGAATTGTTTGGCCATCTCTTCAGAGGCATAGCATTGAAGCAACTATAGTGTTTTCATTTTTCTCTACTGAAGGAACATTCTCATCCTGTGGTTTCAGAGAATATTTAGAAAGATAATCAAATAAATCTGCTTATCTTCTTTTCTACTTCCAACATAGACCCAATTTTGCAACATATTACCATCATTGGGTCAAACTGACCATGGCAAACACAAATTTTGTTGAATCAGTTTTAGTCTCTACCAAATCTACCACCCTCTGCCATCATATTCCACAGTTATGCCACTGTCCTGCCATTACACCTTGTAAAATCTTACAACAGGTTTTGTGAGATTTTTATTAAAACCTCACAGTACTATTTTGCCTCCCCCCTTATCTTTGTGGTTACCAGACCTTGCTCGTTTTCTTTATAGGTATCTTTCTGACACACCAATTTCCATTTGGAGCCATTCCTATTATAAGCCTTTGTAATTGACCACTTGACTAATATTTTGCCCTTCAGCTTCTCTCACCTTTAATCATCCTAAACGCTATTTGTCTTATAGTAAGATATCAGAAAATAATTGTAAATGTAAGCCACAGGTAACAATACATATAAGATATCGTTATTGTACAAACTTATCAAGTAATTAACATCAACTAAGCTTTGTTCTTACTCTAACACCCAGCACACCTGAGGCCAGGGCTTGGGAGGTGAGGCCTGGGTGCTCCACTCCCAGCTCAGGCTGCTAGCATTATTGGGGTGGGGGGTCATAGGAGGAAGGTCATTTCTGAAGACATACCAGAGATGGTTCATTAAATAACAGAGATCAGTGACTGTACCAAGCCAGGAGGGAATCTAGCTGTAAGTCTGTTCAAAGAAATGAGGGGACAAATGCAAGTACAGCAAGGCACTAAAGTTTGAACTCACACTTCAGCAAAATCAAAGGCAGTAGGATAAAGCAGGAGGGGAGCCTAAAGCAGGAAGAGATGAGATGTAGTGTGAAGAACAGGCCAGCCTACTCCAGGTAGTACCCCTACACTTTGCAGATCCTCTAGACCTTCGTTTCCCCACGACTCACTCAACCCGGATACTCAGCTCAAAAAATTTTGTTTTTCCCCCACTTCCTTTCTTTCTCTCCCTCCTCTTGCACATTTGCCTGACTTGATATAAGCAAAACCCAAAATCCAGTTTTCCAAATACATAGCTTTTCTTACATGGAGAGGAGAAGGGAAGGCTGGAACGAATAATTTCTTTTCCTTTGAATAGATACCCAGCAGTGAGATTGCTGTGTCAAATGGTAGCTCTATTTTTAGTCCTTTGAGAAACTCCAAACTGTTTTCCATAGAGATTTAACTAACTTACATTCCCACCAACAATGTATAAGCATTACCTTTTGTCCACATCTACACCAACATCTATTATTTTTTGACTTTTTAATAATGGCCATGCTGACTAATGTGAAATGGTATCTCATTTGCGATTTTAATTTATATTTCTCTGATCATTAGTGATGTTCAGCATTTTTTCATGCAGTTGGTGGTCACTTGTAGTCTTCTTTTGAGAAATGTCTGTTCCTGTCTTTTGCCCATTTTTTAATGGGGTTGTTTGCTTTTTTCTTGTTGAGTGGTTTGAGTTCCTTGTAGATTTTTGGATATTAGTCTATTGTTAGAAGCATAATTTGTAAATATTTTCTCTCATTCTGTAGGTTGTCCATTTACTCTGTTGATTATTTCTTTTGCTGTGAAAAGCTTTTTTTTTTTTTTTTGAGACAGAGTCTCGCTCTGTCGCCCAGGCTGGAGTGCAGTGGTGTGATCTCGGCTCACTGCAAGCTCTGCTTCCCGAGTTCATGCCATTCTCCTGCCTCAGCCTCCTGAGTAGCTGGGACTACAGGCGCCCACTGCCACACCCAGATAATTTTTTGTATTTTCAGTAGAGACGGGGTTTCACTGTGTTAGCCAGGATGGTCTCAATTTCCTGACCTCGTGATCTGCCTGCCTCAGCCTCCCAAATGTGCAAAAGCTTTTTAGTTTAAGTCCAATTAGTCTATTCTTGTTTTTGTTTCATTGGCTTTTGGGAAATTTCATCATAAATTCTTTCCCTAGGTCAATGTCCACGAGAGTTCTTTCCAGGTTTTCTTCTAGGATTTTTATAATTTTGGGTCTTACATTTAACTTTTTAATCCACCTTGAGTTAATTTTTGCATATGGTGAGAGATAAGGGTCCAATCTCATTCTTCTGCATATTGCTAGCCAATTTTCCCAACATCATTTATTGAATAGGCTATCATTTCCCCATTGTTTATTTTTGTTGACTTTATCAAAGATCAGTTGGTTGTAGGTAAGTGGCTTTATTTCTGTGTTCTCTATTTTGTTTCATTGATCTATAGGTCTATTTTTGTACCAGTAATATGCTGTTGTAATAATTATAGCCTTGTAGTGTAATTTGAAGAGGAACAATGTGATGCTTCCAGCTTTGTTATTTTTGCTTAGGATTGCTTTGGGTATTCAGGCCTTTTTTTGGTTCTTCATGAGCTTTAGGGTTTTTTTTTCTAATTCTGTGAAAAATGACATTGGTATTTTATTAGGGATTGCATTGACTCTGCACACTGCTTTGAGCAGTATGGTCCTTTTAACAATATCAATTCTTTCAAGCCATGAACATGGGATGTTTTTTCATCTGTTTGTGTCATCTATGATTTCTTTTATCAGCATTTTGTAGTTCTCCTTGTAGAGATCTTTCACCTCCTTGGTTAAATGTATTCCTAGGTATTTTATTGAGTGTGTGTGTGTGTCCATTGTAAATGAGATTGAGTTACTGATTTTGTTCTCAGGTCGAAAGTTATTCGTTTACAGAAATGCTTCCGATTTTTGGATATTAATTTTGTGTTCTGAAACTTTATTGATGTCATATATTAAGTCTAGGAGTCTTTTGGAGAAGCCTTTAGGGTTTTCTAGGTATACGGTCATGTCATCAGCAAACATATAATTTGACTTCCTCTTTTCCAATTTGGATATTATTTCTTTCTTTCTTTCTTTTGCCTGATTGCTCTGGCTAGGACTTTCAGTACTGTGTTGAATAGGTGTGGTGAGAGTGAACATTCTTGTCTTATTCTGGTTCTTAGAGGGAGTGCTTTCAACTTTTCACCATCCAGTAGGATATTGGCTATGGGTTTGTCATACATGGTTCTTATTATTTTGAAGCAATGATTTTTAAAGGCAGGAAAATATGTTGAAGCAATGATTTTTGAAAAGAATTTCATTTCAATGAATTTTGTGTACTATAATGCGTTATTGGGGAATCCATTCTATGTGCTAGTTATTCTTCTAGGTGGTTTATATGTAATGTCTTATTTATTCTTCACAACATTAATAATAGTATGAGGTAGGACCCATCGTTATCCGTAATTTACTAATCAAGAATCAGAAACATGTAGCAAAAACTTGTCCAAGATCACCAGGAATAAGTTAAGGAGACAGGATTCAAACACAGGTAGTTTGACAACTTAGACCATGTTGTAACTCCTCCCTCCACCTGTGCTACTGCTACTGCTTCAATGCAATGGACATCTGAGTGGAGAAAGTGTGATCAGTTACTCCAGTCATCATACTTGTTATGGCTGATTTTATGTGTCAACTTGACTGGGCCACAGGGTGCCCAGATATTTGATCAGACATTACTCTGTGTGTGTCTGTCAGGATGTTTTGGGGTGAGATTAGTTTAAATCGGTAGATTGTGTAAAGCAAATTAACCCTCCCTAATGTGAGTGGGCTTCATCCAATCAGTTGAATATAACAAAAGACTGACCCTCTCCTTAGTAGGAAAATTTTCTGCATACCTATCTTCAAAATGAAACATCAGTTCTTTCTGTTCCTCCAGCCTCTCAGTCTTCAGATTGGATGACACCATCAGCTTTTTTGGTTCTCAGGCTTTTGGACTCAAACTGGAACTACAGCATCAACTCTCCTGGGTCTCCAGCTTGCCATCTCACCCTGCAGATGTTGGGACTTGTCAGCCTCCATAATCTTGTGAAGCAACTCCTTATAATAAGTCTCTTTCTATATACATATACATTCTATCGGTTCTGTTTCTTTGGAGAACCCTGACTAATACAATACTTCATCTATGTATGCCATGGGGAATAGAGGTTATTTTTTCAGATTCTTGAACTTTCTCATGAGGAAAATTGGGAGACTATGACATTACTATCCCCTTAAAGACATTATTTTTAGCACCTTATACTATAACTCACTATTCTAAATTACAGGTCTCAGATGCGCACATGAAAAATGACCTTGAACTTCAATTTTCAAGTGATCAACTTAAACACTTAGGAGCTCAGCAACTGACACTTATATGTCAATTTAGTCATATAATTAACACTCTAGAAGTGTAGTTTTAGTACTGATCTGTTGTGATCTGCTTAAGTCTACTAAAATGTGGAAACAATTTAGGATTTTTAGCTCTTAATTGTAGTCCATTTTCAAGGAAAAGGTTATTTTTTCACTATTCATAATGTTCTGCCTCTAAAATATTTCATCTGTTTGTCTATATCTTGATTTTGCTCTTAGTCTCAAATGGAAATATTACATTCAGGTTTTTCTCCTTAAACAAGTCTCAAGTATTTCTCACATACTTTGCCATTTTTATTTCTACATTTGATTACCATATAAGCTTTTGAGTTTTCAAATTAAAATTTTTACACTTGGGAGATGTGCATTCAAGTGGTTAATTGATCAAGTATATTTGAAACAGCATTCTAATTTCAATAACCTGTGATTTAATTCCTTTTATAGTTATTTCAAGATATTGGTTCCCTGCTATTGATGAGCGAGTTTTGATATGAAACTTGTTCTTTCATTGTTAGCATTCTGAAGTCTAATTTAGGTGAAAAGCTAGTTATTTCCTTTACTTTATGGCCTCTTAAAGACTAATATTTGGAAATGAAGACTAGATAAATGTGAATCAAAAAATTAGGCTGTGCACTGTGGCTCAGCCTGCTAATCCCAGCACCTTGGAAGCCCAAGGATGGAGCATCATTTGAGACTGGGAGTTTGAGTTACATTGAACTATGATCCAGTCATTGCACTCCAGCTTGGGCAACAGAGCGAGACCTTGTCTCAAAAAATAAAAATACAAAACAGAACTCCTTGGGAATACAAACTAGGATGTTTATGTTTTCCTAAAGCTGTTATTCCTCTAACACAATAATATTTATAAACTGGAACCTCATTAGCTCTAATTACTCTCATCTTTATCTTCTTAAAAAATTAAATCAAATTAAGGCCTTTTCTTAGATTTTGAAACATTTAGATCCCCTCTCCCAATAACAGGAGTTCAAAGCAAAAACATTGCTTGGCAGTATAAAGCAGAAGTTAAAACAATTAGAGTTAGTCAATAGAATTGTTTAATCATTGTAATATCTGAAAAAGTAGAATGAAAAAATTTTCTGTTTCCTTGCCACTAAACAGTAACGTTCTCTATGGTTGGTTGGCCCCATGATGGATTTGTGGTTTTTAAACCTTATATTCACCTTTCTGAACTCCTTTATAAAATTATAAACACATATAACTGATTAACTGATAGTTAAACATAGATAGCTAGTCTAATAAAAAAATGTAACTATGAAAATTTAAATGTCTTCTATTTAACTGCTAATTTATTCAAATAATTCCCACAATTATTTGGGGGAGGGGAATATCTACATAAATTAGGGTAGACTCTTATTCAGCCTTGCTAATTATTATGCACCACAAAGGCATCCAAATTACATAAATTTCTAGAATCACTAGTTGATTACTTTAGCATTTCAGTCTCTTCACATGAGAGTAATAATGATATTGTGTTCAATATCAAGGATATAATCTTAGCATGCTCTTACTTTTCTTCGGTCACAGATTTTCAAGATGTGGTGCCTTTATAATTCATTCCTATTCTTTCTCCCTTTCTCCTCCCACTCCCAACTTTCCTGCCCCCAACCACTACCCCAAAAGCCACATCCTAAACTTATGCTTTGCTTCATACCATATATTTTCCAAATCAGCATTTTCTTTCTGGTGCAATTTGTTTATTTTGTAACTTCTGTAACTAAGTTGTTTTTCATTTGCAAGGCCCAAGTAATAGCTAGATAAAAACTTTATAGCAACATGTAAAAACATAGAGGTGCACATATGTGTGCTAAGAATACAGCTGCAGTTTTCTTTCAAGTTGTTCTGTGCAGAGTAGAGTCTACAAGAGAAAGAGGTTGAAATAATTACTCTAGTGTTTAGTTCATTAGCCTAGAATTGGATCCCTCCTCAAGTCACAGAGGAATGGTTCTGGTGCTGAAAATGAAACTAGCATTTTACTTTTTGATTAACAGGAGCAGAATGATATGCTTGACTATTTTAAAAATTCTTTTTTAATGCAGGAATGGAAGTCTAGACTCAGTCATGTAACGCTCAGTTGGAGAAATAGTTTGGAAAAATTACTAGCATCGTTTGACTATAATCTGAAGTTTTTCAACATTCCATAGGACTTTAACCTTAATAACTAGCCTCTCTGACAATTTGTAAGATAAGACTCATTAGTAGCGTTATAGCCTAAAGGTGAAAACACAGAGAACATTTCCTCACTCTGGTTATCTATTCTCTGACAAGATTAGGTGAGTCATTTGGGCCTCAGTAATCCTCTGCAGTGAACTACAAGTCAGATTGCAAAACACAGGACTATGAATACCTCCTCTGAGTTTTCCTCTTTGTTTTAAAATTGAGAGATTTGTATAGAAAGAAGAATTTATTTTTACTTTGTTAACAGTTTATCAAAATTTACTAATGTAATCTGTGTAGAAAATATTCTGGTATATCTTCAGGAAGAAATGATTAATAAAAAATGTTAAAACTACCATTACTCTTCAGAGATGTTGCTTTAGAGGTATAATAGCATGTTTTTAAAACTATTAAGTGGATTGCATCAATAACATATGTAGGAGATGGAGTAATAGTACTTGTTGCTATTTATTCCTACTGGGTCAGGAACTAAGCAAAGTACATTAAATGGTATCTTATGCAAGCCTTATAAAAACTTCTAATGTAGGAATTGATATTCTGATTGTACAGATAAGAAAACTATATTTTGGTCACACTGTTAGTATGTGGTCGAGCAGGCACTCAAACAAAGGTCTGATTAACTCCTAAGCCCATGCCTATAACTTTGCCCTGCACTGCCGTATCACATTAAATGTTCCCAGCATCAGTCTCGTAAAGAAACACAAATAAAAAGAAAAATACAAATCTTTTTGGTTTTTAACTATGTCTCATTTGTGTGAGTGGTTGAAAAATTACTAAGAGTTTGGGAGAAAAGAAAACTGTGTTGAAGAATTAATACTGTTTGCTAAAGTACCAGACAAATTCCCCCACATCAGTGGTTTTCACATAATGGTTTTTTGCTTTTAATTTCTTCCTCAATTCAAATCACAGGAATTTCTGATAAGTGAGCAGCTTTAGTACAAGTGGTCCTTCAGTTCTTTCCTTATCGTGGCATTGTCATCTTCAATATGTGATTTTCAAGGGTGTCAAAATAGTTTCAGTAAAAACTGAAAGTGTAGTGGATTGTGAATTGGAGGTTTTTATGGGCCAGACTTGGTGGTGTCACCCATCTCTTCTGCTTATTTCCATTGGCAAAAATTTAGTCGCATCACCTAATTTTGAAAAAATGTAGTTGCATCACCTAACTTTGAAGTTAGGTGTACACCTAACTTCAAAGGAGGCTGAGAAATAATCTAGTTAACTGCTATGGTCTGAATGTGCCTAAAATTCATATGTTGAAACTTAATCACTGATATGATAGTATTAAAATATGGGGCCTTTAGGAGGTGATACAGTGATGAATGGGATTAGAGACCTTATAAAAGAGGTATGAGGAAGCTGTTTGTCCCTTTTGCCCCTTCCACTATGAGAGGACACACAAGAAGGTACAAGCCATCTCCAGATGCAGCATCTGCTGCACCCTTGATCTTGGACTTCCCAGTCTCCAGAACTATGAGAAATAAATTTCTATTATGTATAAATTACTCAGTCTAAGGTATTTCATTATAGAAGCAGGATTGGACTTAGACACCACGTGACCAAAAAAAGGGGGTAGAGGGATCAAGTTTGATGCTATGGCATAGTGTTCTGGAGATTAGAACTACTGAAGTAAAAACTGCAATTTGGTCATATTAAAAAATTGTTGACCACTCGCAGAGTTAAGAAACCATTATCTTTAATTTTTTTCTTTACTTATTTTTATTAATACTTTCCTTTTTAGTCTTTGATTTTTATTTTTTAGTTACTGAGAGGGACCCACAAATAGCTATTTCAACACCATAAAATGCGTAAGGGCCATGTATATGTGTACATGTTTGTGTATTTGAATTTGTCAGAGTTGCATGAATAGTATAAAGACCTGTTTTGTGTTTTGATTATTGCAGTTTTTTTCTTTTCCACATGACTTGTAAATAAATTACTTCTATTGAATATTGAATTATTATGTTATACCAATATAAGTATTAATGGGACTTTTACTTCTGCTATGGTGAAATATCAGGGGCCAAATTTGTCTTCCACTTTAAACAATTAAAAACTGGACAGTGTATATAACATTATGCCTTTTTAGACACTGAATAACTGGCAATGTAGCACTGTTTTCCCTGATCGAAGAAAAACAAAAAGGCAAGGTTTATAATTGCCCTATCTTAATGTCTGGAGGTATTTTCCAAAACCACAGCACAGGGAGGTGAAACCCAAACAGAGCCCAGAGAGATCAATGCATTGAGGAGGCAGAGATCAGAGTTCTGAGAGGCTAAAGCAGTTAATTTTGTAAGATAGGGGTCAGCTGCACAGAGGGAGAGCAGCCATCAGAGATTGGAAGAAGGCTTTCCTGAACTTTCTAGCTGAGAACTGATCTGCACATGTATGTGAAGAAACTACTGACTCATAGCTTGGGGAAAAAACTATCAGAAAACAGTGAACCAAACAATTCCCGGGGTTCTCATAGAGCTAGGAATAGTTTGTGTTCCCAACAGCCAGAGTGAAAAAACCTTTCGTTACACAGTCATTGGGTAGAATCCTCAGGAAGAGATCACCTTAATAGTGGAGACAACTTAGACTTAGAATAAAGGCTGCTCTGTATGTATCTTAACAAAGTTGAAAGCAAGCTTGAAAGAATCAAACTACTTCCAAGTAAATTAACTATTCTCAAATTTCTATATGATTTACAGGAGTACAACGAAATATAGCACCCAACAGTGTAAAATTCACAATCTTCAGCAGCCAAGCAAAATTTACTAGGCTTACAAAGAAGCAGGAAAATATGACCCATAGCTAGGAGAACACTCAATCAATAGAAACAGACCTAGAAATTATAGAGATGATAGTATTAGGAGATAAGGACATTAAAAGAGCTGCTATATGGTCTCTATGCTCAAGAAAGTAAAAGAAAACAAGAATATGATGCAGAGAGAAATGGAAGACACACAGAAGATTAAAAAAAACCTCTGGAGATTAAAAACACAATATCTGAAATTAAAAATACACTGGATGTGATTAACTGCAGATTACACACTTCAGAAAAGTCAGTTAACTTGAAGACACAGGAATAAAAACTATCCAAAATGAAAAACTGAGAAAAAAAATTAGAAAAAAAATGAACAGAGCATCATGACGCGAAAGCCAGTATCAGTATTCCAATATACATTTAGATGGGGGTCCCAAATGGGAAGAGAAGCACAGAAAAACTATTTGTAGAAGCATTGGCTGAAATTTTTCCAAATGTAATGAAAAATATAAATCTTTGAAACAAAATTATCAACACGCCCCAAGCAAAATAGAGATAAACCCCTCCAAAGCACATCATAAATGCATTGCTGAATCAGATACAACAAAGGTGACATCACAACCAATCCCACAGAAATACAAAACATCCTCAGAGACTATGATGAACACCTCTATGCACAGAAACTAAAAAATCTAGAGGAAATGGATAAATTCCTGGAAACACACTACCTCCCAAATTTGAAAAAGGAAGAAATTGAAACCCCGAAGAGACCAATCCTGAGTTCCAAAATTGAATCAGTAATAAAAAACCAACCAATCAAAAAAAGCCCTGGACCAGATGGGTGCACAGCCAAATTCTACCAGATATACAAAGAAGAGCTGGTACCAGTCCTACTGAAACTATTCCAAAAAATTGAGGAAGAAGGATTCCTCCCTAACTCCTTCTGCAAACCTAGTCAATACCAAAATGTGGCAAAGACACAACAAAAAGAAAACTACAGCCCAATATCCCTGCTGAACACAGATGCAAATATCCTCAACAAAATACTAGCAAAGCAAATCCAGCAGCACACCAAAAAGTTAATTCACTACAATCAAGTGGGCTTTATTCCTGGGATGCAAAGTTGTTTCAACATATACAAATCAATAGATGTGTATTAAAAACAGAATTAAAAACAAAAAACATATGATCATCTCAATAGATGCAGAAAAAGCATTCAATAAAATCCACTATCTCTTCATGATAATAGCTCAACAAACTAGGCATTGAAGGAGCATACTTCAAAATAACAAGACATATGGGTCTTGTTATTCAAACCCAGTTCAAACTCACAGCCAACATCATACTTAATGGGTGAAAGCTGGAAGCATTTGCCCTGAGAACTGGAACAAGACAAGGATTTCCCATTCAACATAGTACTGGAAGTCCTAGCCAAAGTAATCAGGCAACAGAAAGAAAGAAAAGGTATCCAAATTGGAAAAGAAGAAGTCAAATTATCTGTCTTCACTGATGATATGATTCTGTACTTAGAAAACCCTAAAGACTTATTTAAAAGACCCCTAGACTTGATAAACAACTTCAGTAAAGTCTCAGTATACAAAATCAACAAAAAAAAATCATTAGCATTTTACACAGCAATAATATTCAAGTTAACTGCCAAATCATGAATACAATCCCATTTGCAATAGCCAAACACAAAAAATAAAATACATAGAAATATGTCTCACCAAGGAGATGAAAGATCTCTACAAGGAGAACTACAAAACACTGATGAAAGAAATTGTAGATGACACAAACAAATGGAATAATATCTGATGCTGATGGGTTGGAAGAATCAATATCATTAAAATGTCCATATTGCACAAAGCAGTCTACAGATTCAATGCAATTCCTATCAAAATGCCAGTGTCATTTTTCACAGAAGTAGGAAAAAACAACCCTAAATTTGGAAACCAAATGGAGCCCGAATAGCCAAAGCAATCCTAAGCAAAAAGAACAAATCTGGAGGCATTACATTGCTCCTCTTCAAATTATACCACAGGGCTATAATAACTAAAATAGCATGGCACTAGTACAAAAATAGACACATAGATCAATGGAACACAATAGAAAATCCAGAAATAAAGCCACACACCTACAACCAAATGATCTTCAACAGATTTGACAAAAATAAACAATGCGAAAAAGGGACTCTATTCACAAAATGGTGCTGGGGAAACTGGCTAGTCATAAACAGAAGGACAATACTGAACCCCTATCTTTCATCATATACAAAAATTAACTCAAGATGGATTAAAGACTTAAATGTAAGACCTTAAAGTATAAAAATTTTAGAAGAAAACACAGAAAATACTCTTCTGGACATCAGTCTAAGTAAAGAATTTATGATCCTGACCCCAAAAGCAAATGCAATAAAACAAAAAATGATAATTGGAACCTAATTAAACTAAAGAATATGTGCAGGCCAGGCATGGCGGCTCACACCTCTAATCCCATCATTTTGGGAGGCCAAGGCAAGAGGATTACTTAAGGCCAGGAGTTCAAGATCAGCCTGGGCAACATAATGAGACCCTATCTATAAAAAAAATTTAAAAATTAGCTAGGCATGGTGGCATGTGTCTGCAGTCCCAACTACTAAGGGGGCTGAGGTGAAAGGATCACTGAGCCTAGGAGCTTGAGGCTGCAGTGGGCCAGCATCTCACCACTGCACTCCAGCCTGGGCAACAAAGTGAGACCCTGTCTCAAAAAAGAGAGAGAATAATATATACACAGCAAAAGAAGCTATCAACAGAGTAAACAGACAGCCTACAGAATGGGAGAAAATATTTGCAAAGCATATATTTGACAAAGGACTAATGTCCAGAATCAATAAGTAACTTAAACAAACCAACAAGAGAGAAAAAAAAAAAAAAAAACAGCTCCATTAAAACTAGGCAAAGGGCTGAGCACAGTGGCTCATGCCTGTAATCCCACCACTTTGGGAGGCTGAAGTGGGTGGATCACTTGAAGCCAGGAGTTCGAGACCAGCCTGGCCAACATAGCAAAACCCCATCTCTACTAAAAATACAAAAATTAGCTGGGTGTGATGGTGCACACCTGCAGTCCCAGCTATTCCGGAGGCTAAGGCAGGAGAATCGCTTGAATGTGGGTGATGGAGCTTGCAGTGAGCCAAGATTGCTCCACTACACTCCAATCTGGGTGACAGAGCAAGACTTCATCTCAAAAAAAAAAAAACGAAACAAAACTGGGCAAAGGACATGAACAGACAATTCTCAAAAGAAGACTTACAAGCAGCCAACAAACATGCAAAATGCTGAATATCATTAATCATCAGAGAAATGCAAATTAAAACTACAGTGAGATACCATCTCACACCAGTCAGAATGGCTATTATTAAAATGTCAAAAAAAAATAAATTTTGGCATGGATTTGGAGAAAAGGGAATGCTTATGCACTGTTGGTGAGAGTGTAAGTTAGTTAAATCTCTATGGAAAACAGTTTAGATATTCTCAAAAGACTAAAATTAGAAATATGATTTGGCTTAGCAATCCTATTACTGGGTATATATCCAAAGGAAAATAAACTATTCTACCAAAAAGACAACTGTAGTTGTATATTTATGATATACACTATTACATATGCACTATTTATGCTAGCAATGACATGAATCAACCTAGATGCCCATCAATGGTAGATTGGATAAAAAAAGTGTGGTAGATATACACTATGGAAAACTACACAGCCATAAAAAGGCAAGTAGAATGGATTATCCTTAGTGAATTAACACAAAAACAAAAACCAAATATTGCATATTCTCACTTATAAGCAGGAACTACTCATTGGGTACAACAGACATGAGGATGGGAATGATAGACACTGGGGGCTCCAAAAACAGGGAGCCAGGGAGGGAGAAAGGATTGAAAAACTTCCTAATGGATACTATGCTTATTATTTGGGTGATAGGATCAATAGAAGCCCAACTCTCAGCATCACACAACAGACAGTTGTAACAAATCTGCACATGTACCCCATGAATCTAAAATTAAATAATAAATAAATAAATGTACTGCTGAAAGCTGTTGATGAAGACAAAAATCTTAAAGGCAGCCTGAGTGAAAAAAAATACAGGGGTACAAAGATAAGAATAACAACAGACTTCTTGTCAGAAACTATGTAAGCCAGAAGACATGGAACAGCAACCTTAAAGTACTGAAAAGGAAAATAACAAAAACAAAATAAAACCTGCCAACCTAGGACTGATACTAAATGAAAACGTCTTTCAAAATGAAGATGAGCCAGGCATAGTGGCACACACCTGTAGCCCCAGCTACTTGGGAGGCTGAGGTTGGAGGACTGCTTGAGCCCAGGAGTGTGAGTCCAGCCTGAGCATAAAGTAAGACCTTGTCTCTTAAAGAAAACAAAATGGAGGAGAAATAAAGACATTTTTAGGGAATAAAAGCCAAGCCACCTTACTACCAGCAGACCCACCTTATAGAAAAGACATTAGAGGAAGTTTATCAGGCAAGAAGAAAATGATACCAGATGGAAATTTGGTTCTACACAAAGAATAATGCCTCCCTGATCCAAGCAATGGTTAAAATAATGGGATATTATTGAGATGGGGTCTGACTATATTGCCCAGGCTGATCTCAAACTCTTGGGCTCAAGCAATCCTCCACCTCAGCCTCCTGAGTAGCTATGATTACAGGTGCATGTCACTGTGCCTGGCTGGAAATTCTTTTAAACCTAATTAAAGATGATTGGCTAAAGCAAAAATAATAATGATTCATTGTAGTGTTTATAATACATGTAAAGTATTGCATAGGACAAAAATAGCACAAAAGATGATGGGAAATGGAAGAATATTGTTATCTTTTTTAATATTATGTGTGAAGCAATATTATATTATTTGAATGAATACTGTATGGTGCCTCATGCCTGTAATCTTAGCACTTTGGGAGGCAGAGCTGGAAGGATTGCTTGAGCCTGGGAGTTGAAGACCAGCCTAGACAACAAAGTGAGACCCATCTCTACAAAAAATTAATAATTAGGCAGGTGTGCTTGTGCACACCCATAGTCCCATCTACTTGGGAGGTGGGAGGATAGCCTGAGCCCAGGAGTTTGAGGCTATAGTGAGCCATGATCTCACCACTGCACTCCAGCCTGGGCAACAGAGCAAGACCTTGTCTCAACAAAAGTATATTGTAGGTCCTTGGAGAAACCAAGAAAAAAATAAAACAAAGAGCTAAAGCTAATAAACTAATAGTGGAGACAAAATGAAATACTAAATATAATTAAACCAGAAGAATGCAGGAAAATAGGCCAAAAAAGGAACAGGAAACAGATGGGAGAAATAGAAAATAAATAATAAGATGGTAGATTTAAACCCAACCCTGCAATCCTACTTCTTAATTCACACAAAAACTCATAAGCAAATTTGTGTAAACTATAAACAAACATCAATCAACTGGTGAATGGATGAACAAAATGTGGGATAGTCATACAACGAAATACTACACAGCAATAAAAAGGAACAAACTACATATACACACAAGACAGGGATGAATCTCAAAATTATTATGTGAAGGTAAAGAAGCCATCCACAAAACTCTATATGATTCCATTTACATGAAGTTGTAGAAAAGGCAAAACTATAGCAACAGATAGATCAGCAGTCGCCAGAATCTGGGTGTGTGTGGATTAGGGAGAGAGGATTAACTACAAAGGGGCAATGAAGAAACCCTTTGGGGTGATGGAATTGTTCTATTTCTTTACTATGATGGGAGTTACACAGCTGTATACATTTGTCAAGACTCACTGAATTGTACATTTAAAATTACCCTTCAATAAAGCTGACATTAAAATGAATTAATGATTTGATAATCACATCTTTAAAAATAGCAAGTTGACATTATAAGTGAGCTAGTAAACACCCTTGAAATAAGACCCCAGTATGGGGAGATGAAGGGTAACTCATTGGAAGAATGTGAGGGGAAAAAAATCAGTAGAATAGCCCATGTTCCAGGAATCCCAGGACTGAGTATATTAATAGAGACCCTAATCCCTTCTCTATAGGAGTCTGTGAAAATGTCCTTGAGAGCTTTGGCTACTCCCTTATCTAAACAGAAAGAGTGACTTCATTACAGCCACTGTGCTAACTGATTTCATGTTGAAGGCATCAGGTAATATGGCAAGTTGGAATACCCTTGTATTTGCTACCTAGTTCCAAAGAGCAAACAAACAGGCCTCATTGAGCTGATCAAGGCCAACTGGTTTGGGTCTGTAGCAGTCACTGGATTAGGGACAGATGACAAATGCTTTTGAGAGAGATGTGTATAAACCATTTTAGAGCCTGAGGCAGGGCATATCATACTACAAGTGGAGCTGTGTAAAGCATAGCTGGGAAAAGAAAGCAAACTTTAAACTAAGGAACAAGTCGGAGTTTATGTCAAATATAAAGTTAGAAGGGAGCTCTGAAGACACACTTGTCTTCTTGTAAGGCTCATGAAAGTGTTTAGAGGTTGGATAGTTTTAAAACCGGTAAAGCAGGTAAATGCAGTTGACTTTTCATTTTATCTGCTTTTATAGGATCTCTCATTTAACTTATTAAAATTCTTACTACCTTGTAATTGGTATATTAAATTTTAAAATAAGAGTAATTCATAAACAGGGTAACAATCCTATCTGTTTATATAACATCTCTCATTTAACTATTAATTCTTATTACCTTGTTATTGCTACATTAAGACATTTTTAAATGAAAGTGACACATGAACAAAATTTTTAAAAGCTTGAACAGGCATTGAAATGTATAAAAAGGAAAAGTTAAAGCATCTCTGCCCAAACTTATCCCCCTTCTAGAAACATGAATAATATTAAAGTCTCATGACATTTGTATAAATATGATCTTTATGTTGCAGCTCCTAAAATTTTGACATTTCTTATTGAGTTTTTATATATATTTATATCATCAGGCAGTACTCTGCTTTTCTCTTAGAAACCTTTGCTCTCTCATTTGCCTTGACTGCTATCTATATTCCAGTAAATGACACCCCGTTCATTCATATGCTCAAGGCCAAAATGTTGGGATCATTCCTGGCTCTTCTTTTTGTTTTAATTACTCTCTACACTTAAGCCATCAGCAACTCTTTTCAAATCCACTCCCAAAATATTTGCAATATTCTACAGCTTCTTACCATATCTGATGCTACCACAGCTAGATCGGAGCCACCATCCCTCCCCTAACTGGTCTCTCTCACTCCACTTTTGCCTTTTAAAGCCTTCATATATGAAATTATGTCCTACTCCTGTCAAAAACCCTCTAATAACTTTCTGTTGCACTAGAGTGAAACTCAAGGACTTTTTCATAGTCTGCAAAGCCTGCAATCATCTAGTCTTTGTCTACTTCTCTGACTTCCAACTTCTCTCTAGTTCGTTTTAGCAAAACCTGCCTCTGTACTATACTAAAAACAGCTTCAATACATTTGCTTCTCAAGATATTTTTTAGTTTTTGTTTGTTTTTTGCTTTTTATTCTGTCTGAAGTACTTTTCCTCAAATTTTTGTGAAGCTCACTCTTATATCACTCAGTAGTCTGCTTAAATGTCACCTCCTCAGAAAGCTCTTGCCCTAAAATATCATCTCATCCCATCACACCATTACTCATGATTCCCTTGCCATGCTTTATCAGTCTTTCTAGCATTTAGCATCACTCAAAAATAATGTACGTACGTGTTTTATTGCCTGTGATACACATCAAAATGTTAAGTTCCTGAGGGCAAAGACATTTTTTAAATCACCAGAGTCACATTCCTAAAACAGCGCTTGGGTTGTATGTGGTGGCTCATCCCCGTAGTCCCAGCACTTTGGGAGGCAGAAGCCAGAGGATCATTTGAGCCCAGGAGTTTGAGACCTCGTCTCTACAGAAAGTTTAAAAATTAGCTGAGGATGGCAGCACGTGTCTGTAGTCCTAGCTACTTAGGTGGCTAAGGTGGGAGGATCACTTGAGCCTGGGAGGCAGAGGTTGCAGTGAGCCAAGATCGTACCACTGAACTTCAGCAGCCTGGGTGACAGGGTGAGACCCTATCTCAAGACAAATAAGCAAATAAAACAATGCCTGTCATAAAGCAGGTGCTTAATAAATATTTTTTGAATGAATGAAGCTTGAGCATCTCTAGCTATCTAGATAGTTTAATGAAGTGTTTCCTATCATTTGTTTTCCTATAATCCTTCTAGACCCTATTATGCTTAACTACCACTAGTCAAATGTTTGGAGATACCCATTGTTTTTCCCTAGCAGAGGCACAAAGAAAGAGCTAATCAGAAATAATTGGACTAGCTCCAGTACTGGTTTTTAAAATATTGCCAACAATCTAACACACTAGAATAGGTGCTTAATTGTGTATTGTAAAAACTTTGTCTCAATGTAGGTAAAGAGAAAAACAAAAGAAAATATTGTTAATATTTGTATTGTTTGATGTGTTCTTTTTAGATGCACAACTCATTTCTCTCTCTCTTTTTTTTTTTTTTTTTTTGAGGCAGAGTCTCACTCTGTCACCCAGGCTGGAGTGCAGTGGTAAAATCACAGCTCACTGCAACCTTGACCTCACGGGCTTAGGTGATTTTCTCACCTTAGCCTCCCAAATAGCAGGGACTACTGGTGCATGCCACCACACCCAGCTAATTTTTTGTGTTTTAGTAGAAATGGGGTCTTGCTATGTTGGCCAGACTGGTCTCAAACTCCTGGGCTCAAGCCATCTGCCCACCTTAGCCTCTCAAAGTGCGGGGATCACAGGCGTGAGCCACTCCTCCCAGCAGTACAACTCATTTCTAAGGAAATCTTGACAAGTATCTCCCAGTGGAAGGCTGGGCCCATGTGTATTAACCACACATTTGGTTGCTCCAGACAATATCATGGCTTTCATGAGACTTCAGGGCTGCAGCATTCTATATTAAGCGGGATCACTCTGCTCCACTGGATCACTCTGATCTGCTGCTTCTGGAACACTGCCAAAGCTACAAACATCTTCAAAGCCCTTTTTAAAATTACAAGGTGAAACTATTTTCTCAGTGTTTATTCATGTTTTTCATGATATAAATGATGATCTTTCCTTAACTTCAGACATTATTGTTAATGGATTGTTTCAATCCATTTGCATCTGTAAGTATCCATCATACAACCCTTACAGAAAATTCTTAACCACTTTTTACATTCTCCAATGTAAGCAAATAAGATATGAGATTCAAAATCACCCTTAAGATATCCCAGCTTTCTCCCAGGGCTATGTGACCATTTAATTCATTGCCCTGGCCCCATTATTTATTTGGCATGATGAAACCTAGTAATCAAGTAAAACAGCTAATTAAGAAAAAAATGTTAATTTGTTCATGGTTTCCACTGAAATATAGACAATTTAAAAGAATTTAGGACTTCAGTTAAAATATCTGTAAGATTTGGGGTTAACAAAAAATGTGTTGATTTGGATGTTGCTTGCAGGTTTCACACAATCAAGTGGTTCTCACTTAACAAGGAAGACAATATAAATTCCTACAAATATGGTAGTAATTTAATTCTAGCAATCACATCTTTACATATAATGCATAATATGCAATATTTTGAGGGGCTAGGACAGCAAGAATGGACACACCAAAGCTGAGTTGTAAACTTTTGCCTTAAGTTTAAAGCATAATGAAATCTGCCTAAAATGGCAATCACAATGGTACTGGAAGGAAGCAAAGGTGACGCAGTTGAGAATTTATGGAGATTATTCGTAACAGGTTTAAAACCTAATTTTAAAAAACCCAGCCTATTTTATTCATATACCTGTTATATCTGGAGACTTGTCAACTGATCCATGTCAAAATTCATGCAATAAATAGGACTTATTAAAGCTAAGCTCTAATGTACTTATGCAGTACTCTCATTTGATGTGAGATTAGCTTGGATGTCTGCTTTAATCCTTCTTTCTCCTGGTTGTGGCCCATGCAGACCACTCCTTAAGCCAGAAAGTGTTCTGGGAGCTTGCTGAAACTGTGTGACAAAACTAGGGGCTTCCCTCTGAGCTAGGTACACAATAGGGACTCTATAAATCCTATTCTCTTTCATTTTATATGCCATATAATCCTATTTCTGAAGTGATGCTTGCATTCAAGTTTGGGTGCTGTATCGTATTGTCTTACAGTTGCTAGAAAGTGCCTTGAAATAAACAGAACATAGCCAGGTGCAGTGGCTCACACCTGTAATCCCGGCACTTTGGGAGGCTGAGGTGGGCAGCTCACTTGAGCCCAGGAGTTCAAGACCAGCCTGGGCAACATTGTAAAACCCCATCTCCACTAAAAATACAAAAATTAGCCCGACGTGGTGCTATGCACCTGTAGTCCCAGCTACTCAGGAGGTTGAGGTGGGAGGATTGCTTGAGCCTGGGAGGTGGAGGCTGCAGTGAGCAAAGATTGCACCACTGCACTCCAGCCTGGACAACAGAGCAAAACCCTGTCTCAAAAATAAATAAATAAATTAATTAATTAATTAAAAAAACCAGAGCAGATAGAAAAGTTTCTACCCTTGGGTATTTCTTTTGCCCCATATCTGTTATAGCTTTCATTAAGAACTTGTTTTTAACTTTCAAAGGAAATAGGGAAAAGTAGTGAGTAGTGGAATAAAAAGATTCTTGGCAATGTTATTTTGAAGAACAAATAATTCCATACTAAAAATTCATCAAGTTTGGCCAAATAAATAGCTGCTTTCCACTATATAGCACATTACTTCTCTTTCAATAAGGTTCTGTTGTTTTTTTTATGTCAAGGGATTTCACAGTTTAGAGAGATTAAGTAGTGAGTCCTACTTGTAATTCTTGGACAGGCCCCAAAAAGAAGTAATCTGTCTGAAGGAAAAAGAAAAGTTTTGTTTTGTTGATCCATGATTGTATTTATTTAACATTTATTTAAGGATCTATGGGCAAATGTAAACATCACTTCTCTCCTTTTGTAAGTAAATGTAATTGCACTATATCCCCTCTTATTACTTCATTCCCTATTTTTATTTGCACTCTTAGGATAAATAAACATCAAAAATATCATTTATCTCTTTGAATGTATAGAAATATAGACACCATTTTAAATACTTAGTTAGATGATATATGAAAATGGGAAAGAGAGGTTTGAAATCTTTGGCTTTAACCCATAGACATAAAAGCCAAAGTGCTTGCTATGGTTTGAATGTGTCCTCTAAAACAGGGGTGCCCAACCCCCTAGCCGTTGATGGATGCCAATCAGAGACCTACTGGAGCCAGGCCGCAGAGCAGGAGGTAAGGGGAGGCCAGAGAGCATTACCATCTGAGCTCCGCCTCCTTTCAGATCAGCAGCAACATTAGATTCTCACAGAAACACAATCCCTATTGTGAACTGAGCATGCAAAGGCTATAGGTTGCATGCTCCTTATGAGAATCTATCTAATGTCTGATGATCTGAGGTGGAACAGTTTCACTGGAAACCATCCCTTCCTCGGCCCCACCCCACCCCATCCCCACACCCTCCTCACCACTGCCCCACCTCAACCCTCGATGTTTGTGGAAAAATTATCTCCACGAAATGGGTCCCTGGTGCTAAAAAGGTTGGGGACTGCTCCTCTAAAAAGCATATTTTGGAAACTTAATCCCCAAAGCAAAAGTGTTGAAAGGCAGGACCTTTAAGAAATGATTAGGGCATGAGTGCTCTACCCTCATGAATGATTAGTGTCATTATCAAGGGACTGGGTTCATTATCCAGACAGTAGATTTGTTATAACTGTGAGTTAGACCCTCTCTTGCTCTCTCTCTTTGCCCTTCCACTGTGGGGTGATGCAGCACAAAGGCCCTCAGAAGGCCCTCAGCAGATGTGGCCCCACTTCTTGGACTTCACAGCCTCCAGAACCATAAGCCAAATACATTTCTGTTTATTCTAAATGACCCAGTCTCAGGTATTCTGTTACAGCAGTGGAAAATTGACTAAGACAGTGCTACAGTTGGAATCTGCAACACAGTAGTCAAAATGAAAGAGTTTGACTCTGAATGATTATAAGGTAAAGTGGTGGCTTCATTTTCCCACCTTTTCTCCAGTGTGAAAAGACAGAAGGAGAGATTACTCTTTGAATAAAGAAAACTATATTTTTCATGCATTTAAAAAATTTCCTAAATTCCTATAGCAATCAAACTCCAGCCACTGGTCAGGTAACCTTGGATAAATTAACTAATCTTCCTAAACTTCAGTGTTCTCATTTGTAAGTGTGAATAAAATTTATAGCTACTTCATAGGCTTATTATGAGAATACACGTGTAAAACACCTAGCCTAGTGTATTGAACAGAGTAGGTGTACAATGAAGAGGACCATTATTGTTTATTATTTCTCTTAAACCAGCTATGCGAAAGCTTATGTAGTTACCCTGAGAAACACATATGTTTGCTTATTACATAAATATTTAATGAATACCTACTATGTATCCATCACTTCCTGATGCTGGGGACATATTAGTGAACAAGACGAACAAATTCTGCCTTCACAGTGCTTATGATCTGGAAGGTAAACTGACATTAAACAATAATTACTCAAATTACCATGTATTTACTAGCATAACAAGGGCTGTGAAGGAAAAGTGCAGATGCTATAAAAATATAAATACAGTGTGTGGAAGTAAGTTTTTCTGAAAAATCAGAGAAGGCTGCCACAGGGAAATGACATTTACACTAAGATCTAAGATCAACAAGACAAATGTGTAGGGGTGGCACTGATGGAATACAGTGAAGTAATTAAAATGTGTAAATAAAACCATACAAAGGATCTCATTTTCCTGAAGACATTTTTATTTTTTGAAAATGGTAAGGGTTATTTGTAAAAATTTCTAAGGGTTCTTACAGATTGAAACTATTATAGGAGTTACTGAGTTGTTAGATTCAATATAAAAATTTTAAAAATTAATCTTACTGAACTTCAGCTTCAATGATGTAACTTACAACATGGAAATGGATAAGGTATTATTTTCTTTGGAGAGTTTTAAAAATTTGTTTATATTTTTAGGCATCATTGTGAAGTGGAAAGAGCATTGAATCACATGTCAGGAGATCTGGGTTCTATTTCTACCTGTTATTGGTTCAGTGGGAAACCATAGGCAAGGCATTTAAACCACAGTTCCCTGTTTTGTAAAAGAGGGTATTCCTTTCAACAGCCTGACTTACAGAAGCTAGGTAGAGGAGCACTGACAGCTTAGGTGACAATAGTGTGGATTGGGGTCAGACGGTTCCTGATACCTCATTCTTTCACCTAAATATTTGTTTGCTCTTCTTTTCTGGTTTTATGACAGGAAAAGGACCAGGAGTCTCGTTAAGATTGAAAGGAAAGAAAGGAAAAGATCAGTAACTTTTGTTGATGATAATGGGACAAATTAAAACCAAAATGAACAAACAACCAAAGCAAAGATGTATCATAATAAAAGCCTTAAAAATAGCCTTAAAATTGTAATCAGTTGTTATAACAACGTAGTGCAATAGCAAATTTACCAACAAATAACACCCAGAGTTTCTTCCTCATGTCAGTTAACTACTTGCAGGGTTTTCATTTGTTAGAAAGTAATATGCTAACCACTCAGATGTTTGTACTTACAACTTTTTCAATGGAAAAAGTATAAAGAATGATAAGCACTGCACATATCTTCAATGTGTAGGCCACTCTGAGCTAAATATATCATGTTATGATATTGTCAGATAATTTTATTATCACTTTGTAGGTGGGCTCCACAAAGAAAGTACTTTTCAATTGACTTAGGCAAAGAATTCATGACTAAGACCCCAAAGCAAAGGCAACAAAAACATAAATAAATAAATGGGACCTAATTAAACTTAAAAGCTTCTGCACAACAAAAGAAATAATCAGCAGAGTAAACAGAGAACCCACAGAGTGTGAGAAAATCTTTGCAACCTACGCATCCAACAGAGGACTAATACCCAGAATCTACAGGGAACTCAAACAAATCATCAAGCAAAAAACAAATAATCTCATCAAAAAATGGGCAAAGGACATGAATAGACAATTCTCAAAAGAAGATATACAAACAGCCAACAAACATATTTAAAAATGTTCAACATCATTAATTATCAGGGAAATGCAAGTTAAAACCACAATCAGATACCACCTTACTTCTGCAAGAATGGCCATAATTAAAAAGTCAAAAAACACTAGATGTCGGCATGGATGTAGTGAAAAGAGAACAATTTTACACTGCTGATGAGAATGTAAACTGGCACAACGACTATGAAAAACAGTATGGAGATTCCTTAAAGAACTAAAAGTAGATCTACCATTTGATCCAGGAATTGCACTACTGGGTAGCTACCCAAAGGCAAGAAGTTATTATATGAAAAAGATACATGCACATGCATGTTTATAGCAGCACAATTCACAGTTGCAAAGATATGGAACCAACCTAAGTGCCCATCAACCAACAAGTGGTTAAAGAAAATGTGATATGCATATATATATACACACACACCATGGAATACTACTCAGCCACAAAAACGAATGAAATAATTTCTTTTGCAGCAACCTGGATAGAGCTGGAGGCCATTATTCTATGTGAAGTAACTCAGGAATGGAAAACCAAATATCGTACGTTCTCACTTATAAGTGGAAGCTAAGCTATTAGGATTCAAAGGCATAAGAATGATATAATGGACTTGGGGACTCGGGGAGCGGGGAGAGATTGGGGGGTAAGGAATGAAAAATTACTTATTGAGTACAGTGTACACTGCTCAGGTGAGGGGTTCATCAAAATCTCAGAAATCACCACTAAAGAATTTATCCATGTAACCAGGCTGGGCACAGCGGCTCACGCCTGTAATCCCAACACTTTGGGAGGCCAAGGGGGGCAGATCATTTGAGGTCAGGAGTTTGAGACAAGCCTGGCCAACACGGTGAGACCCCTATCTCTACTAAAAATCCAAAAATTAGTTGGGCATGATGGCACATGCCTGTAGTCCCAGCTACTCAGGAGGTAGGAGAATCACTTGAACCAGGAGATGGAGGTTGCAGTGAGCCAAGATTGTGCCGCTGCACTCCAGCCTTGGCGGCAGAATGAGACTCCATCTCAAAAAAAAAGAACTTATCCATATAACCAAAACCACCTTTAAACCCAAAAACTGTTAAAATAAACATAAAAATTTAATTATAAAAGAAGGAAGTACTTGTCAATCCATAATGATAGTTATTATGTAGATAAGAAAACAGGCCCAGCAGGGTGGCTTACACCTGTAATCTCAACACTTTGGGAGGCCAAGGTGGAAGAACTGGAAGGATGTCCTGAGTCCAGGAGTTTGAGACCAGCTTGCACAAGGTAGAGAGAACTAGTATCTACCAAAAAAAAAAAAAAAAAGAAAAAAAAAGAAAAGAAAAAAAATTAGCTGGACAGGATGGCCATACCTGTAATCTCAGCTATTAGGCAGAAGAGTGAGGGGTTAGGGAAAGGATATTAAGATTGGAGGATCTCTTTGAGCTCAGGAGATTAGGGCTGCAGTAGCTGTGATATCACCACTGTGCTCCAGTCTGGGTGACAGAGCAAGACCCTATATCAATCAATCAATCAATCAATCAATCAAACAGGTAAATCAGAATTAAAAAATAGAAGATTGCTATCTGAGTCTATTTTGTGCTGCTTTTAACATATAATTTTTATATATAAAATATAATAACATCTAAGACTGAGTAATTTATACTGAACAGATACTTATTTGGCTCACAGTTCTGGAGGCTGAGAACTCTAAGACTGAGGGGCCAGATCTGGTGAGAGTCTTCTTGCTGCATCATTGCAGGCTGAAGGCAGAAGGGCAAGAGAGCTCACGAGAGAAAGAGAAGGGAAGGGGATAGTGCTCATCTTTTTATCAGGAACCCAGTCCCTTGATAACGACATTAATTCATTCGTAAGAGAAGAGCCCTCATGACTTAATCATCTCTTAAGTTCCACCTCTCAACACTGCTGCATTGGGCATTGTTTCAATATTTGGACTTTGGAGTACACATTGAAACCACAGCAATTACCTTAGAGTTTGTGGAACTAACCCGTGGATTTTTTTAACTTCAAAGCTAAAAAGTGGATTATTTTTGGTGAGATTATTTATCTCCAACATTATACTTTGTAAATAAGATAACCAAATGTCATTATTTCAGAGATGTTACTAATACCTAAATGCTACAGCAAGAAAATTTCTTCTGCATCCCAGCGAGTCTGTCACTACATAGTCTTCCAGTCAACTGTCTTGGAACAGACAAGCAGAAGAGGAAGCTATTCTTTACAAATGCGAGAATCAAAATGCGTTGGCAATCAATAAGGGTATAATAAAATGACCTCTAATATTATTCCTTTGGATAAAATTAATTTTTAAGAATTTGTGTCTGTAGAGAGTGATGGGGTTCAAGACACAGTACCCCAGTATATGGCACCTTGGCATTTAAGAAAGCAGCAGAAGCAGGAAGTCTTTCTCCACACTCTTCTCCCATGAAGCAGGCCATAAAAGAATTATCTGACCTTCCTCTGAAGCAGGTTATAAGACCCTTTTGTGAGAGATGCCCTCCCTAAACCTAGAAGAATGTCCTTATCTCTGAAGACACAGGGACACAGAGAAGAATCTGAACAAACTAAGTTTCCCCCAGTTTATTACCATTATATCATACCCCTTTTGTGCAGTCATCCTTCTCTACAACTATCCACTCTTTCATCAAACTTAGCAAAAAAAATACACTGATTTCCCTTTTTCTTTGGTTCTTTATTTCTGAAGGCTCTTGAGTCACATAAAACTTAAATAAATTTGTATGCTTGTTTCTTGACAATTTCCTTTTTGTTACGGGTGTTTCAGCCATATTTTAGCCACTGGTGGGAAAAAAAATCTTTTCTCCTTCAGAACAGGGTGGTTGATCAGGTCAAATTCTTATGAATTGGTGAGGGTTGGGCTAGAAAGGAAGCCACTTAGAACAAATGAAGGAAGTCATGAAACCTCACGGCCTGTTGAAAGCTTCTCATTTATTCCTGTTCACAGTATGAGACAGATCTAATGAAACAGAAATTTTAATACTATAAGAAGTCTTGAATTTGTTTCAATTTTCAACCCTTTGATAAAGAAAAGCTAATATATAATAATAAATTGATAGCATATACATGCACAAAGGAAAGACAGAATCTGTTTTATTAATCTTAGAAACAAATATTAATAGAGTCAACAAGCCTGGAAAAAGATGAAAATGTGTTTTTCTAGTGTTCAACCTGAAAATCTAAGTAAGAACTTTGATTCTTTGGGAAGCCAACCCTTAGAAATTGGGTTACAGGCTAGTCTTTCTTTAACCATCTCAGAAAAAGCAATCAAACAACTGTAGTCTTTTCTCTGAAATCTGGAGAAACAGGAAAAATCTGCATTTGTGTTTTGCCAGTGTTCAAATCTAAATGACCTGAGGTGTGGTAGAAAGCACGCTGGGGAGTCAATAGTTGCTCAGTCGGTTGCTTCCTAACCTTCAGCAAGGGGCCTGGGAGTTTCCCTCAAGAGGGACGACATTAATTTAAAATGCTACTCATGTAGGTAATCTACAACCTTGGAAATGGTATCTCTGGCCGGGCGCGGTGGCTCACGCCTGTAATCCCAGCACTTTGAGAGGCCGAGATGGGCAGATCACGAAGTCAGGAGATGGAGACCATCCTGGCTAACACGGTGAAAACTCGTCTCTACTAAAAATACAAAAAATTAGCCGGGCGTGGTGGCGGGCGCCTGTAGCCCCAACTACTCGGGAGGCTGAGGCAGGAGAATGGCGTGAACCCAGGAGGCGGAGCTTGCAGTGAGCCGAGATCGCGCCACTGCACTCCAGCCTGGGTGACAGAGCGAGACTCCATCTCAAAAAAGAAGAAGAAAAAGAAAAAGAAATAGTATCTCTTCATAATGAGGTGTTTCATTAATAGAAAGGAAAAGAAATAGTATCTCTTCATAATGAGGTGTTTTATTAATAGAAAGAAATAGAAATTAGGCACTCCGACAAGAAAGAGTTTGAAACTAAGCCCTTATTAGTGTTTTCCAACTGCAGCCTGTGGAAGCTGTGTTAGCGGCATCCTAAATCACTTGCTGAAGTCATCACCCTACAAGGGAAGAGTCCATCTGGTTATCCAATGGGATGAGGCTTCTCCTTAACTTCTTGCACCTCCTTTTACTCTGATTCTATACTCACCAAGCAAACTTCTGACCTAAATTTTATTTTTCAATTAGACTTCCCTCCTGTAAGTAAAATGATATGAAGGTTCAGATTGCTTCACAGGTAACCTTTTAGTGTAAATTAACAAATTCAACCTCTGGGTTTTTTTCTTTTCTTTTCTTCTCTTTTCTTTCTTTCTTTTGTTTTGTTTTGTTTTGTTTTGAGACAGAACCTCGCTCTGTCAGCCAGGCTGGAGTGCAGTGTGGTGCCATCTCGGCTCACTGCAACCTCTGCCTCCCCGGCTCAAGCAATTCTCCTGCCTCAGCCTCGCGAGTAGCTGGGATTACAGGTGTGTGCCACCACGCCCGGGTAATTTTTGTATTTTTAGTAGAGACAGGGTTTCACTATGTTGGCCAGGCTGGTCTCAAACTCCTGACCTCAGGTAATCCACCTGCCTCGGCCTCCCAAAGTGCTGGGATTACAGGCATGAGCCACTGCGCCTGGCCACCTCTGGGTTTTTTACAAGCTTCTAGCAAGCTTGATTTTTAACATGAATGAGTCCCTGAACGTCTGTCTATTTAGTAGTTGGACTAATAAAAGTTAATTTCTGAGCATACTCAGTTTTAAACTGATGGAACTTCACCAAGATTTACTTGCCCTAAGAGTTTCCATTTGGAAAAAAAAAAAAAAACCCTGCCAAACATTTTTTTTTTTTTACCAACTTTTGAACTGCAATATGGATGAACTGAAACTCACATTCTTTCATTTAACCTGAAAAATAGTTTGTGAAATCTTGACATGTGTAATACTTATGTTTGTTTAAAATATGTTTAAAACTTTAGTTTAAATTAAAGTAATCCCGGCACTATCACTTGAAGCCAGGAGTCTGAGACCAGCCTGGGCAACATAGTGAGACCTTGTCTCAACAACAAAAAATAAATAAAACAAAAATAGCAGGGTGTGGTGTCCCATGCCTGCAATTCTAGCTACTTTGGAGTCTGAGGTGGGAGGATCGCTTGATCCCAGGAGATCGAGGCTTCAGTGAGTTATGATTGCACCATTGCACTCCAGCCTGGGTGACAGGGCAAGATCCTGTCTCAAAAAAAACAAAACCAAACAACAATAACAAAAACCCAAAAGTAAATTATATTATTGATGGTAATTATTGAGGCTATTCATTATATTATTCTTGAGTGTTCATTATAGTATTCTATTTTGTGTATTTTTGAAAATTTAAAAAGTAAAACCAAAACAAAAAACAAACAACAAGACATACCAGGAGATTTAAAATCCATCTTCAAAGTACTTTCTAAAATGGAGGTAATGTGATTTGTTCTCTGCCTGGATTTTCGGTGTATTTGTCTCCACAACAAGTAAAACTTTAGCTCCAGTTACTTGGGCAATGCTATCAGGTGTCCACCAGTACTGCCTCTGGCTCTGAGTTCTTTCTGTGCCAGAAGGCACTATATTTGGATCTGGGTATAGCAGTTGATACTTTGGCTCCAGTTGTAATGAACCAACTCATTTCTTTTCTAGGAGGGATTGTTACTCATTTGCCCTTGCTAATCATGTTGAAGTGTTTTTAAAGAGGTAGCATTTTTATTTTCCTAGGGGGAATGTGTTTCTGCTGTATTGATGAAAGAATCAGAAGCTGGATTTTTTTTTTTTTTATGCAAGGTCTCGATCCCCTTGTATTTATATATATCCCCAAAATTTATATATATTTCCATCTTTGGGCTAGAAACACTTTAGTGTTACAGGGTCTAAGTTCTAAAATGATGACACACTGATTTAATTGCCACTATATATATACATTTAATAATATGTTTCCAAATAACAAATTTACTAAATAATATAAATTATAAATTAATATAAAACTATATTAAATATAACAAGACAACAAGAATTTGTCAAGGAATCTGACCAGATAAATATAAAGAAAACTAGAAATGTCTTTAGTTTTTTCCCCCCTCTGGAAGATTAAATCTCTTCCAGAGACTTATCGGTCCAATACATGTTTCAATTGATGTTAATTTGGAAAATGTGGTATTTATTTTGCCTATGTTTTTCACAGTACTCTTTTTGTATTTCTTTAACTGGTGTGTTCACAGTGTTTGTTTAAAAAATTATCAAAATTGTCTTTTAACATTTAATATAAGTGATTAAGACTGCTCTATGAAGATTGATTAAGGTGTGTCCATATCAAGTACTCGGTTTAAATTTTAAAATAAAATAAAATTACATAATTAAAATGTCTAATAGTTTGGTTCTACCTAGACCAAACTTGTAAATATTTTATTTTTTAGATTTAATTTGGATGTTTGACTGGTATTAATGGAACAACCATATATATGTCCCCATATTTTCCTTCCTAGAAGAAATTCATAGAGAAAACCAAACATTCTGTGAAGATTTAAATTTGATTTTTCTGCTTTTTCGCATACTGAAAAATAAGTTATTATTATCAAGAGCCCCCTTTCTGTAGGAAAGGCTATAAATCTTAAAAGAAATAAGGGTTTCAGCTTAAACGATTTGAGTAAATATTTTTCACAATGAGATTTAGGGATTTAGCTCCCAATCCTGAAGTGACTTTTATTATAATTAATCATTTTACCTTATTGTAGTTTACCTAATGCTGTGTGTCACTTACGCAAAACATAAAAATAGTCAAGAAAGTTTATGATCCTGAATTAGATCCTGAATCCGCTACTTGGGAGGCTGAGGCAAGAGAATCACTTGAACCCGGGAGGTGGAGGTTGCAGCAAGCTAAGATCGCACCACTGCACTCCAGCCTGGCGACAGAGCAAGACTCCGTCTCAAAAAAAAAGAGAATTCCAGAGATACAAACTTCCATAATATACTCTGTAACAGCAGCCATGTATTTTAGTTAAGTACATACTCATATAGGCAGATTGTCTGGCTTTAAAACCTGCGTCTGCCTATACTAGCTAGATGAACAACTGTGGGCAAGTTACATTAACCCTGTGTCTTCATTTTCTTATCTGAAGAAACTATAATGTAAGTATCTAGGCTGCTGTGAGGATGAAATAAGTCAATATATACGAAGGATTCAAAAGAGTATTTAGCTTTTATTAAATGTTTAATAAGAAATTGTTATAATTCAAAATTCCCATTTGTTCCACAGGTATTTGTTATATGTATATGAATTTTTATAACCAAAGTAAGTGTATATAACAACATTATGTGTATTGATATGTACTAATACTGCTACTCCTAATTTTTAGTTTATTATAAAAGTAAAATATTTTCATAGAAAATTTGGAAAGTATAAAAAGCAAATAGAAGTATAATAAAATGACAGCAAGTTTCACCACCTAGAGGGCAACTATTGATAACATTTATAGTTGCACTTTTTCCATGAATTTTAAAATGTAAGCATTAATGTGTAAAATAATATTTAACTGAAAATGGTTAGATTTTGTTATTCATACCTAGCAAAACTCCTGTTATTTTGTTCATACCTTTAAATTTTGAGAAGAAGCAGGCCTCAAACTTTGGCTAGAGTATTGTTTAGAAAACATTTTGTCATGTGGAATAATCAGATCATGAAAATATTTAGATTCCAGTTTCATATCCCATAGTTTAAAAAATTGTCTTGCTTACTTTCTTCATCTGTTAACTTTTCACAGCTGAGAGAAAGTGGCTTTGAGAATACTCCCAGAATTAATTTTATGAAATTAAATGTTGATAGGTATGTGCATATTGCACAGACTGGCAGAATTTCTTGTGATGTGTAAATTAAATATTATCAGTGGGATAGTCTAGTTTTAGTATATGTTATTGATCCACAATCATTCTTTCATAGTACTTCTTATTTTAGAAACAATTCTATGCTTTAATCAGATTTTTAATGCATTGATTCATCACTCTTAGGACTATATCCCTTACATTTTGGCTAGGAATGACATGCCTTAATGCATTCCACTATGACTATAAATGTGGGTACCTTCCAACCAAAATATTAGTTTCCTTGCTTTCCCAGAGTATATAAATGGATTTTAAAAACACTTAGTAGAGGTGCTATTTTTCGAGTGGAGAGATTTTCCTGTAAATAACGCATGTTAAGATTAGGTTTCTCCAAGGACCTTTCTAATCCAAAATGCCACTTACTTTAAGACCTCATTTGTACATTTGCCTTCTTAATAATTATGTCCTCAAAGCCCTGCTATTGATAGAAAGATCCATGGAAAAGCTTCAGAAATTCTAAATCCAGAAATGAGAAAGACTATCTAATGAATCAGCAAAGATTAGATCAGTAGTTCGGGACCAAAAACCAAACTGAGATTTAAAAGCCAATTAATGGCCAGGCGCACAGTGGCTCACGCTTGTAATCCCAGCACTTTGGGAGGCCAAGGCAGGCAGATCACGAGGTCAAGAGATCAAGACCATCCTGGCCAACGTGGCGAAACCCTGTCTCTACTAAAAATACAAAAATTAGCTGGGCTTGGTGGCACGTGTCTGTAATCCCAGCTACTTGGGAGGCTGAGGCAGGAGAATTGCTTGAACCTGGGAGGTGGAGGTTGCAGTGAGCTGAGATCGCCCCACTGCACTCCAGTCTGGTGGCAAGTGAGACTCCGTCTCAAAAAAAAAATTTTGTGATTCAGAATATTCACAGTTGGTACTAGCTCTTTTATTGGTTAGAAAGTTGATAATGCAAAAAAAAAAAAAGATATTTATTTCAAGATTTTAAATGATGGTGGGTTATACCATACCACTTTAATGAAAATGCTTCTAAAAAATAAAGTGTCTAATTTAAAAAGTCAGCAATTTAAAAAATCCAAAAAGCAAAAATTCCAATATTTTTCCAACATATGAATTTGCTTTTGACATCACTTATATCTTTGGTGCATGATAGACACTAAATAAGAGTGCATAGCATTTTAGTGATTTATGCAAAGGTGTTGATGATTAAAAGAGTCACCTATAATGTGTTAGTCAGGGTCTTGAGAGGAAATCGATGGTATACTCAAATGTGTTTAATTGAAAATAATTTAATAAAGGACTCTGTATAGTGGTATGAGCAGGGTGTCTTCTACTACTACCTTTTATAAGTAAGATCTTTCTAACTGAGCATTATCACAGTGAGCATTCTCCGTGTCCTTTTTTTTTTCACATTTTTCTTAACTCGTTAGTAGAAACATGGAAGGCATTATGATGAGTACATAAAGCTAATGATCTTTTCATTTATCTCTTTTTGGTATCCTAACACAGTGCTTCTCAACTCTTTTCACATCAAGGCAAACTTGGAAACTGGGGAAATGGATGAGGCTTCCAATTCCAGTATGCCCCACCTCCCAGGTTGAGAAGATTAATTTCTTGGCACAATCAACTAATTGGGAAATTCTGCTCCAGGTCCATTTCTTACTTTAATGTTCTTAAAATAGAGTAGTCCCCCCTTATCCATGTTTTCACTTTCTGCAGTTTCAGTTACTCATAGTCAACTGCAGTCCAAAAATATTCCATGGAAAAATTCCATTAGAAAAATTCATGTTTTAAATTGCATGCTGTTCTGCGTAGTGTGATGAAATCTCACACCGTCCTGCTCCATCCCACCCAGGACATGAATCATTCCTTTGTCCAGCATATTCATGCTGCATATACTACCCACCCTGTTAGTCACTTAGCAGCCATCTTGGTTATTAGTTCTACTGTCCCTGTATGGCAGTGCTTATGTTCAAGTAATCCTTATTTTACTTAATAGTGGCCCCAAAGCATAAAAGTAGTGATGCTGGTATTTCGGACATGCCAAAGAGAAACCATAAATCACTTCCTTTGAGTGAAAAGGTGAAAGTTCTTGACTTAATAAGGAAATAAAAAAATTGTATGCTGAAGTTACTAAGATCTATGGTAAGAATGAATCTTCTATCCATGAAATAGTGAATGAAAAAGAAATTCATGCATAGTATATGTAGGGTTAGGTATTATTCTGGTTTCAGGCATCTACGAGGGGTCTTGAAATGTACCTTCTGAATATAATGGAGTAGTTACTGTAATGTCTTCATATAACATATTTTTACAATTATTGACCCACATGTTAGTTTCCATCTCATCTCCAAAATCGCTCCTACATATTCTCTATCCTCTCAACCACTCACCGGACTCCTCAGTGAACTGACTTTATCTGAGTAAAACATCAGACTGACTGAACCTTGATCTTATCATGAGGAATATTCCTCTACTTCTGAAATCTCAAGTTTGGGACTCTCTGATACCTTTTTTCAGTGTCCATCCTATCTATCCTTCTTATTTTTACCCCTCACTAACCAACCAATTGCCTTTTTTTTTCCTTACTAGAAACTGCCAGTAAAATGCATAGTTCCTTGCTCCTCTCCATTCAGTCAATATCAGTTATGAATACCACCCACCAAACTGAGACTTGAATCCCTGAGGCTAGTTTAAACTTTGCCTTCTTCCTCAATTACACATTTTCTCAGTTACCCTAGGCTTCACGGATCTGCTCTTACAGTCTTTCTTTTCCATTATTCCTTTCCACTCTCTCCATGCCTGATTTAGTTCTGCCCTTCTCCCAGGATTCTTTAGTAAACTTTAGAATGACACTGTGCCTTCTATCTTTTCTCCCTAAATTACCAAATGTTTCTTTAGTTATTAGAATAGTTAATGCTTCTTTTCCATTCTAGATTTTAAAATTTAAATGCTCATGAGTGGTTTATTTACCTTCCAGGATTAGGACTTAAAAGATAAATTGACTCAGTAATATAGGAACTTTTAAAAGACTGGCACTTCATAGTTTATTGGGTGCAACTGTAAAAACTTGTCACAGCCATGTCATGTTGTAATTAAGTTTCTGTTATTTTTGAAGTGCTACAAGAGGTTCTGAGTCATAGATTGGATAATAAAATGTTAGAGAAAACATTTATATGCTTAGGTAAATACTGTGTTTAGAGGGACTATTCTTAAAAACTCTTCCTGCTAAGTAAGTTAATCTTTTGATCTCTTTCTCCCCCACCCCCCAACCCAGCTTTTCTTTCCCTGATTATGATAAAATGAAGCTTTTAATATGTTTTCCTTTGTGGTCAGTGCCTCATTACTTAGCCCTATAGAGTTAATGAGGCCAAGGACATTGGTTTGATTTCCCAATGGACCAGTAACTTCTGATCGTCTGTAGTCACAGGCTGTCCTTCAGACCATGGCCAACCATTTCATAAATGTTAGTGATGAGGGAAACAGACAAGGGGAGTCAGAATGGCCCCGTGGCAATTCATTATAAAACAAGTTAAGGCATATGTCCTCCTGAAGTGGCTCAGGAGTTTCATCTTCCCTCATATACAAATTACTCAGCAGTTATTTTATTTCCATAATTTGCTATGGCTTACACCTCTATGGCCCTCAGCAGTGTTAGTTTCGAAAGCATTCCATCTTCCTCAGGTCTTTGGTCTGGATGGCTTACTGAATTTACCAAGAGACAGTGTGTTGCGATGAAAGTAACATGGTTTTTGGAATCAGACCTTTTGCTCTACTACCATCACTGATTAGCTGTGGGCGTGTGCCCTAGGTTAAATGTCTTAATCTCCAAGTTTCTATTTCTTCCTCTGAAAAAAGTCTACTTTATATGGTTGTAAGAATTAAGTAGAATAATGTACATAGGGCACCAAGAACATAGTACTTGGATAATGAAAGTCAAAGTTCTCTACTTGTTTTTTATGATACACAAATAAATCTAATCAATTGGTTAGGAAAGTTTTCATATGGCTACCATTTATTTAATCCTTACTTGGTGCGAAGCATGCTGTGTAATGTTTTATATATATTATCTCTATTCCTCATGATAATCTCACAAGGTTATTTACAATGATCATTTCCTTTAAGATGAGGAAACAGATAAGTTGCTACCATCTGGAATGCATGGTTCTTAACTGAGCACAGTGCACATTAAACCGGAGACATAGCACTATCTCTAGGGAAGTAGTTTTTAAGCACTGCAGTTTAATAATTACCTGGAGGTGGGGAGGGAGTGTTTGTTAAAAAGATTCCAAGGGCTCACCTACAAGGATTCTGAGTCCAGAGGGGATCCAGGAAAATGCAATTTTAACAAGCTATCCGTGTCATTTTGATGCAATCGGTCCTTTTTAGGACACTTGGATAAATATCAGTCTATGCAAGACAACTTAATTTGGTTAATTTACTCTGTAGCCCAGGATTTAAACTGCAGTAGTAGGAGGAGGTTCAGAGACAGGCTAGCAATTATGGGGTAAAGTGGAATTTGCATAAGTAAGCAACAGTCTGCCCATTCTCAACTCTTCCTCATCACCTCAAGAAGCTTATCCTCTAGTGATAACTCCATAGGCTATCTGCAGTTGATGTCTTTAAATTAATCTTTGTTGATCCAGGATCAATTTAACTGTATCAACAGCAAACAGATGAGAAGGGGCAGAGTTGGGACTCCTAGAGGTTAACTCGAGCCATGGCCCTGTGGAACTGGCAGAAGCTGTAATTGCTTGCGACCTATTATCTATAAATGAGGATGACATTCATTTTATAAAGTTCTTGTAAGGACTACCACACTGCATAGCACATGGTAGGTATTTGCTAATGGTAGCTATTGTTATTTTTTTTTTATTTTTGGGTGAGATGTCAAACATGATAACATATATTAGACTCTCTAAACCAGCTTTCACACTAGGAAACACTTTCCCCCAAAGCCATCTTTTGAAAAATGTGGTGAAAGCTATGGACTGGTGCTGTCCAATGAAAATATAATGTGAAGCACATATGTAATTTTATTTATTTATTTTTTTAGAAACAGGGTCTTCCTTTGTCACCCAGGCTGGAGTGCAAAGACAAGATCATAGTTCACTGCAGCCTCGAACTTCTGGGCTCAGCAATACAAATAGCTGGGACCTGGGACTACAGGCACACTACACGACGCCCAGCTAATTTTTTGGATTTTTTTAGAGATGGGTCTTGCTATGTTGCCTAGGTTAACCTCAAACTCCTGCCCTCAAGCCATCTTCTCACCTCAGCCTCCCAAGTGCTAGGATTATAGGTGTCAGCCACTGCACCCTGCTCACGTAAGTAATTTTAAATTATCTAGTGGCCACATTTTTTTTAAAAAGTGAAATTAATTTTAATCAAATATTATTATTATTACTCTTTTTTTTTTGGTGCGGAGTCTTGCTCTGTCGCCCAGGCTGGAGGGCAGTGGCATGGTCTCGGCTCACTGCAACCTCTACCTCCCGGGTTCAAGTGATTCTCCTGCCTCAGCCTCCCAAGTAGCTGGGATAACAGGCATGCGCCACCACACCCGGCTAATTTTTGTATTTTTAGTAGAGACGGGGTTTCGCCATGTTGGCCAGGCTGATCTTGAACTACTGACCTCAGGTGACCCACCCGCTTCAGCCTCCCAAAGTGCTGGGATTATAGGCGTGAGCCGTCGCGCCCGGCCATAATCATGTATCATTTAACAAAACATAAAATATGATGATTTCAGCATATAATCAATATAAAAATTATTGAGGCATTTTACATTATTTTTTCATACCAAGTCGTCGAAATCCAGTGTGCATTTTACACTTCCAACGCATTTCAATTTGGGCATTATATTTTCAACTTTAGTCCTTAAATGTAGTGCTTAAAAGAAATGTTAACGACCTGGCGCGGTGGCTCATGCCCGTAATCCCAGCACTTTGCGGGGCCGAGGCGGGTTGGTCACCTGAGGTCAGGAGTTCGAGATCAGGCTGGCCAACATGGTGAAACCCCATCTCTACTAAAAATACAAAAAATTAGCCGGGCGTGGTGGCGCACGCCTGTAATCCCAGCTACTCAGGAGGCTGAGGCAGGGGAATCGCTTGAACCCGGGAGGTGGAGGTTGCAGTGAGCCGAGATTGCACCACTGATCCCAGCCTGGGAGACAGAGCAAGAATCCGTCTCAAAGAAAAAAAAAGTAAAGAAATGTTATCCTGCTTCAGTTTTAAATGTTAAATTATTTAAAATTACGTAAAACAAAAAATTCATGGTCTCAGTTACAGTAGCCACATTTCAACTGTTCGATAGCCACATGTGGCCAGTGGCTACCGTTAGGGAAAGAGCAGCTTTGGATCTTCGCCTTTGGAATTTTGCTTGCACTTCTGGGGGCCGGGGAGCTCACGGACCTCATGAAGTTCATCCTTGCTTTATATGCTCCTTGGTTAAGAATTGTCCTTTTCACGTTTTATAAGCCAATTCACAGTGTAACAGTCTAGTTACTTTCCGTATGTTCAGTGAACATTATTCACGTTTTCTTATGAATAAATTCCTCGGGCGTATCAAGCAACCCTATAGAAGGCTGGAAAGTGGACTATTGATTTGGATTTAGAAAAATAAACTGAAGATACAGTGGTTGAATCACTTTTGGCCGCTTTTATGTATCACTGTCTTCTGGTGTGATGGACAGGGTTAACTTCTGTTAGGGTTACTGGTTTTCACCTTCCTGACAGGTAAACTTCTGGGTCTGCACTTTTCAGAGCATGTAAAGCTCTTTCAAAAAAAAAAACGCAGGCAGTAACCGCTGAACTTGCATAGATAGAGATTTATCCAAAGTACCCTTCTATTTTTAGGCAGAGCAACTGCTTGCCAATTTAAATTTCTGGAGAGAAAAATGCACCCACTACAAAACGGACGAGCGGAGGGTTAGACCTTTGCCAGGTAGCGCTCAAAATCCGCTAAGACTACTCCCACCGAAACTCGGTAGCGCAGTTGTCTTTCCGCAGCTGCTTCAGCCAGCCCCAGCAAGCCCGAGCGCCCGGCGCCGCCGCCACCTTCCCCGCCCCTGCGCGGCGCGGCTGGGACTGGCCCAGAGGCGTGGCCGGGAGCGGAGGGGCGTGTCCTGGGTCGGGGGTGGGGCGAGGGAGAGCCAGGAGGCGGAAGTTCCCGCGGGCGGTGGGGACGGCGCCCTCACCGCGAGTCACTTGTCAGCCCTTGTCTGAGGCGGAGGCAGCCCCGCGCCGCGCCGGACCCGAGGTGAGTGGCGGCCGGCCGGCGATGCGCCTCTCGGATCTCCGGTGGGAGAAGGGAAAGAACCGGCCGCTGTGCGCCGAACGCGAGAAGGGAAGCCCGGTTGGGGACGAGGAGGGGGCGCTCCTCGGGCAGGGATGGCTCCTCAGGTGCTTTCTGGGCGCGGAGCGGCGGAGGTGGGAGAGCAGCTTGGGAAAAGGAGCGCCCGGAAAAGGGCAGCGCTGGAGTCCGCATGAGGCCAGAGGGCGAGCCCTGGGGTCCCCGCAGCCCGGGCCGACCGGGACCAGCGTAGCGGAGACGGGGACGCGGGAGGGCGCCCGGAGGTGGCGAGGGCCGGCAGGGACGGGCACTGCCGCTCCCACCCACCCGGCTGCCGGCGTCGCCCGGCACCACCGTGGTGTGGTGTCTGAGTGCCCAGTCCTGCGCCAGTCTCTTGGAGGGTAGGAAGCGGGACTCAAAGGAAAAGGCGCGTTAGTTTTTCTTTGCTCCCAGGCTACTGAGAAGCATTTATTTCTCCCCCAGATATTTACAGTTTTGTGTAACCTGTTTGGGGAAAACTTCTGCGCGTCCAGAAATAAAGCTCGTTTAAGAAACACATTTGTCATGAACACGAGATTTGTTAACACTTGAGTACTTGTTGGGGCTTTTGTAAGACTGTGCCTTCGGTGCGTTTTACAATAAGTGGAAAAAGGAAGGGCGTGTGGACAGGGCAGAGCTTGGAAGGAAAATTCGTGGCGGCGCTGGGCAGGGCAGATTTAGGGTGTGATCGCCAGATCCTATCCCAAGTCCGCCTTCCTGACGGGGAGGACGTCTGAACCCGCCTGCCACGGAAACGGCCCGTTCGGTAGCCTTATTTGGCCAACAAGGCTAGGCGCGAATCCCTCCTGGAAAACTGTCCTGTCGGCTGCTTTCATCCTGTGCCTGTGGCTTTAGTTCTTCAGCTCTACCTACATTCTCTCTCCATTGCGGGGAAAGAGAATCTCAAGATATTTCTCTTTAATTTCAGGCCTTTTTTTTTGTCACTCTGTGTAGTTCATCTTGAGTTCTCCTTTCTCCCCTCTCACCCACTAATGAAGCTGAGATACAAGTGTGGGAAATACCAAGCTTCCTTCCCTAGTACTAGAGCAAAGACATTGTTTAGACTTTCCCTAAAAGAAAATCCATAACTCTACAGAAATTCCAACCTTTTCGACGTGTTTGAAAGAGTATGCTGCTATTTCCTGCCTGCTTGGTATTTGAGGAAGGGCTTGGGCACTAATAACCAGATGGAGGAGTCTTGGAAAGGCCAATAAAAATATTGCCATTGCTTGGGGCAGAGACTGTTTTAAGGCAGATGAATTCCAAATGAAGCTAGCAGAAGAAGCATCTAGAAATGAACGGACAGTGACTAGAAATGAAATGACACTGGTTTTGTAGTGTGGCTGTGACCTTGCCAGTGCTAGGAATTTTAATAACAAATGAGAGAAGTTAGGAAGGGAATCCCCAAGTAAAGGGAAGTTGCAAGTACATGGGTTGATAATCTAAATGAAATACATTTTCTTGTAGGGAAGAATGGGGCCAGAGGAAGTTGAGCCCAACTTTCATATTATTCCCCAGACACAAGTTAAAGATTAATAAAGGAGGGCAGGCTGCCTGTGAAATATCAGTTGGCTTTACACGATTCTGATTTGTATCGTGTCAATATCAGGACAGTCCTTCTATTAGTTTTCTGAAAATCTCCTCCTTTTATAGCGGGAAAGCAATTGAATTATGTGTGGCTCGTTATTAGCTTCCCACTAGTAGTTTTTCACCTATATATACAGTTTGACTTCCGGCTTGGCCTTTGGATCTTTTTTAGTGCTCTGTGCCTATTACTTCATTACTGAAGTAATGTGTTATTGCCTTGTAGTTCAGTATACTACCACGCCAGTAGAAAAGCTGTTTCGGTTTCTGATACAATTTTCTGTAATTTTTATTTTCCCTGATATAATTTTTCTTTAAAAACCAGGCTTATTTGAATGTTTTGCCCCATTTTCCCTTTATGAGAAGAAGGAATGTTTGCTTTAAATATACCTATGGCTCAAATATCTATATCTGCAACTATGAATTTGGGGTGATGGGCTAGAAATTTTGAATGGGTTAAAACATATTTTAAGACAGGTAATATTAGGTGGTGATTTGGTTGAATAGCTTACATTTTCCAAGGAAGTATGTTTTTAATATAAAATTACATATCTGTTATGTTTTTAATATTTTTTAAAGAGAGAGAATTATTGTTTCTTAGTATTCCATTAAAACAAAAGAAAACTTCATTCCTCTGTCTCCTGCCGTTATAACAACCAATAGGAAACTCGAAGTTTTTTTTTTTTTTTTTGCTTTTTAAAAATTATATGAAAGTACTACTAGGAGAGTCATCACACGCACACTTAACAGCAGAACAGACAAAAGAAAGCACCGAAGCACTGGTTCTTTTCTAAACTGCCAATTCCATTTGAATGCATTAACCCAGCACTTTTGCTGTATTTAGTCATAATCTTATTCACTGAGTGGCAAATGCTTACTCTCTGCCTGGTGAGGTGTGTGTATAAAACAAAAAGCAGGTTGTGACTAACATCACTGTACTAGAGTATTGCCTATCGTTGACTATCTGAAGGAAAAGTAGATATCACTTTAAGTGTGGAAAATACCATGTCCCCATAGGAGGAAATACAAGTTGTAGTTCATGATTGGAGAGAATAGTTTTGTGCATTGAAAAACAGCTTCTCATTGTAAAGAATTTAGTATTTGGAAAGCATGAATGGGAGCCTACTGATTTGCAGTCTCTTTCACATGTTAGAGTAACTTAGAATTTAAGTAAGTGCAGTTGAAAGACTCTTGTCAATTGCAGACAAAAGAATACATGAAGTGGAGGGAAGGAGAAAATTATTCTGAATTCAACCTGAAATAAAATCTTGCTACATTAGTGAAGTATTGTAAAGTACTTTGAGTTAAACTTTGCATGCAAGAAGCCACAAAATTGGATTGAAGCAAGTTGTGAAACATACTAAGTGTCTAGAAATGTATTCTGATATGGAATTTTTAGACCATGGAAATTGCCATGAGTGTAGAAAATTTATATTAGCTCACAGATTGCTTTTCTTAAACTGAAATTAATGAAGAACTTAATTAAGACTTATCTTCTATATCCTCTCACCCCCCTCAAACAAAATACTAAACATAATTTATGTTCTAGGGTTTCAAGTAAACATTTTTGCTAATCATCTGATTTTCTTTCACAGCATATTTCATTTTCTGTCATTGGACTTTGAGCCATTAGAACCATGAGCAACTACAGTGTGTCACTGGTTGGCCCAGCTCCTTGGGGTTTCCGGCTGCAGGGCGGTAAGGATTTCAACATGCCTCTGACAATCTCTAGTGTAAGTAAACTTTACAAATTTTATTATAGATGTTCATTCAGTGCTTAGTCCTCGGGCTGAGTTGTTTAATTCTCTGTTGACCTGTACTCTACTTATTATCATTGCTCCTGGGATTTGATCTTGGCAAATTTGATTATCTATAATAAAGGATGAGGGGAGTAGATTTAGCAAGGATAACTGACTTCAATTTAACTTCTTTTCGTTTTCCCCCATGTTATCAATAATAAAATGGAAAAAGCATTTAACTAGGAACAGACTGTACATTTTTGAACTGTCCCTAATTTGGGGAATTCTCTGAATCTTCGTTCTTTCATATATAATTTTCAAAGGTTGTGCTATGGGATTTTAATAATCTCTTTCAGTTCCAAAAGCTGTTTGTTAAAAACTGTTGATCAAAATTGAATAAAATGATTGTTTCGGAATTATTTCCTCAGCTCACTTTCTGGTGGAGGTGATAGCCAACAGTAAGATGGCCAAAAGCTACTTACCCTTGAAGAGGAAATGAAGGGCTTGGAGCTCCAACTAGATAGCCTATGAATAATTGAGATTTGGCTTTTTACCTCATTATGGATTTAGTTTGAATGTATTCTGTGTATATATTTTAAGGATATGTTTTCATGATGATGATGATAGCACTGATGAGAGGAGTAATTAAAGCTTCTATTTATTGAGACTTGACTATATGTCAGGTACTGTTTCACTTTCATCACCAGTAGGTAATTATTACTATTATATAAGTTTCTAAAAGGTTTGTTTTTGCATATTCAAATAAATATGAATTTCCATCTTCTTTTACTCAAATGGTGGCATATTATACACACAGTTTTTTTTGAGACAGAGTTTTGTTCTTGTTGCCCAGGCTGGAGTGCAGTGGCGCAATCTCGGCTCACCACAACCTCCATCTCCCGAGTTCAAGCGATTCTCCTGCCTCAGCCTCCCGAGTAGCTGGGATTACAGGCATGTGCCACCACGCCTGGCTAATTTTGTATTTTTAGTAGAGACCAAGTTTCCCTATGTTGGTCAGGCTGGTCTTGAACTCCCGACCTCAGGTGATCTGCCCACCTCGGCCTCCCAAAGTGCTAAGATTACAGGCGTGAGCCACCGTGCCTGGCCCACACTGTTTTATACTTTGCTTTTTTTTGCAACAATTTACCCTGAGATCATTCTCTATTAATATATAAGGAGGTATGTGTGTTTTTTTAAAACAATTGTATAATTTTATTTTATAAGGAAAGTGACATTTAACCAATCCCCTACTGAAGAGTATTTGTGGCATTTCCATATTACTGTTACAGTGGTACAGTGAATACCAAATATAAGTACATACATATATATGTGAATATATGTATCTACGTCATTTTGAAAGGTTGTGCCAATTTACACTTTTGTGCAACGCATGAAAATACTATTTTTGTGCCAGTCTTACCAACAAACTTGGATATTTATCAAGTGCTGTGAATGCATCATCTCATTTAATTATCATACCAACATGCAAAATAGTGATATTATTCCCATTGTATATAACTGTGCTGTGCGCTCACATGACTGTATGGAAGAGCTGGCTTTCCAACAGTTATGCTGTGCTGCCTCTTTAATAATTCACTTTACCTTAAATTTAGTTAGTTGTTTCTTTAATCAGATATTTAGAAGATTGTCATTTTGGTTAATAATATATGTGTATGTATAAATATATATACACACACATACTCTGCATCTTGTATGTGTATCCAACTTCATTTTGAAAGATTAAAAATAAGTTTGTAACGCCTAAATATCCTTATTAAAATACTGCAAATCCCATTTTACTAACGGAGTCTCCTTTGTTTCTTGGCTGTGGATTTTTTTAAAGTTATCTTTAATTTATCATCAATTTCTGCCTTGATTTCAGTTAATTAGATTTTATAAGGAAGTATATATATGTAATCCAGCCTGCAAGTTTTAACACCTTTCATGGTTAGATGAAATTTTAAATGTAAAGCATCCATGTGAAAATGTGTCATGTGATTTATTCCTGTTTGAGTGAGTTGGTATTTTATTTCTTCTACTGATGATCTATTATGGGAACAGGAGCAATCTTTGAGTATTATTGGTTTTTACGTTTTGTTAGCATTTTATATTTTAAATATTCTACTTTAATTATCTAAAGAAAGTTATTAGTTTAAATGCTTACTTTTTTGCTGAAAAAAAGTTCAGAAACAAATTGACACCTAAATGAGCCAAACTTAATTATCACTTTGTTGTGTGGTAATAGAAATGCAAATAGAGTATGTTTGCGAATTTTGTGGTACCGTGTCTTTAAAAAAGTTTCATGTGCTTCAGTTTCCTGGCAGACAGTTTGAGGTACTAGCTCCATGTTGTGATGCTGATACAACAGAACACTGTGTACATACATATGTGCCCTCCCCTGGCACAGAAGAAATGCTTTCCTTGTGTAGACAGAGTGCTAATTAAAGGATTTTGAACATACTGATTAAAAGAGACTATGGTAACAAAGCTGCTGAGTTATTTCTGTTCTCTTACAAAAGTCTCTGCCATCTACTGTGACCTTTTTGGGCCTTGTGCAGTGGGGCATGCAATTCATTCTGGACTGGAGAGGATTGGAAGGGGAGGGGAAGGAGAGAAGGGAATGTTGGCTCAATCGGGCTGCTAGGCTCTTGGCCTTTCATTGTAGTTATTTTTAACCCCTTGTGTGGTTTAAATATGCCTAGTAACATTGCCTAATAAAGGTTTGCGTTTAATAACTAATTTATATTGTGGTAAGATTGTTAATGTTATAAATTTTTAACTTACTCTCATCTTAATTAGTTCTTTGGTTATACTTTTTCTGCCTTAATTATGTAAAATTACTGGGATATTACTGGTCATCAGGTTCTTTAATTAATAGTATCAAGAAACAATTAAAACCTGAAAGCATGCTTAAAACATGTAATTTAATGATTCACTTACTTTAATAATGCACATGAAATTCTTAGCAAGGTCTGGCAGTCTCTCAATTATCTTTTATAATAATATTATAAACTTTAAAAAGAAAACTATTTAGAGACTTGAAACATTAAATATTTAACCCCCGTAGTTGTAGGGAACATACAGTTATGGTTTTGTTTTGTTTTTTTAAACTTATTGTCCACTGAAATTAAGAAAGGAAAAAAAATCAGAAGTTTGTACTTAGCTGGGAATCTGCATCTTTAGAGTTCAAAACTGTGCAATTTTTCCTCTGATTAGGTATTATTATGTTGAACTCCAAAGGGTCATTTACATTCCTTTATAACACTGGAGCTCTGGTGTATCGAATTGTGTTATGAGATAAGCCACTAGCAGGGACTTGAACATTCCATTTTCTTTAGATTTTGTTGTATCAGCATGTGAATATGCTGAATACAACTTGTATCCTAAAGCATACAAGCTATAACATTTTCACGTTGGACTCAAATTTCTTCATCATCTGTATTGTATGAATTTTGTATACTGTTTTGTTGGTGGATTTCTAACATAAGATTGCCAGTTCCTGCTAGCTTTTTAAAAAGATCCTCAGGTTGCTGTAGCTGGATGATCACATGTCATTTAATTTCCGATCCTTAAAATGGAGTGCGGGCTACCTAAGTTTGCAGGCTGTCTTTTTATGATCCTGTGTTTATGGAATTGCCCTGAAGCCATGGAATGTGAGGATGGGTTTCATTGTAGCAGTGTGGGTTTGTTGGTTTTTGCCAGTATATTTTATAACAAGAAATAGGAGACTTGTTGGATAATTCAAGGCTATATTTTGGCCAGTTGATAAAGATTATATATTTGTGAGTAACATCTTTTAAGTTGTTATATCCTAAAGTTGAAATACTCTGCTGTGTGTTACTTTCTCATTATGTTTGGGCTCTTTTCTTCACTGTCAATATTTGGATTACCTGAAGATGATATCCCAATTCTCTGTAAACACATTTTAGATGTTTCTTTAAGAGATAAGAATTAGGTCAAACTTTTTAACATCTAAATAACAATGACTTTGATTCTCAAGAGTTAGGGGAGGATAAATTGTTATAAGCTTGGACAAAATTCTAATTGGATTTGAAAAGCAGAAGAAACTTACTATTGCTTGGATTATGGAGCCCTGTTTGGGAGTCTAACACAGAACAGAGAAGGACAGAATTGTGAAACACTTTGCTATGAATTCATTGATTCAGTAGTTATAGTAATACTTCCTAGAAGCCACTGAAGAAGATACAAAGTGGGGAGTACAAAGGTTGGATGGAAAAGAAATAAGCACAGTGCTATAGAACTAGACAGTGTCGTAAGACCTGTCACAAGTCAATATTCTATGAAATGACAGATTCTGATAAGTGTTTCTCAGTTTCAGTGGGTGTAAATCTTTTGTTTGTGGGGGTTGGTTTCCTTTAGGAGAAGTTAATTGAACTGATCCTCAAAGGATGAAATTTAAACACCTCAAAGTCAGCATTTCTCCGTGTTGTCCAGTGCCTAGTGAAGATGAAGACTTTTCTTGCCATTGCTTGACTCCAAGTAAAGCTGTGAATGTAGTTGAGCGATTCTCCAGACCTGCCAGCTGCAGTTTCCCTCCTACCGGAAGACAGAAAGACTTTCAGTCCTCAAGCTGAAATGAGAGAGCCATCCTACCTTGAATAAATGGGCCCATTGTTAATTTTAAGCTCTTGAGTATTTTCTTTTATATTCCCTCCAAGCTACCCTGTCATTATGCCAAGTTAGAAAATTAATTTAGTTTGTATAACTATATGATGTATATTTCACATGTGTGTTCACTCTGCTTTAAAAATATTAATTACCTTTTGTGTGAAGTTCAGAGACCTGTCTTTTCCCATGTGGCAGTTTTATATGTTTTGTGGTCACAAATGTCAGGAATCTCAATGTAATTCTGGATAAATTTTTCTGCTCTATGATTTGTAAAGAAATGAAAATCTTATATTTTTTAATTGAAAATTAGTAGTTTTAGAAAAAAACGCACTTATTTGATTTTAGTAAACGTTGGGCATTTTGAAAAGTTATTCAGAGAAATGTTACTGGTAGGCAGGACTTTTGTATCTGATGGAGGAAACCGATGTAGGGTTTGGATAAAATAAGACTAGCAGGCTGGGCACAGTGGCTCACTCCTGTAGTCTCAGCATTTTGGGAGGACAAGGTGGGAGGATCACTTGATACCAAGAGTTCAAGGTTACAGTGGGCTGTAGTCATGCCACTGTACTCCAGTCTGTGCCACAGAACCAGACCCTGTCTCAAAAAAAAAAAAGAAAAAAAAAAAGGTAAGAATAGCACTTTAGACCTTGGGAAAGAACGTTTTCATGTAACTATTCATCTACTCGTGAGTTAGGTATATCTACCTACTTAAACTAAGAATAGATAGATAATAGATAATGTACAGCTGTATATTGGAATGACTTGGATTTAAATCTTAGCTGGAAAATCAGTTCATTAATTTGAGCTTCTGATTTTCTTTGATGTATGGGAAATGCTTTATAAATTAAAAAGTATACAGGTAGATTTGATTATTATTAATAATTTGGAGCCTGTGAGCTTTCAATTTTTTTTAGAACTTCTGAGGCAAAGAGCTTTTCTTTATGATAGTTGCTAGTCACACTACATGTGAATACACAGTTGAACAGTGGTCTTTGTCTATGACATCCTGTTAGCAGTAGTTCTTACCCAGATTCCCATATACCACAGGACCAGTTATATCTTTTTCCCCCAGTTACAACTGTATTGAGGACAAATCAGTTATGATTTAGTTATTTCTAGAAGCAAACGTTGCTTTAGACAAAAAAGGAGTTATTTAGCATCGTATGAGAGAGAATTATGTTTCAACTTTGGCAGATGAGACTCTAGGCCTTTATTTCAGTATCTGAGATGCAAAAAATATTGAGTACGTGACATAAAATTTGACAAAACTAGATATTAGCATGTGAAATAACAATATGTGGATCTGTTTGCAAATAAATGACCTAATGGAAATGAAAAGAGAAAACATTAAGTAACTAAAGAGCAGTGACCATGGTGTCTACTGATTCTTTAGGTATTCTATGTGTTGGGCCACTATATAGTCTTGTTGAGAAGGCAGGTTTGGTTCCTTAATTAACAGAGAGGGAAAAATCACTTTTCTAGCGTACTTTGTTTTTATTAAGAGGTTTTTTTTTTAAAGGTAATAAACTAAGAATGGACAAAGCAGAGAATATTGAATGAGTATCCCCTTATTCCTTCACCTTTCTTATTTTTTTGTTTCCTGTTTAAGTATAGTTATCTACCCTTCTGTAAATACTCAGATTTCTTTTATAGCTGATGTTGTCACCCATTTTTTATGACAATTACTAGAACAGAGTTCACCAACCTTGTTGGCATTTAGTAACTGGACTCCCAACTGGGCTAAGCAGTTGTAGTAAATGTCCCTAATAGGCGTAAATAGAGGAGAGTAAAATGAACTGGAAATGTTAATAGGAGGGAATGAGAAAGAAAAAGTTAGATGAGAGAAAAAAATAAAGAGGACTTTTTAAAAGGCTGCAGCGTGTCACCCAGGCGGGAGTGCAGTGGCGCGATCTCGGCTCACTGCAACCTCCACCTCCTGGGTTCAAGCAGTTCTCTGCCTCAGCCTCTTGAGTAGCTGGGATTACAAGCATTCGCCACCATGCCCAGCTAATTTTTTTGTATTTGTGGTAGAGACAGAGTTTCACCATGTTGGCCAGTCTGGTCTCGAACTCCTGACCTTTGATCCAGCCACCTCAGCCTCCCAAAGTGCTGGGATTACAGGCGTGAGCCACTGCACCCAGCTTAATTTTCTTTAGGTAAGACATTCATATGGTTCAAAATTCAAAAGATACACGAGCGTATAGGGGGAAATGTCTCCTGGTGCCCTGCTGTTCATTTCCTCCTCCTGGAAGCCACCTGTGTTAGTAGTATACTTCCAGAGATAATCTATAGGTATATCTCCTCCCCACCCTCCTTTTAACACAAATAGTATGCTTAATAGAAATACTTTTTTTTTTGGCATTTTGTTCACTTAACCCAACATCAGTAAATATATCTTCATTCTTCATTCCTTTTTTACCACTACACTGTGTTTGGATTTGTCATAATTTTTTAAATCAGTTCCTATTGATAGACAATTAGATTTTTTTCTAGTCTTATGCTTTTACTGACACTGCAGTGTAAGTTTTGCCCATATATGTATATATATATGTGTAGACATTTAAATTTTTTCTAGTCTTTTGCTTTTACTGACATTGAATTTAAGTTTTGCCTATATATGTGTATATGTTTGTATATTTGTATATTTGTCACATAAATTCCTAGAAATGGAATTGATGAGTCAGAGGGTGTATGCATTTGTAATTTTGACTGATATTGCCGTCTTTATAGAGACACTCCTGCTCATAATATGAGGATGCCTATTTCCCCATACCTATGCTAGCCTAAGTTTCAACAGACCTTGATCATTTCCAATCAGATGGGCCAGTTTCCACCTGTCTTCTTTTTACAGGGCTCAGTCACAAGTATTTTACAAAGGATTTTCTGTGTTTTCAAGTGGTTTGTTTTCCATTTTGCAAGATAATCTAGGAAATAAAAACATGCTGCTCTTCTTTAAATGATACCATTAATTTCTTAAAGATGCCATTTTCTGAATTCTTTCGTCCAGAGCTTTTGTTAGTAATTATCTCCATCATTTGTTTCCCATTTCTAAACTAACTTCCTCTCTATCTTAACCTATTACTCCCAGTTACATGGCAAAAGATTTTGTGTTTTTGGCATAGTGCCCTGTCATAGACTTTTTGGAAAATTAAGCAAATCACATTTAATAGATTCAAAGTTGTTAACTTTGGAATCTGTTCAGTAGGCTGATATACAATCAACCCTTGAACAAAACAGGGTTTAGGGGCACCAACCCCCTGTGCAGTCAAAAATCCATGTGTAACTTTTGACTCCCCCAAAACTTAGCTACTGATAGCCTACTGTTGATCAGAAGCCTTACCCATAATATAAACAATTGATTAATGCATATTTTGTATGTTATAATATTAAATACTGTATTCTTAGAATAAAATAAGCTAGAGAAAACATTTAAAAATAAGGAAGAGAAAATATATTTACTGTTCATTAAGTGGAAGGGAGTCATCATAAAGGACTTCATTCTTGTCATCTTCACTTTGAGTAGGCTGAGAAAGAGGAGGAAGAGGAAGGGTTGGTCTTGCTGTCTCAGGGTGTGCCAGGTAGGTTAGGTGGAGGTGGAAGGGAAGCAGGAGAAAGCAGGAGAGTTGGGCACACTTGGTGTAACTTTTATTGAAAAAAATCTGTCTGTAAGTAGACCCGTGCAGTTCAAACCTGTGTTGTTCAAGGGTCAACTGTATGTGTGGTTTTGAATTCTAGTCTTTAGCTCCTTTTAAATGATGTGACAAGGAGACTGACCATTATGAGGTGTTCACTATGGTCCGAGGAATGGCAAATTTCACCCTTATGAGACTCAGTGTGTTTTTATTATCAACCTTTATTAGCTAATGGAAGTTAACTGAAATCAGGTAGGTTTATAGAGTGTTCTGTAGCATAGTGAGTCAGGCATTGTGAAGGTATACTAATGTGTGGCACAAGGTAGTTACTCATTTTAGCCTAGTGTGAGCAGCAGAGTGTATGTGTTGGTAACTATAGTAACAAAAAGAGTAAGGATGCCAGGGATATTTATATTTTTTTGTAGTAAAGATGAGGAAAGGAGGAATTTCTCTTTAGTGTGTTGCTGTAAATGTTAAATATGATGAGAAGAGTTTTGAATTAGAGAAGAATTTGCAACACTTGTTATTTGGATTCTGTGAATTGTTAAACATTTTTTTCCCCAAGGTCCAGAGATTGATTTAACAATGGCCACTGTACTTCATGATAATTGTCCTGGCTAAATTTTAATTGAAGAAAAGAGAAAGTAGTTACGGTAATGACATTAACAATTTAATGCTGTTTACCATTGATTGGATCAGGGATTTAAGTGTTGTGATTCAGTTCCATTGAGATCTAATTAACAGCCCAGTATTTTTCAAATGATTTCTGGGATATTAACTTTTGGAAGTGGTAGAATTAAGAGATTTAGTAAGGCTGTATAACACTAGCCAGAGCAGACTATGTTCTGAAAGTATGTTTGTTCTGAAAGTATTTTTCTTCTGAGAAAACGTTACCGGAGGACAGATGTCCTTTAGAAAACAAATGTTTTGTCCCTTAACTAGGACCCCTTAGAAATGTTCTGGAGAAAGAAATTATATCTAGCTAGCTAGCTATCGTGTTACACATATAATTTCCATGATTTTGGTCATTCCTTTGAAGTATCTTTATGCTACTCACTTGCAAATATCCTACAAATGGTTGTTTTGATCTTTTTAGGGTAGACGTTTCTGTTTTGTTTAAATGTACCTCTGTCTATTCTGGAAGATTCTGGTTATTTGGTGTCCAGTTCTCTGAGTGATTCTTTGCTATTTTAGCAGACAAAAGTATTTCCAAAATTCATCAATGGCTTATTCTCCTTCAGGCTGGTTCCTTATCCTCAGGCTAGCATCTTGACTAGGCAATAATTTTAGAAACTTATATTTAATATATTACTGCCTTATTTAAGAACTGTATGAGCTTCCCATTATCTTTTGAATTATTACTTAATTTCTCTGGTTGGTTTTCAAGTTGCATATAAATGGGCCCGTTTAATATAACTTGAGTTTATAGTCCAAAATGCCAATTTTGAACCCTGAAGTTCTTAGTCTTTTTATTCTTTTTGCATACTACTTTTGTTTATTCTTATCATCCCTAAAGCCCTATCTCTTCCTCTAGGAACATTCATGTATCCTTTGCTCTCTGAAATGTTTGACTATTCCAGTTCAATTCGGTCTCCTTTCTTTCCTGTATTAAATAATAATGATAATAATGAAAATATGCTAACGTTTATTGATCCCTTGTTACTGTTTGGGTCCTGTTCTAGATGTTTTGTACATGTTCGATTATTTAATTCTCATAACAGCCCCATGGGGAAGTGTGATTTTATTTTATTTTAGTTTTATTTTTTTGAGATGGAGTCTCGCTCTGTCACCCAGGCTGTAGTGCAGTGGCATGATCTCGGCTCACTATAACCTCCACGTCCTGGGTTCAAGCGGTTCTCCTGCCTCAGCTTCCTGAGTAGCTGGGACTACAGGCCTGTGCCACCACACCTGGCTAATTTTTGTATTTTTCTTTTTTTTCAGTAGAGACGGGGTTTCACCATGTTGGCTAGGCTGGTCTCAAACCCCTGACTCCCGCCTCAGCTTATCAAAGTGCTGGGATTACAGGCATGAGCCACCTTGCCCAGCCAGGAAGTACAATTTTAAATCTCTGATTTAGAGATGAAGAAACTGAGGGGCAGAGAGGTTAAGTAACATGCCCAAAGTTACACAGCTGATAATTGGTTAGGCTCAGGATTTGAAACCAGCCAAACTGAGTAGTAATAATGTGTTTACCTGTTATGCTCTTATTTCCGAGGAATAGATGACAGTTCTCACTAGAGATAGCCAAATTTGTGTGTTTGTGTATGTGTGTGTATGTGTGTGTATGTGTGTGTGTGTCTGTTTCTTTTTTTTTTCCCCTTTGTTTTTGAGACAGGGTCTTGCTCTGTGGCATGGGCTGGAGTGCAGTGGCACTGTCACAGCTCACTACATCCTTGACCTTCTGGGTTCAAGTGATCCTCCTACCTCTACCTCAGCCTCCCAAGCAGCTGGGACTGCAGGTGCATGCCACCATGCCTGGCTAATTCTTTAATTTTCTGTAGAAACAGGGTCTCATTATGTTGCCCAGGCTGATCTGTAACTCCTGACCTCATGTGATCCTCCCATCTCAGCCTCCCAAACTGTTGGTATTATAGGCCTGAGCCACTGGGCCAGGTCTGTGTGTTTCTTAACCAGAGAATAGATCCTAGAGAATCAAAAACTTGTATGTATGGGAGTAACTGAGATTATTAACAAAAAAATATATAACTGGTTTCCAGACTGACTAGTAGTCAGAATCATCAGTGAGACTTTGAAAGTGTGGATCCAAGGACTTTGACACAGACTTTGAATTTAGGATATTTAGGGATTCATTAGATTCCACATTTTTAACATGCTTTCTAGATGTTTCACCTGCACCAGTTGGGTTCCATTTTGTATACTTATGTTTGGGAACCATATGTAGCTTTGCTTTTGTAAAAACAAAAAAAAAATTTTATTATAGAGCTTTTGTTACTTAGATCATTTCAGCAAAAATGTTAAGGGTAAGTTACTTGGAATTTGAACTGGAGTTGACTAAATAATGTGACAGATCTGCTTTTCTCTAACTGCCAGCCTCTTCCTGATTTTTCAGAGTTCAGTCACCATAGGTCAAGTCTTTTATAGAAGTAAATGGCAGTTTTAATAATATATGATGTCAGGTATTAGTTACGTTTATGATGCTGTAAACACCTTTATGACAAATGAAAGATTTGGAGGACTTTGAAATTGGCATGCTATTTATAATATTTTAATGCTTTAACAGTTAATACGGAATGTTAGATTTACCAGAGACTTACAGAGAAATCCTTGGCTATACTAGGTTTTGTTTTACACCTCATGATAAAGTGGTTTCATTAAAGTTAAAACAAACAAGTTACAGTCTTTTAAGGCCATGGCCAGAGAGATCAATTCAAATATTTGGACTCCATGTTAGATTTCACAGCAGTACAGTTTAAGTATAATGAATAGTTCATGTATTTTGTTAGATCATGAGCCTCTCTTATCACTCAAGAAAACCCCCGAGTCTTATTTATTCAAGATTACTTTAGAATTCCCAGTACATGTTCAGTAACTATTAATGATCACAGTGGTAATAGAGAACGAATGGGAAGCTGGGTTGCCATTGCAATCAAGTTTCTTCTAGATTTGTTAATGTACCTGATTGATAGAATTAACTGAGGAAAGTTTTTTTTTTTTTTTTTTGAGACGGAGTCTCGCTCTGTTGCCCAGGCTGGAGTGTGGCGGCATAATCTCAGCTCACTGCAACCTCCGCCTCCCGGCTTCAAGCAATTCTGTGCCTCAGCCTCCTGAGTAGCTGGGATTACAGGCACCCACCACCATGCCTGGCTAATTTTTGTATTCTTAGTAGAGACAGGGTTTCATCATTTTGGCCAGGCTGGTCTTGAACTCCTGACCTCGTGATCCACCCGCCTCAGCCTCCCAAAGTGCTGGGATTACAGACATGAGCCACCGTGCCTGGCCTAATGAGACATTTTAATGAAACATTTTGGTTTTCCTTGTTTTCAATCCTAATCAGGATTTAAGTTTCTAGGAAGTATCCTAGAGGTTACATTATATGATAGACCCTTACTTCCCAAGGTGGTCTTCCCATGTGTCAGCCAGGATTTGTTTTTTGTCTTTCCGACCCAACAGTTCTACTTCTTTTCTTTAGTGCCCTGCACAACAAACATGCATGTTTGCACATTACAGCCTTTCAAACAGGGGAATGAGTTATATTTCCCTTTGAGTCTTGTGGATATTCTGTAAGAAGCCATTTCTTCAAATGTTTCTCTCATGACAGCTTCCCTATCTTCACATCCCTTAGCATTTACCTTTAAAAGTAGTTTAGGTTTTAATTGTCTCTTTAAGTCAACTCCTAGAACTGAACCTAATACCTCAGATATGTTAAGACCAATGCAAAGTTTTAATTATGAAGTAAGGAAACTGATTTTTGTATGACTTGATGGTGGGATTTAGAAGCTGTTCTGAGCAATGAGCTTGATGGAACTTTCACTTTTTTCCCTCTATGCACTTTTTTTTTTGGGATGGGGTCTTGCTCTGTCACTCAGGTGGAGTGCAGTGGCACAATCAGAGCTCCATGCAGCCTTGAACTCCTGGTCTCAAGCGATCCTCCTGCCTTAGCCTCCCAAGTAGCTGGAACTGCAGGTGTGCGCCACTGTGCCCAGCTAATGTTTTACATTTTTTGTAGAGATGAGCTCTTGCTTTGTTGCCCAGGCAGGTCTCAAACATGTGGGCTCAAGTGATCCTCTGGGATTACAAGAATGAGCCACGGTGCCTGGCATCTGTGCACTTTTGTACTGCTTGAAATTTTTACAATTTCTATGTCTTCTGTTTAAGAGAAGACATAAAAAGGAAAGAAAACTAAACCTAGTCTGTGCTCTGTCCATGTGCATATTTAGGCTTGTCTGGACATAATATGGAGATTAGGAGAGCCTAAGAGAAGCAGATGTTTTTGTTTGTTTTGTTTTTAGGTGCATATGTCTGTGGTGTGTGTTTGGATGAGAAATCAAAGACTCATGAGAATAAATTTAGGAAAAACATAATTGAGGTGTAGTCAAACTTAGTCCTTGTCGATTTTATTGTTACTACTTACTATCTTTTAGGAGAAGTGGGTAAATTCTCAGTATGGCAGGTTATGTCCTGTTGGTATGGTTTTCTGAATGACACATGTCAGAGCCATAAGAAGAGGTGTTAGTCAACACATATTTATTGATCTCTTACCATGTTCTGGGCCTTGGATATAGAGTGTGCTTTTCCATTTTCTGACAAAGGCCACATGGCACATGATATGAAATGTAGGAAGGAGATTGGACATAGGAGAGGACATAAATGTCATCAGATCTAGGAAAGGAAAAGATGAGCGTTGATCACATAGCCTGTGTCAGGGTTGCAGGGAACTTCTAGACTAGGATTTATAGAACCCATGGGGCAGACACAAAAGTAGTAGTGGCAGACAGAATCATTTATTCTGTATCTTTATTGAGTGCCAGCTATGTGCTCTGTACTGTTGTATGCACTGAAAATACAGTGATAAACAAAACAAAGTTATGTACCTTATAGTCTAGTAAGGGGGAATGGTAACTCACACACAAAAAAAACAAAAAACATAAGCAATGTAATTTAATAAGGTGATGTGCCAGAGAGTAACTGGAGGAAAGGGATGGGTGTTTAGGGGTAAGAGTTTCATTTTTAGATTGGACAGTCAATACAGGCCCTCTGAGGAGGCAGCATTGACCTAAGAATGAGAACTAATCACGTGAAGAGCTGGGAAAACACATTGCAGGCACAGAGATTAGCAAGTGCAGGGGCCTTGAGACAGGAAAGAGCTGAATGTGTTTAAGAAATAGAAAGAAGGCTAGTGTGGCAGGAATGCTGTGAGCAAGGAGGAAAGTGGAGTGAGAATAGGGAGTATGTCCAGTGCCAGGGTGAGAGATAAAGAGGTTCCTGGTAATGAGGAGGATAACATTGGAGGCCATGGTAGGACAACTCCTGGGGATTTTAGATGGATTTTGATTCCTCTGGATTAGAGCTGAGCTAGAGAGAGTGGGTTACTATTATGGTGATCTGACCATATCTCCAGGCTGGTATGTTTCATAAATTGCTTTTGATAGAAATTCCAGGGCAAGAATTTAAAATTTTTTTTGAGCAAAGGAATAACTGTATAGCCTTCTGAGGTGACTATTTGGAAGTGAAACACTCATTTAAATATATGTTTGTCTTGAAAATTTTTAGTTATAGTTCTAACACATACATGATTTTTTTTCATTATTTGCACACTGATTATATTTTTCCTATTTTGCATTCTTTTAATTTTTTTTTTTTTTTTTTTTTTTTGAGACAGAGTCTCACTCTGTCGCCCAGGCTGGAGTGCAGTGGCGTGATCTCGACTCACTGCAACCTCCGCCTCTCGGGTTTAAGTAATTGTCCTGCCTAAGCCTCCCCAGTAGCCGGGAGTACAGGCACATGCCACCACACCCGGCTAATTTTTTGTATTTTTAGTAGAGAGGTTTTCACCATGTTAGCCAGTATGGTCTTGATCTCCTGACCTCGTGATCCGCCTAGCTCGGCCTCCCAAAGTGCTGGGATTACATGCATGAGCCACTGTGCCTGGCCTAAATTTTGTTATTTTTTATTGTTAGATGTAGCTTGTCTCCCAGATGGCTTCTGTTTTCCTTTCCTTGTGATGTTACGACCTTTTCTACTTTAATAAAGAAATGTTGCATACACATTCAGGAGTTGTTTACAAATTATGCTGGTAACACATTTATTAGAATTTGCCTCAAAGACAAAGTGAGTGTTAGGATGTTTATTCTAGGTCAGATCTGTTGAGCTGAAAAAATTTTTACAGTATATCTATTTTTAAAAAGAATATTTTAGCCAATTGGTTGGCTAATATACCCAATGCCAAGAGTTACATTTTATGACCCTTTTATTATTTCTAGTGGAGGGTGTGTATAAGTTTTAATATGTTTTTCATTTCTGAACTTTCAGAGAGATCACTTGATTAGAGTTAATGTCTAGTTTCAGTAAATTCAGATTTTCAGCCTTCAACATTGTAATTGACAAAAATGTCATCAGTATCATATAGCTCTAGGTCCTCAGTAGTAGATAATAATGTCTACATTATGAAGTAGTAAATTATGTAACTTCATACTTCATATTTGTATTGGTCTGTTCTCACACTGCTAATAACATATCCAAGAGTGGGTAATTTATAAAGGAAAGAGGTTTTTTAATTGACTCACAGTTCCACATGGCTGGGGAGGCCTCATAATCATGGTGGAAGCGAAGGAGGAGCAAAGTCACATCTTACATGGCGACAGTCAAGAGAAGAGATCATGTGCAGGGGAACTCCCCTTTATAAACCCATCAGGTTTCGTGAGACTTTTTCACTATCATGAGAGCAGCATGGCAAAGACCCGCCCCCATCATTCAGTTACCTCCCACCAGGTCCCTCCCATGACATGTGGGAATTATGGGAGCTACAATTTGAGATTTGGGTGGGAACACAGCCAAACCATATCAATATTCAAGATCAGCTTTTTATAAATTCAGGGTAGCAAGTTTTTCTGTGAGTTTTGGGGTATAGTTGCAAAATACTACTTTAAAACCAACTTATAAATTACCTGTTATATTAAATATGATAACACAATACACCATAAAGTCTACTTGAGAGATAGTTTCGTAAAAGATTTTATCTTAGATTTAAAGTAATCTAATAGTACTTAAATTTCTAGGCTTAAAAAAAAAAACTTCAGTTAACCATGATTATATAGTGATGAATAGTCAAATATCTGTAAACATTATATTATCAAAACTAATATATTAGTACTGTATTTTTCTTGCTTTTTTCATAGCAGTCTTTTAGGATTTATATTTTCTCCCAACATAATACTTTAGAATTACATTTTTAGTGAACTGTATTCTACATGCTGTTGATTGTAGTTATTACAAGTGCCAGCCCTGGAACAGAATGCCTGTGTGTGGATCATGGCTGTGTAATTTACCAGCTGTAATTTACCACTGGTCAAATTACTGAACAGTGCCCCAAGTTCTTTACCTGTCAAATAAGGGTAAAAATATTTGCATCATAGGATTGTTGAGAAAATTAAATAAATTAACACTTGTAAGGTTTTTAGAAGTGCCTGGTACACAGTAAGTATTCAGTTAAGGTTACCTAATAACATTGTAAGTTACCTTATAAGTATTTGTACTTACAAAGATCTTATAAGTATTTATACTTACAAAGATCTTATAAGTATTTATACTTACAAAGACCTTATAAGTATTTGTACTTACAAAGACCTTATAAGTATTTGTACTTATAAAGACCTTATAAGTATTTACTAGTAATAGGGAGTTGAAACAGTTTTGAAACTATTATTGAAATAATATTTCTAGATGCCTCACTTCTTAGATAATATCATCTTCAAAATTCAATTCTGCTTTTCTTTTTTGAAGGTTTTTATGTAGGATTTTCTAGAAGCAATTTTTTTAATACACACACACACGCGCACACACACACACGCACACGCACCCTGTAGGTTTGGATTGAATTACTTATGAAGTCTCTTCTTTATAGTCAGTACATAGTAAATATTTGTTGAATGAGTGGTCCATTTCCTTCTTCCATCTGTCATGGTCTGGCATAAACTCTCCAAGAGATTTGAAGGGAGAGTTGGCACCAGTAGTACCTCCAATTAGACATTCTTTCCACAGTGATTGCCATTCAGTGTAGTTTTGTTTTGTTTTGTTTTGTTTTAGATTCTTTTAAAGTAGCATGAAACACAGTATTGCTGGTGATAGGCAGTTGCTCTAGGGAATAGTTTTCTGCAGTGAAGGATGAATTCACAAGACAGAATAGGTAAGTGGAATGAATGTAGACTAGATGAACTAAGCAATGTACCTGCCTTTTGTACTATTGCTTTCTAGGTGTTTTTCCAGCATCAGCTGCCTGTGGGTAGAGGTCACCATGCTCTTTATCTTGCCATCCTGCATCCCTGGTGGTGGCCAGCTAGACTAGGATGAGTGCCTCCCTAAATGCGGCATTTATAGATAAAGTTGGGAGATTTGTATGTTGTCACACTGGTTACAACCTCTGTGAATTTTATGAAATAAATTATAAAATTTAGCAAATCTGAACTTCAGTCATATAAATGTAAATTATTATTGCTCACTCCATTGATTTATTTACTCATTCCACAAATATTTATTGAACATTTATTATATGCAGGACATTGTCCTAGGAACTAAAGATACAGCAGTGAATAAAACAAAGTCTGTGCCCTCTCAAATCTATGTTTTAGGGAGGTGAAGAAGAGACAGTAAACAAAAATAAATGGTGATAAAATGGTATGGAGCAAAACAAAGAGGTATAGGGAAAGAGTGGCAGTTGCATGGGGCTTACATAATTTGTAGAAGGTGAGCAAATAAGACCTCACAGATAAGGTGACATTTGAGCAGAGATCTGGATAAAGTCCAGGAATAGTATTCAGGGCAAAGGGTAAAGACCTTGAGGTGAGCATTTGCTTGGCATGTTCAAGGAACAGCAAGGCTCCGATGGCTGGAGTAGGCAGAATGAGAGGGAGAATAGTAAGAGGTGATTTTATTTTTTTTATTTTTATTTTTTGAGACGGAGTTTCACTCTGTTGCCGAGGCTGGAGTACAGTGGCACAATCTTGGCTCACTGCAACCTCCACCTCCCGGGTTCAAGCAGTTCTCCTGCCTCAGCCTCCCAAGTAGCTGGGATTAAAGGTTTGTGCCACCATGCCAGGCTAACTTTTGTATTTTTAGTAGAGACAGGGTTTCACCATGTTGGTCAGGCTGGTCTCGAACTCCTGACCTCGTGATCCACCCGCCTTGGCCTCCCACAGTGCTGGGATTACAGGCATGAGCCACCGCGCCTGGCCCAGATGATTTTAGAGAGCTGAAGGTAGATACTTCTCAAAATTAAATCCTGTGCTATGGTTTGTTGATGGGACAGAAGCTCTTTTTCCTTGGATTAAAATAAGGTCTTGTCAACATAGTGGGTGTTTTGTTTGTTTTTGGTAAGCAGTAAATATTTTCTCTCAAGTTTGAAGTCTCTGCTGATTGCAATGTTGTTTTATTAAGGACTGATGTTAATTATTAATAGTATTTGAAGTTTTAAAAGGTTGTCAGTGGTGATATTTGCATTCTTGGTACTGTTGTTTGATATGTAGGAAGAGTAACTGATTATGAATGAGAAGTGGAGTCAGATTAAATACATAGTTCAGTGATAATTTTTATGGAGTGGTGACTAATTTATTTTCATTGTCATCATCCTAACAATAATACTCACTTTAAAAATCAAGGTGAAATAAAATTATTTTTGTCTTTACACCAAGATTTCAGCTTGAAAATGGAGGCTGAGAAATTTTAGTATCTTTTGGGTAATCACCAAAGTAACATGCAGATTATTCTAGGCATATTAGCATGTTGAATGTTTTAGTTTATTTAGGGATTTGTGAAATAACATTTGAAATTGCTTTTTAAATTTTTCTTTCAGAAGGCTTTCTTGGGAAACTTTGGTGTCATTCAGTGGATGATCATTAAAACATTTCATTTACATCTTTTTTATTGTTGTTTTTGTTTTTGTTTGAGACAGAGTCTTGCTCTGTCGCCCAGGGTGGAGTGCAGTGGTGCGATCATGGCTCCGTGCTACCTCCGCCTCCTGGGTTCAAGTGATTCTTCTGCCTCAGCCTCCCGAGCGGCTGGGATTACAGGCATGCGCCACCACGCCTGACTAATTTTTGTATTTTTAGTAGAGACGGGGTTTCACCATATTGGCCAGGCTGGTATGAAACTCCTGACCTCAGGTGATCTGCCCACCTTGGCTTCCCAAAGTGCTGTGATTACAGGTGTGAGCCACCATGCCTGGCCCATTTACACCTTTTGAAGACAGCTAATTTTATCTGGTGAAGTGGTAGCCACAGACCAATTGTCTTGGCTTCCGTGGTAGTCATTAGACTATTTTTATTAAAATTTTATTTCTTATTTGTATATTTTAGAGACAGGGTCTTGCTCTGGCACCAAGGCAGTCAAGATCACAGCTCACTGTAATCTCCATCTCTTGGACTCAAGGGATTCTCCCACCTCAGCCTCCCAGGTGGCTGGGATTACAGGCACATGCCACCATGCACAGCTAATTTTTTGAAATTTTTTGTAGAGGTGGGGTCTTGCCATTTTGACCAGGCTGGTATTGAACTGTTGCACTCAGGCTGTTCTCCTGCCTTGGCCTAGCAAAGCGCTGGGATTACAGAAATGAGCCACTGAAGCCAGCTGACATTTTCAGTAATAATAGCTAAGTATTTTCTTGGGAAGGGGCAGTTTTTCCAAATTATTTTTCATATCAACTTTGATTCCTTTTAAGACAAGTTTTATCATCGTTAGACAATTATCTAAGTTATCCCACTGAAAAGTTTTATAATCAACTTTATTACCCTTTGGGTCAATGAAACTTCTGCCCTCCCCCGCCTTTTTTTTTTTACCTAAAGGAGGGGCAAGAAATGCAAGAAATTTTCTCCTCAAAGGAGGTTGTTGTATAAAGGAGGGACTTATTCTAATGGAGAACTACTTTCTAAATTCAGTTTAATGGTAATGCTCTGAATGCCATGCAGATGATATGCCTCTCTAGAGTTGGTAGCAGTTTTAAAACTTAATTTTCAGTAATTCTGTTAAGGAAGTACTTTCTTCAACAAAAATTGGCAGTTGATTTAGCAGGCTCTTTAAGGTCTTACATTTGGTTTTTAGATAATTCAGATTTTTTGCAAATAAACAATGGACTCTTGAGTTTCATGGTCAATGTGCCCTTCCCTAGAAATGATGATGAGTATTTGCATTAGGGTTAATTCTTTTCAACTTAAAAGTTGTAGTCTTTCTTTAAATGAAAATAAAAATAAAAACTAGTAGGAAAAATGTAGAATGGTGATTACCAGGGTTAAGGGGCAGGTGGACACAGGGAGTTGTTTAATGAGTATAGTTTCAGTTTTGCAAGATGAAAAGTTCTGAAGTTCTTTTGCACAACAATATGAATATACTTAACATTACTAACTACACATTTTAAAATGGCATACATTTAAAAATGGTTAAGATGGTTAAAAAATAGGAGAAAAAATAGTATCATATTTACCTGGAGTTTTACAAATTACCTCGGGGTTGTTTAATTATGGTAATATGATTTTTTAACTAAATTGAACAGATTTACCAGGACATAGCCTCTATATTTCAAGACAGTGTAAAGTTTGTCAGAATTGGCAAATCACCTCCCAGTTCAATAACCCCAAGGCAGTTTTGTTATGCCTTCTCTTAAAACACACACAATCACTGTAAATATTTGCTATATATTGCTCTTAGGTCATTTCAACTGTTAGGTAACTCTTGAAGTTGTATCGTTTCTAAGCTAAAAACAAATATGTCATAAATATAATTCATGCCTACATGTCTCATGAGAATAAAGTATGGATGCACTTGATAATTTAGTATTAACTGTTGAACACTGAAACCTGATTCTGCCCACACATTATTTGCGATTGTGTATTATTCATAATTACATATTATGAATATTTTATCTTGGGTGGATAAGAATGTGACTTTGTTTTTAGTTAACCCAAACCTTTCTGGACACGTAAAAGTAAAGCCTAAAGAATTGTTATATTTTAATTAAGAGTTAGTCCTTTTCTCTCGCTGTCTTTTTTTATAAATAGTAATTTATAACTAGAGGAAGAAAATATAAATTTACATTTTGATTATAAAAATTATACATATATATATTCCAGTTGAAACTGCATAGGAAACAATGACAACAAAAATGCTAAAAGCAAAACAATAAAACCCCCTGCCAAACCTGAAATGTGGACATTTTTATGAATATTTGTGAAAACAGACACGTTTCTGACATTCTTTATGTAACAGTACACCTTGGATCTTCCTCCATCATGAGTATAGAAAGCCCTTTATCATCCCTTTTTTGGTTGGTTGTTGTTCTGCAGTATTGGTTTCATACTTAAATTTTTCATGCTTATAATAGTTTAGAGGAGATGTAACAAATACAGGGATACAAAGGCAGGATATCCCAACTCTTGAGAGTTTGGACTCTGGAGCCAGCCATCGTGGGTTCAAATCGCAGTAGGGACACTTTCTTGCTGTGTAACCTAGAATAAGTTATAAAACTCAAGGTCTCAGTTTTCTTATTTGTAAAATAGTTATTAACAGTATGCCTGTATTATAGAGTTCCTGTGAATATTGAGTTCCTATTTTTGAAGCACTTGGAACATTATCTGGCAGACTGTGCAATTATAAATATAAACTGTTTTTAATGTTAGTATGGATTCTATGATCGTTAATATTTTAAGATAGAGATTTAGTGTTTACTTCAAGCATCAACACATGCCCCTTCCCAGCTTCTATGTCTTCAAAAGTTTGTGCATGGTATTGTTTTGTGTCTGTTGGAAGGAGATGAGGTGAGGGAAGAGTGGTAGAAAGGAAGTATTGGTTTTAGAGATCTGGGTGGAGTTACTATTGGCAGTTATCCATTCTTTTCTGGCCATATTGCCTTTGGGGTATCTTGGGTGGCCTTTGACAATAGCTGCTCTTCGTAGAGCCAGCCCTGCTATATCCTGGTATTTAGGAAATAGTTTTAAAGGTTTTCAAGCCAGAGGCAGTAAAAGGACAATTTAAGTTAATATGAGTTAGTAAATTTTGGCATGCAGTCCAGCTTGGAGATACACTTCTGTAACCTTACAGAACATTTTCTTGATTTGTGTGTTTAAATGTTCTTAAAGTATTGAAAGTGACCTGTGTTATCTGAGAGATACTTCCTTTTTTGGAATTGGCCTTTTTGACTTCTCTTCATGGTTTTCTTTAAACGTTGAAACTTGGAGGAAAAGAGTAAGACTGGCTTTTATTTTAAAGTAGTTTTTAAAATGGTCAGTAATAGAAGAAATGTAATGAAACAAAAAAGTTAATACATTTTGGCTTATGGTTTTATGTATACAGCTGACTCCTGAACCACATGAGTTTGAACTGCATGGGTCCATTTATATGGTGATTTTTTACAATAAAAGTTACACCAACTGTGCTTGCCTGTCCTGCCTCCCCTTCCACCTCCTCCACCTCTTTTGCCTCTGCTACCCCTGAGACAGTGAGACCAATCCCTCCTCTCCTCCTCAGACTACTCCACATGAAGAAAGATGACAAGGATGAAGACCTTTTTGATGATCCAGTTCCACTTAGTGAATAGTGAATATTTTTTCTCATGCTTTTTTAAAAGGAATGATTTCTTTAGCTTACTTTAAGAATATAGTATCAGCCGGGCACAGTGGCTCACGCCTGTAATCCCAGCACTTTGGGAGGCCGAGGCGAGCGGATCATGAGGTCAGGAGTTCGAGACCAGCCTGACCAACATGGTGAAACCCCGTCTCTACTAAAAATACAAAAATTACCCGGGCATGGTGGCTGGCACCTGTAATTCTAGCTACTTAGGAAGCCGAGGCAGGAGAATTGCTTGAACCCGGGAGGCGGAGGTTGCAGTGAGCCAAGATCACGGTATTGCACTCCAGCCTGGGCAACAGAGCCAGACTCCGTCTCAAAAAAAAAAAAAAAAAAGAATATAGTATTAATATATATATAATGCAAAATACATGTTAATTGACTGTTTATGTTACCAGTAAGGCTTCTGGTCAACTGTAGGCCATTAGTGGTTAAGTTTTTAGGGAGTCAAAAGTTATACATGAATCTTCAACTGCATGGGGATGGGGGTTGGCACATCCAATCCCCGCGTTGTTCAAGAGTCAACTGTATTTATAAAATTTTATTTTAGTATAGTCTTTCATGAACCTCCTTAAAAGTCAATGTAAAGTTATTAATCAAGGAAATCTATATTCTACTTATGGCATCAATTCCTTTGTAGTATAATTTAAAATATTTGATTTTGTGACTGCTAATTTTTATGTCTATTTATTTTACTTTTGATACCAAGTTAGGCACGTAAGTTAAAGGAAGTTATTATTGTGACAAGTAGAAAATGGTTTAAACTACTATTACAAATGTACAGGTCATGGCTCAGTTAGGCTTGAATTAGGCTATTAAGCAGAAATGGTAGGCCGCTTGCTGAAATATATAGAATCAGTGATTTTTTAAGACAGTGCTGTTTTTCATTAAAATTATTTTTTTGGTTTAAATGAATTTGGGTTCTATCCAAAAGAAGGTAGGTGTGCTTGGTGTTTTTTTTTTTTTTTTTTTTTTTTTTTAAGACAGGGTCTTGCTGTGTCACACAGGCTGGAGTGCAGTGGCGCTATCACAGCTCATTGCAGCCTTAACCTGCTGAGCTCAAATGACCCTCCTGCCTCAGCCTTATGAGTAGCTGGGACCACAGGCATGTGCCACCGGGGCTGGATAATTTTTTTTTTTTGGTAAAGACAGGATTCTCACCATGTTGCCCAGGCTGGCCTCAAACTCCTGGGCTCAAGCAATCCTCCCACCTCGGCCTTCCAAAGTGCTGGGATTACAGGCATGAGCCACTGTGCCCAGCCTGTTTTTCATTTTGTAAAACACACCAAAACCACCATTTCAGTACTTTTTTTTTTTCTTGCTCTATTTATTTCCTATTATTGGTTAGACAAAATGGCGCTTTTAGGAATTTTTATAAGGAGAGCTTTGAGACTTTTTTTTTTTTTTTTGAGACAGGGTCTCACTCTTGCCCAGGCTGGAGTGCAGTGGCACAATCGTGGCTCACTGCAGCCTTGACCTTCCAGGGCTCAAGTAATCTTCCCACTTCAGCCTCTCAAGTAGTTGGGACTACAGGCAAGTGCCACCATGCCCGGCTGATTTTTATTTTTTTTTTTGTAGAGATGGCATTTTCCCATGTTGCCCAGTCTGGTCTCAAACTGCTGAGCTCCAGCAATCTGCCTGTCTTGGCCTCCCAAAGTGCTGAGATTACAGGCATGAGCCACTGCGCCTGGCCAGAGATCTTTGTATATTGGATTGTTTTAAGGCAAACCATGATGAGAAACTAAACCATTCTTAGATTATTCCATTTTAAGATATACGTGAAATATGGACATAGGTAAAATATTCTATCATATCTTGTGTTTTTTTTACATGCTGCTTATTTATCTCTTCTCACCCATATTGTCATCATTTTATGGTGTTTGTCTTTGCTTCGATCCTGATTTTTTAATCTTGGCAGAAGTATACTGGCAAAAGTTGATGTAAGTCTAATTTTCAAGGTTCTGTGTAACATTTTCCACTGCCTTTCACCAGCTTTCAATTATTTTTGCTCCTGGAGAAAATATCACTAGGGGAAGGAGAGAGAAGGAAAAAGTTAAGGGTTTGGGAGGAGCCTAGAGCTAAAGCTCATTTAGTAGAAGATCACTAAATCAGCAGCTGTCTTTTTTTATTCAATTCTTTGAAAAAATGTTTTAAATATGACTTCTCTTACTCACCATGATTACTTTTTAGATAAATGTGGACCATAGAGAATATACATAAGATGGTTAGTGTTAAGTAATTCTAGATCATGAGTAATTTATACATCTCAATTTTCTTAATTTTTTCTAAAAAGTAAGATATGGTAAACATTTACTTGAGTTACCTGTGTCTTCTATTGAAACTTACCATTAAGGTCTTGATTTGGGAATTAAATGAATCAGAGTCCAGTTAGGAAAACAAAAACACTCTAGATGTTTTCAACAGGAAATTTTATTACAAGGCATTGGTAAAATCGGTTTTGGTAGAGCAGAGAAATCAAACAGGATCTATGGGTATATGGTGGGGCAATCTAGAGATGAGCAGCAGCAGGTAATCACTGCCACCCTTAGGGACCCAGAGAGATGATGGGAAGAAGTGGTGTTCCCAGAGCCCAACTGTGGGTCTGTCTGGCAGGAGTGAAAACTGCAGAGAAGGCATGGGTCTGGAGCTGGGACTGTAGAGCCAGGGGCTGATTGACCAGGGGTGAAACCTTAGGGAAGATACAGAAAGGGAGAGAAATACCAAGGCTTTCCCCCTCCTTCTACCCTTCAGACCTCTGCCATTGCCTTTTATTGGTGGGACCTATCCACAAAGCAGAGAGAGGAAGGGAGCCTGGGGAATATAGTTCTCTGTCATACAGAGAGGGCAGAGAAAAGCAGGGAAAAGATATGAGTGAGGAGACAGCTGCCAGCACAGACAATACAAAAAAGGTTTACATCCCCCAGCCCCAAAACTGATCGTATTAGTCCTTTTATATTTTAAACACTCCTCTTCCCTCATGGCTCAAGATCCCTTGTGTAAGAAGGAAATAATTATACTGTATGTGGTTTTGGTTTTTATGAACCTTGATATTAAATGATGTTAAGCTGTTATTATATAGTATTTGCTGTGCATATTTCTGCCGGTCTCTGCATTTTTATTGTTTATGTATTTTTAGATATACAAAAATTTATTTTCATTTGTTCAAATCTTTTCCTTTACATTTTTAAATATCTTAAAAGATTAGGTAGTCATTTCCATTGAAATATTTAATAAATACCCTGTCATTTGCTTTTTCTAAGTTTTCAATATTTTCAAACTCTGGAATTCATCTGGAATTAATTTTTGTGTGGGGTTGCTGCATTATCTTGATGCTGATAAAGACAGCTTATTCCTTTTTTTTTTTTTTTTTTGAGACAGAGTCTTGCTCTGTCGCTAGGCTGGAGTGCAGTGGTGCGATCTCAGCTCACTGCAACCTCCGCCTCCCTGGTTCAAGCGATGCCTCAGCCTCCTGAGTAGCTGGGATTACAGGCATGTGCCACCATGCCCAGCTAATTTTTGTATTTTTAGTAGAGATGGGGTTTCACCGTGTTGGCCAGGCTGATCTCGATCTCCTGACCTCGTGATCTGCCTGCCTCGCCTCCGAAAGTGCTGGGATTATAGGCATGAGCCACCGCTGCCAGCCATTATTCCAGTTGTTGTTTTGTTTTATTTTATTTCATTTTTTTTTTGAGACGGAGTCTCGTTCTGTCACCCAGGCTGGAGTGCAGTGGCGCGATCTCCGCTCACTTTAAGCTCTGCCTCCTGGGTTCACGCCATTCTTCTGCCTCAGTCTCCCGAGTAGCTGGGTCTACAGGCGCCCGCCACCACACCTGGCTAATTTTTTTGTATTTTTAGTAGAGATGGGGTTTCACCGTGTTAGCCAGGATGGTCTTGATCTCCTGACCTCGTTATCCACCCACCTTGGCCTCCGAAAGTGCTTGGATTACAGGTGTGAGCCACCGTGGCCCATTATTCCAGTTTTTAAAGCTTACTTATGCTTTGAGAAATCTTGGTCTTTTCTCCGTAATGCCTTGTCTGTGCTGGATTTCTTTAAATTTGGTACCAATTTACAGTAATATTCTAAATTTTATTTAAAGTGTTATATTTTCTACTTCCTTAATAGGGTACTTCTATTTTTAATCATCTGTGAAGTAGCCACTTCACAGATATTTTACCTCCCTTTTTTTTTTTAAATTACAGAGTCTAGCATATCATGTTGTGATTTGGGTTATTTATTTATTTTTTTTAAAGAGACAAGGTCTTGTTCTGTCACCCAGGCTAGAGTGCAGTGGTGCAATTATAGCTCACTGTGGCCTTGAACTCCTGGGGCTCAAGTGATCCTTCTGCCTCAGTGCCCAAAATGTTGGGATTACAGGTGTGAGCCACTGCACCCAGCCCAATTTTGGTTAAGTTTAAGACCTTTTGAGATTAACTAATAAATATCTCTGAGTTCAATATTGGTTTGTGCATCTCTGTTATTTGCTTTTTATGTGCAAGTGTGCAAAGAGCTGTCATCATTTTCGCTTTTTTATTTACTTTAGTTTTGGGAGAATGAAATGACTGTTGAGTAATGAATGTCTAATAATGAGTTTTGGACTTTGCCTTTTAAAATTAGTTACTGTAATTATATTAACCTGGTAATTGTGGTATGGATCATTGTCTAAATTTAGTAGATGGGCTGGGCATAGTGGCTCATTCCTCTAATTCCTTGCACTTTAGGAGGCCGAGGCAGGAGGGTTGCTTGAGTTTGAGACCAGCCTGAGCAACATAGTGAGACCCTGCTTCTACAAAAAATTAAAAAATTTGCTGAGCATGGTAGTGTGCACCTATAGTCCCAGCTACTCAGGAGGCTGAGGCAGGAGAATCACTTGGGCCCAGGGGGTCAAGGCTGCCCTGAGCCATGATCGTGCCACTGCACTCGAGCCTGGGTGACAGACCAAGACCCTGTCACTAAAATAAAATAAAATAAATACAGAAAAAAATGTACTAGACAGGGAAATGAACACCAAAATGTTAAGATTAAAAATTATTAACTCTTTTTTATTCCTTGGTGAATTTATTGACTTGTGTTGAGGATGTTGGAACTCTGAAAGTATCTAAATTAGAGAGGAAATCACTTTTATTTGCTTCTAAAGCATATATTATTATGACAGAATGGTTAACTTAGCCCTTTTAAAAAGTTGAGTTGTGTGGGAGGGTGAGTGAGGAGAGAGGATGTGTTTAAAAATGGCTTGTTTATCAGAAAAAGTAGCCCCTCAAAATTAGTTTCAAAATAAGAGACTTGTTTTTAATTTCCTTCTGATCATAATTTTAAATTTTGGTAAAATTAGTGTTAATTAAAAACATACTAAAACAAACTTAAAAATTTTAATGTGGAAATTTTCAGCATTATATAAATAATATAATAAACCCAATGTACCCATCACTGAGGTTCAAAAGTACATGGCCAGTTTTACTTTCCAACATAAGATACTCAGTGTTCTCATTTCCCTGATTGTCATTCATAAGTATATACATGTGTATGTTTATAATTATTTTTAAAAGTTTGTTTGAATCAGGACCCCAATAAGGTCCATACTTTTGGATGGTTTGTAAATTTCTTAAATCCATTTTAATCTATAAATTTCTCTTCTGTAGTACTTTATTTCTTGCAGTTTTATGTTAAAGAAACTTGGTCATTTGAATTAGATAAAATAATTTTCTGAGGGATAATTTTAATATGGAAAAATAGAGATGGTTCAACATCGTGTTTTACAGATTTGTCATTTGTTTATTCCGTTCGTGATTATTTCCATATCCCAGATATGTCATTTGCTTACTACTTTCATGATTATTACCCTGCTTTTAAAGTTAAAATTCATACTTGATTATCATTCTAATCTTCACATTTATGGAATCATGGATTTGATGTCTTTGTTATATTTATCTTAGTACAATTCTTCATTCATGTACCATCTAAAATAATCCTGACCACATATTAGGATACACTGATTTAATATTAATGTCTCCTCTTCTTTTTATTCCCTCCACTTACCTCTCGTGTTGAAATTCAATCAGTTACTCCAAGAGAGACACTTGAGACCTTAGATACGTTTCCTGCATGTCTCCAGAAACAAGGTACATTCTGTGCAAAGTATGGTTTTACTAGCACGCTGTTAGTGAAGTGTGTTACCAATCTGAGATCATGGTTCAGCCAACTCAGCATTTTTATCTTTCAGGTTCAGATTCCATTACATGTGACATATAATTTTACAGGGGAACAAATAAAAACAGGACCCGGCTTCTGGATTCCCATTGAAATAATATTTTTTGTTGATAAATGGAATTAAGTAATAGCTGAAAACATTTTTCTTTCTTTTTTAGGGAAAGTTAAATTTGAAGATGTTAAAATTAAGAAGAAAGTGAATTTCTAAGAAGTTTTAAAAAATTTGTGAGGAAGGCATTAAATTAAATAATTTGAAAATACGAACTTTGGAGGCAAATAGAATTATTAATTTACTTTGCGTGGATCACTATATATAACTATGTAACATATGGATTATCTTTGTTTATATGTCAGAATAAGTATACTGAAAATAACTTAAGAAAACTCTTTTACATGCATTCTTATTTGTATCTCATGTCACTCTGCAAGGAATTATCATTCTCATTTTACAAACTAGGAGACTGAGGGAAGCCCAGAGAAATCATGTAGTTTGTCCATAGGTACACAGCCAGTCAGAGGAGATATTAAGAACCATGTAGGGGTTTGTGTTATACTGTACTAAAAGGACACTGGGTTTGAAGTCGGATGTTCTGGACCTAGTGCTATTTACTGCCTTAGCTATATAAGCTTGGATAGTTTATTTCAGATCACTAGGCTTCTGTTATAGAAATGCTATCATAGAGAATAATAGAGTACCATGGGAGTTTTGAGGAGAGTAGTTACAATTGTTTGATATTATATACAGAACAAGACCATATTCCTAATATTTATCTTGACATGGGGAGCGTCTATGTTGGAGTAATTGGACAATAAGTTGTCATGGGTAGCTTTATTGAAACCTCATGTGACTAGTCACATGACTACATAAAAGAGAGTGTAGGTGGGTATGAGGGGACTTTCCTCCATCACGTGTGTTTCTGGTATTAAGAGGAGAGGTGTTGGGAAGGAAAGGAGGGGAAGGGGGAAAGAGAAACTAATGTCTTGAGAACAGAGTCACAAGTCAAATACATGTGTAATGGATATCTGTTACTTCTTGATAGACACTAATGGCAATCATCTGTATAAGAACAGAAGAAAGTACAGATCTCTACTTTTGTCTGTTTGGCTCTTGCCAAATTCTTCTATCCTGTTCACCAATCCCTTCTAGTTTCCAAGTTCATTTCTCTTAACACTTTCACCATTTACTCGTGTTAGCACCGTAGGATTCTGACTACAGTATGTCTCCCTTTGATTACATATTATTATTGTGCTACAGCTATGTCATCAAGCAATATGATTAGTCTATAAATGAAAGTATTTCACACACTGCATGGCCAATGTAATATATATGTAGTTAAGAAATTATGTGAAGTGAGTGAACCGCATGGAGTTCTGTTTAGTTCATAAACCTTATCCATAAGAAATATTATTGGCTGGGTGCGGTGGCTTATGCCTGTAATGCCAGCATTTGGGAGGCCAAGGCAGGCGGATCACAAGGTCAGGAGTTCAAGACCAGCCTGGCCAATATGGTGAAACCCTGTCTCTACTAAAAATACAAAAAAAAAAACCCCAAAAACCACTAGCCGGGCGTGGTGGCATGTGCCTGTAATCCCAGCTACTCAGGAGGCTGAGTCAGAAGAATCGCTTGAACCTGGAAGGCGGAAGTTGCAGCGAGCCAATATTGCGCCACTGCACTCCAGCCTAGGTGACAGAGTGAGACTCCGTCTCAAAAAAAAAAAAAAAAAGAAAAAGAAATATTATCTCTGATGGCTCTTTTACCTTTTAAAAAACATGAAATCATGTGACATCGGTGTGGTGAAAGGTCAGTCAATTACGAATTGGGACTCAGGATGAAGAGGAGGTCTCAAAGGCCCCCCTCACGATCAGGAAGGCGGAACTGGGGACTCAGTGCATTTCTTTGAGATTCCTTAGATGAATCCTATACATCTAAGTTCTGCCACCAGGATATTAGTTAAAATTCTTATGTTCCAACCACTCAGTACAGACCTGTAGCTTATCGTCTGTGAACATCTAACTTAGTATTAGCATTTCTTTCCTCAAAATAGTGTACACATTTTTTTTTGTTGTTATTTGGAGATATAACCAAATAATAAAGGATACTATTAAAAATCCTTTAGCTTTTGGTAAGTTAGGCAAGGTTTTATATGTAGCCTCTACATAAACATTCTCTTATTTATAGGGTTAAGTTTCAGGAGATAAGAGAAAGATCTTTTGTGAGTAGGATACATTGAAATATTAGACTGTAAGTGAGCTCTGTAGACCAAAATGCTGAAATAGCTTTTCTCATAAGAAAGTTTTGTGTGACAAACACTGCAATTTGCCTATCAGATACTTTTCATCCCCTTTTTTCTTACTAGAAGTACTGTACTTTTTTGAGGGTGGCAGTGTGCCAGCCTAGGAGATTTGCCTTTGTAGACTCCTTGCAGTGCGGTCTAAGTGGTATTTACTAAGGAGTATTTCTATTTCCCTGAGTCAAGTGTTCTTCCATTCCCTTTTGATTTCCTTCTTCCTTTCTGGGAAGTGAACACGATGCTTGGAATTTCTTGCTACCATATGTGAAAATAAAAAAACAGATTAGGCCAGGTGCAATGGCTCATGCCTGCAATCCCAGCACTTTGGGAGGCCAGTTCAGGAGAGTTGCTTGGGGCCAGGAATTTGAGACCAGCCTGGTCAACAGAGCAAGACCCTGTCTCTACAAAAAAGTTAAAAAATTAGCCAGGTGTGGTGACTTATGCCTGTAGTTCCAGCTGCTTTTGAGGCTGAGGCAGGAGGATCACTTGAGCCCAGGAGTTCAAGGCTGCAGTGAGCTATAATCATGCCACTGCACTCCAGCCTGGGCAACAGAGTAAGACCCTGTCTCTTAAAAAATTAAAATAAAATAAAAAGTAGATAAAATCTATGTACATGGGTGGCTGAATAGAAGGAAGGGAGTCTGTGACAATGATGTCATTGGGGAGATGCCCTGGGCTGGTTTCTTTTATTTATACTTCTCTTAACTTGAAGAAAATAACAACTATTCTTTTTTGGGTTTTTTGCTATGGGCAGCTGAATGTAACCCTAATTTTGCTGCCTAAAAATATTTTGTTACATTATCTCATATCACAACCTTGTTATTAAAAGGTATCAGTGCTGCCCCTCTGCTGCCTATATAGATTTTGTCAGTAGACTTGACCAGTGAAGAACTTGACCAGCTGGAATAAAGAAGTTATGAGAAAAAAGCATAATTTCAATGTAATTTGAGTGTAAGATATCATCAAGAATCAAATGATTCAAGACCTCTGTCCTCCTGAGCAGTAAGTTGAAGAAAACCTGGCATCCAGATATGTTCTTCAATTTACAATTAGGTTTCTGTGTATAGTTAGCAGCTTTCACACCTCTTGCAGCCTGGCCATTCCTTAAGAGGTGAAAGGCATTGAGAAAAATGGCATATTATATACATCCGAAAAGTCGCTGTGTTTCTCCTTGACAGTGTCAGCCTGCCTGTACTCCCTGTAAAATATTCATTAGGAATGGAGACTTCATGGTGCTTACTGGTGACATGTTACAAGTGTTCAGGAATTGCTTTCTTGACTTTGTGTAGCACAGAATCATTCCTACGGTGGTGGTGAGAGTATTCAGGCATTTGTGTGCTTGTGGATAGGCCATTTGTGTTTCTTAAGAAACTTGAAAGGGTGTATAGGAGTCTCTGGAACAGCGTTGCTTGGTTTACCTGTATCGGAGTTACCTGCATATCTTAGTAAAAACACAGATTCTTGTGCCTTATTCAAGATTTACCTAATTAGTATATTAGGACTAGGGAGTGGGTCTTAAGAAGCAGTACTCGTGATTTAAGGACACAAATGTTTGAGAAATACTGTTTTTGAGCCTTCCTAGATTCCCCCACCTTCCCACACAAGTTCTTTAAGTTGTGTGTTTGTGTTAATATTATGGTGCTGAATTAACCCATTCCTTTTGGTGAATGCATCTTTCACTACAGGCATTTGTTGTTGACACTGATGCAGTCCAGCTTGCTGAATGGCGGTTCTGCATGTGAAATCAACATTTAGATTGATTTTACACGAGTGTTTAATGTTTGTGGAAAGTACTTTTCTTGGATTAGTTAATATTCTTGAATTGAAATGATCTGTTTTTTAATGAATAGCCAAAGAGCTGCTGTTCCTTTAATGGTGCTTATATGACTTACAAAATTCATTTTCAAGTTTCCTAGCAATTTTTATTACTTCCATTTTATTGGGAAAATCTTTTTTTCTCCTTTCATAGGTGTTAACTTTTTAGTCACACTTTCCTAAAGCTCTTTATAAATGGAAAAATAATTTTTTTAAAGTAAACCATGATATTCTTAAAATAACTTGCTTCTACTTTGAATAGATTAAAAACAATGAGTGTCACTTCTAAACCATACCTTTGTGTTTAAATGCATACCGTAAGTAGCCATGGAACAAACATCTTTTGTTATTTTTGATACAAAAATTTCACTTCTAAGTAAAAGACATAAGAAAACACATATCCATAAAAACCTGATTCTGTACCTATTTAAAATAGAACACTTACACATTTTAAAGTGTTTCTACTTTTCGAGTCAGATCTTCAGCAATGCCAGTTGCAGTTTAGCCTGAAGGTGTTTTTGAGGGTTCCTGGTTGAGCATGTGTTTTACATTCCCCCTCTCCACCCTCTTTGTTTATTGGACTGTTTTAGTCATCATAAAGTGCTTCAATCTTTACTAAAGCAAATGCCGTAAAGGATCTGCCTTACAGGCAATTATTTCTCCATGAGTAAGGTGAGGTAGCAGTACTACGGAAGTGAAGTCAGCTGGGAGTACAGCTCATCTCCTTGTATGGAAAGTAATTTTGCAGGAAGAATTACTTTGTACGCCACCCATTAACAGTTAGGCATTCCAGAAGATGCTCCTTTTGGAATGGTCATAAAGGTGTGTTTTCTTCTTTTGATGAACTATAAGTAGCCCTGGAAGATTTGGCACTCCTTCATTCTTGCGTAGTATATGGGCCGTCTTTAATAGTATATTGTCTATTTTTAATCATGGAGGAATAGAATGGCTAATTGAGACAAGTAGCTGTGTTAGCAGCTGTGAACCGGGCCTATCTATGTCAGTCTGGAATACTTTGTCCCTGGTTCTGGAACTTTACAGGGTGTGGGAATGCTTGATGAATTATCTTAGGTTACACAACATGCAGTTCTTTGGAATGCATATACATGTATATTATACATACTTTGGATAGACACTTGTATTTGAATACTGAGTAGTATATAAATGATGAAGTCATTTTAGAGTTTGACTGTCAGGCAGTTAACATTTGTTGCTTTGTGGTTTTGTCATAATATGATCCTTACTAATTAGGTGCAGAATATTCAGAATATTGAGTAGTATCTGGTTACATCTCTTTTATGACATATATATAAATATAAAAATATTTATCTAAAACTTAAGGTTTAATGATATTTATACAATATTAAAACAGTATAGGAATATACAAAAATACAAGGCCTGGCACAGTGGCTCACACCTATAATCCCAGCATTTTGGAAGGCCAAAGTGGAAGAATTGCTTGAGCCCAGGAGTTCAAGACCAGCCTGGGCAACATAGGGAAGGCCCCATCTCTACAAAATTTAAAAAATAAAATAAAATAAAATTTCCTCAGCCTCTTCCAGCCTTCCTGCTTCCCATATGTAATCTTTCCAGCACTTTTGTCTTCATTTGGTTGCTCTAATATGCTCCAACTTCCCCCACAAATACATGTTGTTCTGCAGCTTTCTTTTTTTTCTTTAATATATATCATGGGTATGTGTCCAGGTCAGTACGTATAGACATTTATCATATTGATGTAACATATTTATGCATCAGAATTTCTACTGATATTGTAATTATTTTTTATATCCAGAAATTTTTAAATGAATGTTTTTGTGGGTTTTTTTTTGCCTAATATATATTTTTATGTGGCTATAAATAAAAAATCAAATATGAACTGTGGGGGGTATAATCTTATTGAGTGTAATAATTTGTATGCAAATTTTAGTTAAAATTAATAAACAATTTCAAAATAATGTAAACATTTTTGTCAACAATGACTAAAATATTATAAACTCTTTATGAATGTTTTCTATATACTTGTTTCTGTATAAAATAATATCTAATGATTTTAGATTGCATTATAAATATTTTAACCCTTGATATCTGCTGCAAATGTGCTTTCTATTCAGTTCTTCTCAAAATTAAAATAAAAATAAGCTTATTAAAGACTTATAAGTAAAATAACTAGAATTATATTCCATACACTATGTATTATTTATTCATATTACTGAAAATTACTGATTATATCCTTCCATATAACAGTGGAAAAAGAATTGGTTTGGTGACTCGAAGGACTTGATGGTCAAATTAATTGATTTTGGATATTTCATGTATTCTCATTTTAAAACTTTTCTTTAGTTTCTTATTTATTATCCTGTTTAATGTAGGCTGGTATTAAAATGAGTCAGCATTTCTGATAATTGTGTAAATGTTAAATGATAGCAGAAGCCAATTTAGGATTAAACAAAAATTGTTGTGGCTCCTCTGCTAATCACATAATCCAAATGTGAATTGAGAGATTATTCAAGAAGTGATGATTCAAGAAGTTAAATAATACTTTTAAATGACAATTTTTATAAATTGCAATGATAAGTAATTCAATAAATTAATTTGGGTTTACCCAGAAGAGCATAGGAGTGCTTTCTTAATATACTTTTCAGTTCCATGACTAGTTATTTTTATACTGCTATGTGAATGTGAATTTTGTACTATAATATAAAATGACTGTATACCATTGTTTCTTATACAACTTTATTTGTCAAAAAACTCATTATACCCTACCTCTATCATAAAGCAACATATCTATTCCCACTGGGAATTTTCATATGCTAGTGTGGACCTTGTTTGTGTTTACTAACAGAAATCTTTGATATATTAATTGAGAGATACAGTCACTGTTTCATTGTGGGAAAACTGATGATCATCACCTTATTCAGAGCAAAGCCAAATGCTGATTCCGACTGCTAAGGGGATTGATTTAACTGGCACCTAGCATTTGTACTTTAGAGAAGAAACTTAACCTTCTTCTAAGCTTTTGAGGTATTCAGGTGTTTGATTAAATCATTTCTTTCCAGAGATTTTTAACTCTGACATTGATTATCCTTATCTAATATTTTAGAGTTAACATTATCATATTATAGAACCTTTTACTATTTCCAGTTCTATTTAAATCCTGGGACAGTTTCCTTTCCTTTTTGGACTGAGAACAAATTGAATATTGAATAATCTCTTTGGAATGTATCTTTTAGGGCCTTGTTAACTGGATGAATTCATCACTTTCATATTATGCTGCTATTCTTTCATGCCTTTCGAGATTTTCAATGAAAAGTAAGTTTCACAGCCTTTACAACTGAGAAGCATCAGCTGTGTTGATTTTTTTTTACAGCATTGGTAAGGTGAATGTGCATTTTATCACCTCTGACTCATGGAAGTTAGGGGTTTCTTGTGCCGGAATCAGATAAAGGAAGGAATATCATTTTTATAATATGATAGAAATCTTTAACCTACTTTAAAATATTCTCCCTTCATTTTTAAATAATATTTTAATTGACATATCTTAATTCTATACTTATGGAGTACAATGTGATGTTTTGATATATGTAAACAATGTGGAATGATTAATGCAATCTAATGCATATCCCTCTACCTCAATTACTTATCTTTTTTTTGTGGTGAAACATTTGAAGTTTATTCTCCTAGTTTTTTCAAATATACGTTATTATTGACTGTAGTCATCCTGCTGTGCTATAGGTCTCAAAACTTATTTCTCCTGTCTGTCTGAAACTTTGTATCTTTTGACCAGTAACTCCCTATTCCCTCCCCTCAATGTCCTCCTTTAAAAGTAATTTGTATAATAGTCAATGCTGATACACTTTTTTCAGCTTTAAGAATTGTTTTTCTTTTCCCATTTCCCATGAGTTAATGGATAAGAGAGAGGACCAATTTAAATTTATGAAGCAGGATCTTCAATGTGTTTGCTAGCTTGAAAGGTACTCCACATTTTTATTATAAGAGAATGTGTTGGAATTAACTGAGTTTGTGTTGAATTATACTTCCTCTCTTTTTTTTTTCTCTCCCCATCCTGTTTTCTCTCTTTCTGATTGGAATGAATTTATTAGGATCTTCCACATGCAGTGTGCATGCACTGTGGTAGTTTTTAAAATTTAGGTGAAGTTTACATAACATGAAATTAACCATTTTAATGTGTATAATTCGGTGGCATTTTGGTATTTTCAGTATTGTGTGACCACCTCTATCTAATTACAAAACATTTTCATTACTCCAAGAGGAAACTTGGTACCCATTGAGTATTTACTCCCCATTTCTCCTGGCAGCCATCAGTCTGTTTTCTGTCTTTACGGATTTACCTATTCTGGGTATTTCATATAAATGGAATCATATGTGTCCTTTTATGTCTGGCTTTTTTCACTTACCATAATGTTTTTGTGGTTCATCTTTATTACAGCATAATACCGGTTTCTTACTCCTTTTTATTGCAGAATAATATTCCATTGTGTTATCATATGTTTATTCATTCATCAGTTGGTGGTCATTTAGGTAGTTTCCACTTTTTTGCTATTGTGAATCCTGCTGCTGTGAACATTTGTGCACAAATTTTTGTGTTGACAGATATTTTTATTGCTCTTAGGTATAGACCTAGGAGAGGAATTAGTGGGTCATATGGTAATTCTATGTTTAACTATTTGAGGAACTATGAGACTATTTTCCAAACTGGGTGCACCATTTTAACTTCCCACCAGCAGTGTATGAGGGCTGCACTTTCTCCATATAACATGGCAACACTTGTTATTGTCTGTAGTCATCTTGGTGAGCATGAAGTGGTATCATTGTGCTTTTATTTGCATTTTCCTGATAGCTAATGATATTGAGCATCTTTTTATGTGCTTATTGGACATTTGTATATCTTGTTTGGAGAAATTGCTATTCGGATCTTTTGCCTATTTAAAAATTATGATTTTTCTATTATAGAGTAGTAAGTTTTTTAAAACTATATTCTAGATACAAGTCCCTTTTCATGTACATGATTTTCTTTCATTCTGTGGATTATCTTTTCATTTTCTTGATGGATTTTTTTTTTTGAGGCAGAGTCTCACTCTGTCACCTAGGCTAGAGTACAGTGGCGAGATCTCAGCTCACTGCAACCTCTGTCTCTGGGCTTACATGATCCTGCCACCTCAGCCTGCCGAGTAGCTGGGACTACAGGTTTGGGCCACCATGCTTGGATAAATTTTTAAAAATTTTTTTGGTAGTGACGGAGTTTCATCATATTGCCCAGGTTAGTCTCAATGACCCTTTTAATTGCTGAATAATAATTTCTTGAATGTATGATAATTTTTAAAACTCTATACCATAAAGATGATAATTTAGTATTATAAAAGCTGCTGCTTTAAATATTCTGCAGTCTTATTTGTTAATTTCCTTAGGGTAAACCAAGAGGTATAATTATTGGGGCCAAAAGTTTATGTATTTTTATATTTTTTGATAATTATTGCTAAAATGCCCTCAAGAAAGATTATACTCCAACAGTGGGAGCATTTAAGAGTCAGAAAAATGTTTAGAAGTGTACATTTTTCATAGACTATTGTAATCTGCCTTCTCACTGTATACATTAGATTTTGACTACGTACTTGACTCCAGACTACTTTCATATCTTGCAGGTTGGTGTAATTTTTCTCTCCCTCTAATACATGTTCCTCCTGTATTGCTAAGCCTTTTTTATTTTTCTCCAGACAGGATATCACTGTGTCACCCAGGCTGGAGTGCAGTGGTGTAATTGTAGCTCACTGTAGCCTCTACTTGCTGGGTTCAAGTGATCCTCCCACTTCAGCCTCCCGAGTAGTAGGGACTATCAGCATGCACCACCATGCATGGTGAATTATTGTTTTTGTTATTTTTTTGTGGAGATGGGGTCTTGCTCTGTTACCCAGGCTGGTCTCCAACTCCCGGCCTCAAGCAGTCCTCCCATTTCAGCCTCCCAAAGTGTTGGGATCATGGGCTTGAGGTGCTGTGCCCAGCCAAGACTTATAGCTGCATTTCTTCATGCGCTTCTGCATGTATACCTTGAAATTTCTGTATATTTTTTAAGGCTTCAATCAATATGGCCCTTCTTAATGAAATCTTTCTCAGTTTCAACACCTAAATACAAGTTTATCCTGAGCATTCACTAATTTTTTTTTTCTTGTTTTTTTTTTTTTTTTTTTTTTTTGAGACGGAATTTCACTCTGGTCGCCCATGCTGGAGTGCAATGGTGTGATCTCTGCTCACTGCAACCCCTGCCTTCTGAGTTCAAGCGATTCTCCTGCCTCAGCCTCCTGAGTAGCTGTGATTACTGGCTCCTGCCACCATGCCCGGCTAATTTTTGTATTTTTAATGGAGACAGGGTTTTACCATGTTGGCTAGGCTGGTCTCAAACTCCTGACCTCAAGTGATCCACCTGCTTCGGCCTCCCAAAGTGCTGGGATTACAGATGTGAGCCACCGTGCCTGACCACAGTTTTTTTGCTATCGTTGTTTTTTGTGACAGAGTCTTGCCCTGTCACCCAGGCTGGAGTGCAATGGTGCAATCTCGGCTCACTGCAATCTCCGCTTCCCTGGTTCAAGCGATTCTCCTGCCTTAGCCTCCCGAGTAGCTGGGATTACAGGTGCACGTCGCCACGCCCGGATAATTTTTTTGTATTTTAGTACAGACGGGGTTTCACTTTGTTGCCCAGGCTGGTCTTGAACTCCTGAGCAATCCACCCACCTTGGCCTCCGAAAAATGTTAGGATTACAGGCGTGAGCCACCATGCCCGGCCCGACCATGTTTTATATATTCGTCACTGAATTCTAGAACTGACCACTGTTTCTGACATATAATAGTGGTTCTCCTTAACACTAACTTTATGCTTGGACCAAATCAGGTTTCCCGTCAGTATTATATTCTACAGTATATCTTTCATAGTAATACTGTGTTCAACTTTAAAAGCTTGTTAATTGTGATCATACTCTTACTAGGATTATACTAAAGGTTCTACTTGTGTTTGTGAACATACATGACAAAAACACACATATTAAAATTATTTGTTTCCGAGTTTTATACTATCTAATGACACAACTGTGTAAGCATGGTATTTTACTGTTTAAAATTGTAAAGTATCCTGTTAAACTTTACTTTTAAATTTTTCTTAAGACTTCTTAAGTTGCAGTAACTGTCTATCAGATGTTGACCTTAACAACATCTCCTGTTAGGTAGAATGACAAAATTAAAATGGAGCTTAGTTGAAAAAAAAAAAGGTTTGGCCGCTTTGAAGATAAAGATGCATATGCTAGGAACAGGCATGGTATGCTCTGTGGTCAGGGAAGGCCTCCCTGCAGAAGTGACTTCTGAGCTGTAACTGGAATGGTAAGAAGATCATGATGCATATTACTAAGGACAGAGCCCCACTCCCTTAAACCATTCCAGGGAGGGAGGAGGCCCCCAGTGAGGAATGGCTCATGCTTTCCAGGGGGGTACACACCAGAAGCAAGGCTTGCAGGTGCAGAAGTTCCTGAACTCACGTATGATGTAGTTGCAGAGAGTTTTCAATTTTCATGGAGCTGTGTGAGCTTGAAAGATGACAGTCAGTTTGAAAGATGACCATGGACCAGTTGCCAGAGGGGTCTTCCTGAATAGCCTGCTATGCAGAGGAACTTAAGGATTTTTATATGTCCTTGGGAGAGGGAAGAGAGGAGAGAAAACTCTAACAATGGCTAAAATTGAATTTCCCTCAATTCAGAGGAATGGGGACTTCACAGTCAGCTTCATTAAAGAATATGTGACATTTCTAGCAAAAAAAAAAACCAAAAAACAAGGTTTGGCATTGTAGTTATTTGTCCATCTACCCTAGGCTTACAGATTTGTTCATCAAGTAGCAAAAACAGATGATTTACATATAACCAATTGTCTAGGAAATTTTTAAAAATTTGAGTCATTTGACTGTTAAGTAGAAATGAATGTATTACTTATTTTGTAGGTAAAAAAATAATTTTAGAATTCTTCTGGAAGTCTTATTAAATTGATAAATATATTAGAGGTCATTTTAATGATGATCAGTACAAGATTTTTTCCAAGTGAAATCTGGGGATTGCTTTATTCCTCTTATACCTTGAATATCACTAATGCATTAGGTTGAATCATTTGGGGGCTGCTTTCGCCAACAGACTAATGCCCAGGAAATATCTGGGTGAACAGTTTGCCAGATGCACACTTTATTTATTTATTTGTTTATTTATTAATTAAGAGACACAGTCTCAGTCTGTTGCCCAGGCTAGGGTGCAGTGGTACAATCTCTGTTCACTGCAGCCTCTGCCTCCTGGGCTCAAGCAGTCCTCCCACCTCCACCTCCCAAGTAGCTGGGACAACAGGTGTGCACTACCATGCCTGGCTAATTTTTATATTTTTTGTAGAGACAGGGTTTTACCATGTTTCCCAGGCTGGCCTAGAACTCCTGGGCTTGCGTTCCAGTCTGCTGGCCTTGGCCTTCCAAAGTGTTGGGATTACAGGTGTGAGCCACCCCGCCCAGCCCAGATGCACATTTGACCTAATGAACTGACAATTCACTGCTAATTTTAGGTTCCATTTGACTTAATCCTAAAAATGAGAGCATAAGTAGATAACAGCCTGTACATTGAAGTAGTTCCAGAAATATTGGATTTATCTAAAATTATGTTTTTCATTATAGTGTAGTTGCCCTGTAAATTTTTATTGATGGTAGTGCATAAAAAGGCATTAAAATTTGAGACTTCCTGATTTTAGAAGGTTTATGCCAAGCAAGTTTGACACTTTTAAGCTTACACCAAATGGGTGAATTGTGATCTAAGAATTGCTTAAGACTATACTTGGGTGCAGTTTTCATTTTTTGAAGGCTGCTTTACATGTGATTCTTTGTCCTATGTATTATCTATCTCAAAAGAAGGCATTGTAAATGGATTGAATTGAATTAGCACTTTTCCTTGATGGCTTTTGTATCCCTAATGATGTTGCTCAGCATTATGAGGGCATGTCTTAACAGTAATATACTTATGATCAGTAAAATCTTTCTGCTTAGTATTTTAAAGTTGAGAAGATAATTAATTGATTTTTCATCCTAATAGTAATGACTACTTTTTATTTAAAGAGGTGAAAATAATAATTCAGACACCTAATATAAGTATCCTAATAGAAGTAAAAAGTAGAGGAAGGACTTACACTCACTGAACTATATAAAACATGATATGATTATTGATTTTATAATACAAAATTCATTTTGGAAAAATAAATTGATTATGCTCATCTTTTAAGATATCTTTCTGAGGCTACCTTGACATTGCTATTGGAGAGATAAAGGGAAAAAACATCTACTTGAACTATTCTGTCTTAAAGCCTGTTTGTAGTTTGGTTTGTCTTCAGTGCATGTCATCAAAAAGATTATGTAGACAGAATGAAACAGCTTCATTTAAAAAACTGAAATGTTTTGTGTTAACTGTGTGTGAACGATATATTGCCCATTAGAATGTATATCTAATGGGCCATCCTGTAGTTCAAATCTTAGGAGATTTTGGGCCACTGTGAGCTACCAACATTTGTCTCTTTAAAACTGCAAGATTGAATGGGTAGCTACGTGCTGGACAGCATGTAGCTGTTGAGAAGGCTTTGGATGCTGAGAGAAGGAACTCAGGATACCTGTTTGTAAGGGAAGTTTTAACTTGTTCTGTGTCCTGAGAGGAAAAACTACACTGTTACAGTTGTTGTTGGAAAATCCTTTCTGAAGAACCAAAAGAGTTATTTTCTCACTGCTTAGCTAAACCTAGATATTCAGCCAGTAATCCACATGAGGATTGACCTGGGCTTTCGGATCAGGGCTCAGCATTGAGAAACCAAGTATTTGTGCTTTAAGAAGCGGGCTCATTTGTATTGTACTTGCTGAGGGACACTACTGTAACATTTATTCCTCATTTAAATTCAGTGGCTAAATTTAAAATCACTTCCCCAGGAGTAATTGCAGAAGTCTTTCACCCATGGCTGAAAATGAAAAATAAATTTATTTAATAGAGATGCTTTTGTGTTTTCATATTTCATTTAAAAAACTTTTGCTATCATAATGACATATTCACAGTTCACGACTTTCACACATATGGGTCTTCTTTTTGAAATTCTTTCTGCCTAGCTAACACTTGGACTTTCTGAGGAACTAACCTGGTTGACTCCTAGACTAGTTGAGACATGCATGTCACTTCTCAAAATACCTTGCATTAAAGAAGTAGCACATTTATGAGAATTGTATTTAAATACTGAAATTTTACTAATTATTTAATTACTTTCTATACTAACTTCACAAGGCAACACTTGCATTTTCGTTGTTGTTGTTCACTGCTGTATTGCCATTTCCCATTGCCTCTTTGATGCTTAATGGATGTGTACAGAATGAATGAATGCATGTGTGCATCCACTGTAAGATGAGGAGGGGAAACTGATGTGGGTGGGAAGACCTCTGAATCATAAGTAAAGTTTTGAGGGTTTTTCTCCTCCTCTCACATTTGTGTTTTGGAAAAGTAGGTTCTTTAATCCTTCATGTGTGACCTTTCACAAGGCAATTAAATTTTTTTATAAAGCCTGTTTTACTTTATTATGTGACTTCATAATTATAACTATCTGATATTTTATTCTCATTTAGCAGATTGCTCAAACAATAGGTATAAAAGCTGTTAACGGTAAAAATGTAGCTGTTAATGGTAAAAATGTGAATCACAAATTATTTTATGGAAGTATTTAGGGTTGGGTATTGTGGTCTACTTTAGTAGACCATATGAATGAGAACTTGAACACTTTCAAAATAATTTGAGATAAGATTGGTTAGACCAAATGGTCACCAAAATATAATTTATGTTAATAGATATTTCTGGAAAAAGCGAAGCCTTCTCTGAAAAATAAAGTCTTTCTTATAATTAAGAGACATGCATATTATATTTTACTGTTACAATAACCACAGGTCTTTATTTAATTACAAGAGAGAAAAAATATAAAATGGAGGAAAAAAGTAATTATCTGTATTTTTTCACCCCTTTCTTGGAAATAAATGGAAACTTTCATTTATTTATTTATTGAATAAGTCATATATTCATAAGGTTCTAACAAAAGCTACAACAAACACATAGGTGAAAAATATATATTATATTAGTCTTCTATATTTGCAGGTTCTGCATCTGTGGATTGAAAATGTTTGGAAGAAAAACAATGTAACAATAAAAAATACAAAGAAAAGAACCTAATACTGTATAACAACAGTTTACATAGCATTTACATTGTGTTAAGCATGACAAGTAATCCAGAGATGATTTAAAGTATATAGGCAGATGCGTGTAGGTTATATACAAATACTATGCCATTTTATATAAGGCACTAGTCCCCAGTCCCCGGGTTATGGATGGGTACAGATCCATGGCCTGTTAGGAACCAGGCTGCACAGCAGGAGGTGAGTGGCAGGTGAGTGAGCATTACCACCTGAGCTCCGCCTCCTGTCAGACCAGCAGTGGCATTAGATTCTCAGACCAGCAGTGGCATTAGATTCTCAGAGGAGCACGAACCCTATTGTGAACTGCACGTGCAAGGGATCTGGGTTGCAGGCTCGTTATGAGAATCTAATGCCTGATGATCTGAGGTAGAACAGTTTCATCCTGAAACTGTAACCCATCCTCCCCTCCCCCTGACCCACCTGTGGAAAAATTGTCTTCCATGAAACCAGTCCCTGGTGTCAAAAAGGTTCGGACTGCTGATTAAGGGACTTGAGCACCTGTAGAATTTTGTATCTGCAGGGGGTCTTGGAACCAATCCCCTGAGGATACCCAGCATGACCATACTTTTCATATATTTTAAGAACTGTATGTATTTCCTTTCATTAGACAGACGCTTTTAATGTAAAAACCTTGTACATAGTAGAGAATCTAGAAGTGGTATCACTTTGACAGTGGTGACTCTCTGTACTTTGATAACTCAAAGTATAATTTTTTCTGATTAAGTTTCTGCACCTGTTAGCAAAAGCAACCCCTTTCAGAGCATCTGAAACCTTGTAAGAATTTTTGAAAAGCTGTGAACTTTATTAATATTTGTGAATTCCTTCATTTTCAGCCAAAGGGATATTCATATAACAGTTAACATTTTACCAAGTCTTAAACTAGAGGATTGATATTCACAATATTTGGCCTCAGGAAAGTTTTATGTAAGTTATACAGGCATTTTTCATTTTTTCACTGGGGAATTGATGGCAGACTAGAGAGGGGAAGAAGAACAAAGAAAGCATGAAAAGGGGCAGAAAAGGTGTTTTGAGAATTCCGGTCTTTATTTTCCATAAAAGAAGTGATAGCAACTAAAATAGTATTTTTTAGTTCTTTTATTTACTTCTAATTTTTAAAATACAAAGTATAAAGAAGACTTTTTAAAAAGTTGCTGATAATCGTGTCTGCTCCTTCCTGGTAATATTCCTAGGAAGAATATTTTTCTAAATTTATTTCTTTCAAAGTTTATGGATTTTATTTATTTATTTATTTATTTATTTATTTTTAGACAGAATCTGGCTGTCTCCCAAGCTGGAGTGCAGTGACGTGATCTTGGCTCACTGCACCCTCCACCTCCCAGGCTCAAATGGTCCTCCTATCTCAAGTTTCCCAGTACTGAGACTACAGGCATGTGTCACCATGCTCAGTTAATTTTGTATTTTTTGTAGAGACAGGGTTTCGCCATGTTGGCCAGGCTGGTCTCCAAATCCTGGGCTCAAGTGATCCACCCACCTTGGCCTCCCAAGGTGCTGGAGTTACAGGTGTGAGCCACTATACCTGGCCTTTTTTTTTTTTTTTCTCAGACAAGGTCTTGCCCAGGCTGGAGTACAGTGGCAGGAACACACCTCACTGCAGCCTCGACCTCCCAGGCTCAAGCGATCCTCCCACCTCAGCCTCCTGAGTAGCTGAGACTACAGGTGTGTGCCACTATGCCTGGCTAATCTTTTTAATATTATTTTATTTTTTGTAGAGATGGGGTTTTGCCATGTTGCCCAGGCTGGGCTCAAACTCCTGAGCTCAAAAAGTCTATCCACTTGGGTCCCCCAAAGTGCTGGTATCACAGGCGTGAGCTACTGTACCCTGCCTAATTTTATGGCATTGAGGGCATAAAAAATGGTCTTTGCTGTTCCAGTGTAGTGCTAATCAAAGTGCTGCCTGTGGATTTGTCAGTTTATGACAACATAAGTTCAGAAATTGAGAGTAAGAATTTAGAAATTTTTATAGCAATTTGACAGTAATTTTATGTCTGTTGAATCTAATAATAAGAATTTGGGGCCTGTATTTTATAGTTTTTTAGAGTTCATTTTTCTGATAACTTGGTTTTTGTTGTATTTTACTAAAGTATTAGCCTGAAACAGATTGGAGACTTTAAAAGACTGACAATCCTCACAGTTTGAGAAGCTGTGCTCTATATTATTTCATTTTTCAATCATATTTGAGATCTTCTTATTCCTCCCTCACTCAACCAACCTCCCTCTTCTCAGAGATAGACTTCCATCATCATTCATCAAGGGCATACCAAGGAAGATCTTCCCACCAAAATAAAAATATTGGGAAGAAATAGTGATACCCATCAGGGATGGGAGAAAAACTCAGAAGGCTGACTTCTTTCCTCTCTGGATGAGCCTACTAATGGGGTTATGGAGTAAGGTTCAGTAGGAGAACTGCAGAGATTTATAGAATGAAGAAAGGGGACTTTGGGGGCTCTGCCTTTTCTGCTACTTTTCTCTCTTCGTTTCCTTCTTTTTCTTCATTTCTCTCCCCTTTTCCCTTATTCCTACTCTTCTTCTGCTTCCTTTTCTCTCTTCCTTTTTGGTCTAGGTGGTTAGAATTTGTGACTGAGGAAATTTGTTTTGAAGCTTGTGTGATGTTTGGAAATAGCTGTGTTTCTCCTGGAAGCTAGAAGAGACATACCGAGAGTTAATCAGGGCAGCCATCTAGAGTTAGGCTTTAAGAGAGTGAAAACTCCTGACTTATCCAGCCTACTATATTTAAGTAGGAAGAACAGATAGTGAGATTGAGGGATTCAACTGTTAAAGAATCAAATGTGCAATGTGTCAAATGTGTTATCTCAGGAGGGAGGATGGCAATGATGTGTAGGGTAAGCGGCAGCCCACATGGTGGTCATGAGATGGGCTTTGGAGTCACACTGCCTGGGTTCCAGCCCCAGCCCTGTGATCTTTAGCTCTGTGACCTTAGACTAGCAACTTAAGTTCTTTCCATCTTGTTTTCTCAGTTACAAATTGAGGATAAAAGTATCTACTCCATAGGATTTTTATGAGATTAAGTAAGTTAAGGCCGGGCGCAGTGGCTCACACCTGTAATCCCAGCACTTTGGGAAGCCGAGGTGGGTGGATCTTTTGAGGTCAGGAGTGCTAGACCAGCCTGACCAGCATGGTGAAACCCCATCTCTACTAAAAATACAAAAATTAGCCGGGCGGGGTGGTATGCACCTGTAATCCCAGCTACTCGGGAGGCTGAGGCAGGAGAATTGCTTGAACCCAGGAGGCAGAGGTTGCAGTGAGTCAAGATCATGCCACTGCACTTCATCCTGGACAATGGAGTGAGACTCCACCTCATTAAAAGAAAAAAAAAAGTTAATACATGTAAAACATCTAACTATCCAGGAAGCATATTGAAATAGATATCTTTGTGATTGTTGCCACTGCTGTAGGTACTAGCCATATATTTTGCAGGGCGAGCTTTGGTAAGGTTTTTTCCTTTCTAGTTTGTTATTTTGAAAATGTTGGTTTTAATTCGTAGACAGACATTTTTGGTAATGATTGTCTTTCTGTTTTCAAGTTTAGAGATATAGGATATGTTGGGTATTACTTAAATTATTTCCCATGTCCCCCTGTAACTGATAGTCACAAAACAGAGGCATAGAAAGGTAAATTATTAGGGTGGCAAGCAAATTACTTTATATAGTCTACACTTCCTCATCTCCCTCACCACCTAAACTGCTTAAACTGCTGAGCAAACTCAGGACGATAATTCAGTGACTGGTGTACTCCGATTTGAAATAACTTTTTGGATACTGAATATTAATTCAGTGTTTAAATTATTACTGCAAGAGGATTTCTTAATCTGTCTTTAGCCAGTAGAATTTTTGAATAACTTGGGTATTTTTCACTGACTTTTCCTAAATAATACTGTTTTAGAATAGCCTCTCATCGTGTAGTAGGAAGATGGTTTTGATAGTAGAGCTTCACATTGGGACAAGAAGAGCAGTAATATTGTCCAGTTCATGTGTGAATTTATTTTAGAGAACTGCCAAGTTTCTCCTCCGATGTGCCTGTCACTTGGCCACCAGAAGGATTTCTTTCATTGCCAATCAAACCATTTAGTTTCTGATGATTGTCCTATTTTAAAAAACCCAAACATCTGATTTATTTTCCAACGTTGATACCTCAGACTTTTTTCTCCATCAAACAAGCAAGAAAGGTCATTTGAACATCTAACTGTTGACCACTCAGAGTTCTACCCCTTTTATATTCTCACTGTGTTCTGCTTGTTTCTGTTAGCTCATAAATAGCAGGTTGTGATTTTGGCTAGCATCAAGTTACTTAACGTGAGCTTACATTTATTATATGCAGAATGATAGGGAAATTGACTGTGTTTAGCTATCACATCTTTTTATTCCCATTTGGAGTCATTACTATTACATCTTTATGGGACAATTTAAATATCCTGTTTAGAAATAATACAATACCCTGGATAATCAGAATTCTGTTTGGCTAGGAGACCTCCTACTCCCTTGTTTCAATCATTTACTAGTGTTATCACAGTCTAATAGAAAGGTATTTTAGTATTTTCTTTTGAAATTAAGTTTATTATTCATTTTAGTAATATAAATCCAGGTTCCTATTAACTAGATTGAAGCTCACATTTCATTTTATAGCATTTTCTACAAAAAAGCAAAAAAAAGTTTGTGATCTGATTGAAATCACTATGATGTGTAATGAGAATCAGAACTTCATGGTTGTGCGACTTTCTTTTTTTTTTTTTGAGACAGAGTGTCACTCTGTCACCAGGTTGGAGTGCGGTGGCACTATCTCGGCTCATTGCAACCTCCGCTCCCGGGTTCAAGCAATTCTCCTGCCTCAGCCTCCCGAGTAGCTGGGATTACAGGTGTGCGCCACCACGCCTGGCTAATTTTTGTATTTTTAGTAGAGATGGGGTTTCGCCATGTTGGCCAGGATGGTCTCCGTCTCGTGACCTCGTGATCTGCCCGTCTTGGCCTCCCAAAGTGCTGGGATTACAGGTGTGAGCCGCCGTGCCTGGCCCGTTACGCTATTTTCATGGAGAAAGACTACCATATGTAACTGAAATTGTGTAATGGTGCTCTTGTGTCTGGTCATTTATGCACCAGTAACTTGTTAAATACATAATCTGTTTCTCATTTTCAGATTCATGTCTTCTGTTCAGTACTCAGGGCTTGTGGTTGTCTGCCTTGTGTTTAGACATACCCAGGAATCTCATTACTTTGCATTGAAGACTGTTTTTATTTTTGGAATGTTCTGAATGTTTCCAAACTCTGAACTGTGCTGAGTATTGAAATCTTTCTTTCTGGAACTTGCACTCATAACCACTGTTCTTACTTAGAGGATTATTAGATTCCTGGGTCCTCACTGAGACTTTCTAAACCAAGTTTCTTGTAATGAGTTTGCATAGTCTGAATTTTATAACAGTGCCCTGAGAGATTTTAAAGAGATGGGCAGTGGGGTGGTGGGGATAAAACCAAAGTGTTTTTCCTATTTTCACACCATTCAGCACAACACTTCTGACAATAGACATGTGGGGATATTTCCCCATACACCAACCAGTCATTTCTCCAGTGGACACCAGCCGGGTGTACTGCAATTCAATTCTGACACTACCTACCTGGAGATAGCCTTAGATCTTACAGATTGAGGGTTCAGTCCTACAAGACTGCTCCACATTTCAGATGCCAGTCTTAAGTCACTTTTTTTTTTTTTGGAAACAGCCTTGCTCCATCACCCAGGCTGGAGTGCAGTGGCGTGATCTCAGCTCACTGCAACCCCCACCTCCTGGGTTCAAGCGATTCTTGTGCCTCAACTACCCGAGTAGCTGGGATTACAGTTGTGCGCCACCATGATGCCCAGCTAATTTTTGAATTTTTAGTAGAGATAGGGTTTTGTCATATTGGCCAGGCTGATGTTGAACTTCTAGCCTCAAGTGATCTGCCCACCTCAGCCTCCCAAAGTGCTGGGATTACAGGCATGAGCCACCACGCATGGCTGGAAGTCACCTATATTTCTGATCAACTGGCTATAAATTGCTGGGTCCCATGACTCCTTCCTTGGGTTCAATTAATTTTCTAGAGATGCTCACAAAACTCAGGGAAACACTTTACTTACATTTACCCATTTATTATAAAGGATGTTACAAAACAGTACAGACGAACAGCCAGATGGGAGAGATGCACAGGGCAGGGCGTATGAAAAGGGGAACAGCGCTTCTATGCCCTTTCTGGGAGCCACCCTCCAGGTGCCTCCAGGTGTTCAGCTGTCCAAAAGATCTCTGAATCTAGTCCTTGTGGGTTTTTAAGGAGGCTTCATTATGTAGTTATGATTGCTTACGTCATTGGCCATTGGTGATCAACTCAAACTTCAGCCCCCTTCCCTTCCTAGAGGTTGGAGGTGGGGCTGAAAGTCCCAAACTTATCATGCCTTGGTCTTTCTGGTGACCAGCCTCCATCCTGAAGCTACCTGGGGCCCCCAGCCACTATCATCTCATTAGCATACAAAAGACACTTCTATCATTAGATTTCAAGGATTTTAGGAGCTGTAAGCTAGGAAAGTGGACCAAATATGTATTTCATAGTATCACAGATTTTGATCAGCCAAGTGTGGGAAGTACTGCTCTGTAAAACACAGTAATTCAGTCTTTTCAACGCCATCATATTTAAAGTAATTCCTAGTATGATATAATTTATGGATCTTTCTGTGTTCTGATGGTGATTGTTTCTCTGATACTGAATTGCACGTAATGTTCTTGATGTCTCAGCTAAATGATTGACAAAATACCTTAGACTGGGTAATTTATAAACGACATTATTTTATGGCTCACAGTTCTGGAGACTGGGAACTCTGAGATCAAGTTGCCAGCAGATTCAGTGTCTCATGAAGGCTCACTTTGCTTCAGGATGGTACCTGATAGCTGTGCCTCACATGGAGGAAGGGCAAAGAGGCTAACAAGCTTCCTCAGGCCTCTTTTATAAATATTACTAATTTTATTCATGGAGATGGAGTCCTCATGACCTGATCACCTCCTAAAGGTCCCACATCTAAATACTGAATTTGAGATTAAGTTTGAATATATGAATTTTGGAGGGAATAAACATTCAGAACATAGCATTCTGTCCCTGTGTGATGGTTAATATTAGGTGTCAACTTGGTTGGATTGAAGGATGCTTAGATAGCAGGTAAAGCATTGTTTCTGCATATGTTTGTGAGGGTGTTGCCAGAGGAGACTGACATTTGAGTCAGTGGACTTGGAAGAGGAAGACCCACCCTCAATGTAGGTGGGCACCATCCAGTCGGCTGCCAGCACCGCTAGAACAAAGCAGGCAGAAGAAGATGGGATTATCTGTCTTGCTGAGGCTTCTGGCTTTCATCTTTCTCCCACGCTGGATGCTTCCTTCTGTTCCTCCTGCCTTTGGACCTCAGACTTCAGGTTCTTCGGCCTTTGGACTCTTGGAATTAACACCAGTGGTTTGCTGGGGCTCTTGGGCTTTTGGCCACAGGCTGAAGGCTGCACTGTAGGCGTCTCTGCTTTTGAGGCTTTTGAACTCCGACTGAGCCACTACTGGCTTCTTTCTTCCCCAGCTTGCAGATGGCCTATCGTGGGACTTCATCTTGTGATCATGTGAGCCAATTCTCCCCAATAAATTCCCATATATATATATGGGATATATATATATATCTCCTGTTGGTTCTGTCCCTCTGAAGAACCCTGACTAATACACCCTGGTGTCCCAAAATTCATGTCCTTCTCACATGCAAAATACATTCATTTCATCTTGGTAGCCCCAAAAGTCTTAACTTGTTCCAGCATCAACTTGAAAATCTGAAGTGCAGAGTCTCGTTTAAATATCTAAATCGGGTATGGGTGAGACTCAAGTTATGATTCACCTTGAGGCAAATTGCTCTCCAGCTGTGAACCTGTGAGATCAAACAGGTTATGTGCTCATATATATAAGGCACTCATTAACCATTTGCTGAAAGAATGGAACCTCATGGCAAACTAATCTAACTCTGACTTTTAAGATTACAGTAAAATATTGGTCTCAGCATTCAATAATTATCAACAGTTGGTAGTACTGATAATTTTTGGTGTACACAAGGAAAGCCCTAAATGGATTCTAGATTTACCTGCAACTTCTGGTAGTGAATTCTTGTTCTCTCTAACAGAAATGGCTTTAGCCTTATCCTTATATTTGAGTGCTTCTGGGCTGTTACTTTGAAGGGCAGAGGTGATTTGATTCATCAAAGCACTAACGTAATGAGTGGGAGAGGATGAATCAGCAGACAGTGTGCTGGAGAAATACTCTGCCAGGCAAACCAAAATCTTGCTTCTCTGCTCCTTCACTCCCTCCTTGGTATGGACTTTGCTCAACTGGGAACAGTGACATTGCTTAATAGATTTTTCCCTAACTGCTGTCAGCACCCTGCCCTCTGCCAATCTCAGCATTACCCAGAGCACAGGAACACATGGTCCACCACTGCAGTAGAACAAGAATCTTCAGTGTTGCTTCAGTTTATTTTACTCTTAGTTTTAAAAAAGAAAAAGAAAAAAAGAGGCACTGACATAAGAACATTTCCTTTCCATTTCTAGCTGTTTTTTGTGATTGTGCATTTGATTTCTGTAGGGGAAGTAAAACAGCTAGAGTTAAATCAATGCTGTGTGACGAGAGACCAGAGAGCTAGAAGTGATCTACTAACATTTGGTGCTGTCTTGATAAAAGCCAACTGTGTAGGCTGGCTTATTGGGCAAAAAATAAATAAATAAACTTAGGATTGTGAAAAAAGGTACAGGAAACTTATTAAGTGGTATTGGTGGAAGTTCTAACCTAAACAAAGAGCTGGAAGGAAAAGGCTCCCTTGGAGGTCAGAAACTTGGCTCCTTGGGTCAAGTGTTGATGGGCCTTGGTTTTGAAAGGCTACAGCTGTATAAAGGAGTCTGTTGCCATACGTCCTGGGGCTGGAATGGGCTGAAGACTTTCTCATCTTCTCTAAGGGATAGGAGAACATACTTAGTAGAAAATGCACTGATAGGAGGAACCAGGAGTTGGCAAGCATGGATTTCTTGGAAACAATCTGGCATCCAGGAGTAATAGCACATAATATATACAATCTGTTATAAAGAATAAAATCACACTAGTTGATATGGAAGCAGACTGTAAACTTAGATTGTTCAGAAGTTATTTATCATCCTATACTGTGCTCTTTATCATTACTTTCAATGGCAAAAACTGTGATTACTTTTGCACCAACCTAATATGACTTTTGGCAGCCTTGCTATCCTTGACTCTCAGTTTTCTTGTTACTTTCTCCCTATGCTGTAGACACCTTTAATTGCCTGCCATTCCTTGGAAATGGTAGTGTTTTCATATCATCGTGTCTTTCACATGTTTTTTGTTTTTGCTTGCAGTACATACTTCTTTCCTTTTTTTGTTTCTGCAAATTCCAAACCATGTTTTATTACTCAAAGCAGTTGTCATCATCTCTTGAGAAACTGTCTTCATGCCTCCAAAGTGTATTAGTTGTTCCAGTCTTTGTGTTATTGATAGCTTGTATACATTTCATCATTATATCATAATGGCCCAGATTATCTTTTCTCTTTGCTTGTCCCTCTGCCTGGAATGCCTTGTCTCTGGATATCTGCTTGCTCTCTCCTTTACTTTGTTTTGGTCTCTGGTCTCTGTTCAAATGTCACCCCTGCCAGAAGTCTTCCCTGACTACCCAAACTTAAAATAGCATTTCTTGGCATTTTCAGTACCCTTTCTCTGCTCTATTTTTCTTTTGTAGTACATCTTTTACTTCCAGACATTTTATTACATATTTATGTTTATTTGTTGATTTTCTCTTTCCCCCTACTGAATTTAAGTTGCATGAATGCAAGGACCTCATTTTGTTCATTGCCATATGATGCCATGCCTACAACAGCCTAGCACTTAGTAGATACTTAGCAAGTATTTGTTGAATGATAGAATGAATGAATATTTTATTTCTCCATGTATTAGGGTTCTCTAGAGGGACAGAACTAATGGAATATATATGTAAAGGTGAGTTTATTAAGTATTAACTCACGTGATCACAAGGTCCCACAATAGGCTGTCTGCAAGCTGAGGAGCAAGGAGAGCCACTCTGAGTCCCAAAACTGAAGAACTTGGAGTCCGATGTTTGAGGGCAAGAAGAATGCAGCACGGGAGAAAGATGTAGGCTGGGAGGCTAGGCCAGTCTCTCTTTTCACATTTTTCTGTCTGCTTTATATTCTAGCCATGTTGGCAGCTGATTAGATGGTGCCCACCTAGATTAAGGCTGGGTCTGCCTTTCCCAGCCCACTGACTCAAATGTTAATCTCCTTTGTCAACACCCTCACAGACACACCCGGGATCAATACTTTGTATCCTTCAATCCAATCAAGTTGCCACGCAGTATCAACCATCACACCCCACTAGTTTAATAGTTCATTCTTACAGTCATCAGCATCTGGCACTTATGTAATCACTCAGTAAACGTATAGTAAATGAATAAATGCATAGTTCAGTATTAAATGTCAGGGGGCTCAACTGTTACCAGTGGAAAGAAGATTCTTGTTCTTTAGATGAATTCTTTCTAAAGAAACAACAATTTAAGGTCTGAAAAAGTAGAAAAGGTAGATTATTCCCACTCCTAGTTTTCTCTGGAGTTTTCCACTCCAGTTTTTGGGTTTCTATTGGTGATGTGGTTTTAGGTTTTTGAGAAATACCCATGTTTGCTGGATAAGACAAGAGGAAATTATTTGGAAGATCTGTGTAAATATTTGCACACCATGTTTTTTTCCAAATAAATTCTTTGATGACATCCTAGATTTTTTTTGTCTGTCTTCATGTGTTTGGAATGGTTCCCCAATCTGCATTCTTAGTGATGTCTGCTTGAAACAGTTTACCATGCCCCTTTTTCCTGTTGCTGTGTATTAGATTATTATACGAAAACGCAGACCTTTTAGTAATTTTCAGTTTTACTTCTGTATGTTTAACTTTGATTATTGTTCATCTGATAGTCCTAATTTTGTTGCTGTTTTAATCAGTTTTGCAATGATCTCGTCTTTTTCATCTTAGACCCAGAGCTGATTTTAACCACTTAATGCTAATCTCAAGAATTCTCTCAGTTATTTTAATATTTTAAAACAGGAAAATAGGCTGGCCACAGTGGCTCACACCTGTAATCCTAGCACTTTGGGAGACTGAGGCAGGCGGATCACTTGAGGTCAGGAATTCGAGACCAGCCTGGCCAACATGGTGAAACCCCATCTCTACTAAAAAAATACAAAAATTAACTGGGCATGATAGTACAAATAAAATAAAATAAGGAAATAAAAATAATACGTATGTAGCAACTGGAGAAGAATACAAATTTGTTGCCCACATGAAAAATGAGTATTAGTGTTAATAACTGTTTAGACTAATGAAAAATTGTAAAGTCTATGTAAATATTTATCACCTCTTAGAATTGAAAAGAACCCTAGAAACATTTGATCTAACCATCTTGTACAGCTAAGCGGAATGAGGCCAGAGATATAATTGGCTTGCCCAAAGTCACAACATTTGTTAGTGGTAATAGTGCTAGAATTGGCCTCAGGTTTCCTTTATACTACTAAGGGTTGCAAGGGCATGGGCTGTCAGGCACTTTCATACATAGTTTGTGGAATTATAAATGGCCACAAATATTCTGGCTAGCAACCTAGTATCATAGAACAGAAATTTTAGTGTGCATACCTTTTTATTATTTTTTTTTATTTTTAATTTTTGTGGGTACATGGTAGGTGTATATATTTATCGGGTACCTGAGATGTTTTCGTACAGGCATGCAATGCATAATAATCACATCGTGGAGAATCGGGTCTCCATCCCCTGAAGCATTTATCCTTTGTGTTACAAACAATCCAATAACACTCTTATTTTAAAATGTACAATTAAGTTATTATTGACTATAGTCACCCTGTTGTACTATCAAGTAGTAAGTCTCATACATTCCTTTTAAATATTTTTTACTCATCAGACATCCCCCCCAACACACACACACACACACACACACCCCTCCACTACATTTCCCAGCCTCTGGTAACCATCCTTCTACTCTCTGTGTCAATGAATTCAATTATTTTGGCTTTTTTGGTCCCGCAGATAAGTGAAAATATGCTTATCTTTCTGTGCCTGGCTTTTTATACTTAACATAATGATCTCCACTTCCATTCATGTGGTTGCAAATGACAGGATCTCATTCCTTTTTATGGCTGAATAGTACTCCAGTGTGTATATGTATCACATTTTCTTTGTCCATTCATCTGTTGATGGACACTTAGGTTGCCTCCAAATCTTGGCTGTTGTGAACACTGCTGCAACAAACATGAAAGTGTAGATATCTCTTCAATATACTGACTTCCTGTCTTTTGAGTATATACCCAGCAGTGGGATTGCTGGATCATACAGTGGCTCTATTTTTTTTTTTTTAAGATGTAGTCTTGTTGTGTCACCTAGGCTGGAGTGCAGTGGTGCGATCTCGGCTCACTGCAACGTCCACCTCCCAGGTTCAAGCGATTCTCCTGCCTCAGCCTCCTGAGTAGCTGGGACTACTGGCATGCCCCACCACACCCGGCTAATTTTTGTAATTTTAGTAGAGACGGGGTTTCACCATGTTGGCCCGGATGGTCTCAATCTCCTGACCTCATGATCCGCCCGCCTCAGCCTCCCAAAGTTCTGGGATTACAGGCATGAGCCACTGTGCCTGGCCAGTAGCTGTATTTTTAATGTTGAGGAGCCTTCAAACTGTTCTCCATAGTGTTGTACTAATTTACGTTCCCACCAACAGTGTACAAGGGTTCCCTTTTCTCCAAATCCTTGCCAGCATTTGTTATTGCCTGTATTTTGGAAGAAAGCAATCTTAATTGGGATGAGATGATATCTCATAGTTTTGATTTGCATTTCTCTGATGATCAGTGTTGAGCACCTTTTCATATGCCTGCTTGCCATTTGTACGTCTTTTGAGAAATGTCTATTCAAATCTTTTGCCAATTTTTTTATTGGATTATTAGATTTTTTTTTTCATAGCGTTGTTTGTCAGATGGGTAGTTTGCAATTTTTTTCTCCTATTCTGTGTTTTGTCTCTTTGTTGATGGTTTTCTTTGTTGTGTAGAAGCTTTTAAAGTTGATGTGTCCCATTTGTCCATTTTTTTGCTTTGGATGCCTATGCTAGTAGGGTATTGCCGAAGAAATTTTTGCCCAGACCAATGTCCTGGAGAGTTTCTCCAGTGTTTTCTTGTAATAGTTTCATAGTTTGAGGTGTTTGAGTTAAGTCTTTAATCCATTTTAGTTTGATTTTTGTATATGATGAGAGATAGACGTCTAATTTCATTCTTCTGCATATGGATGTTCAGTTTTCCCAGCACCATTTATTAAAGAGACTGTCTTTTTCCCAGTGTATGGTCTTGGCACTTCTGTTGAAAATGAGTTTCTTGCAGGTATGTGGATTTGTTTCCGGATTCTCTATTCTGTTCATTGGTTTATATTTCTGTTTTTATCAGTACCATGCTGTTTTGGTTAATATAACCCTGTAGTGTAATTTGAAATAAGGTAATGTGATTCCTCCAGTTTTGTTCTTTGTGCTAAGGATAGCTTTGGCTATTCTGGGTCTTTTATGTTTCCACGTAAATTTTAGGATTGCTTTTTCTGTTTCTGTGAAGAATGTCATTGGTATTTTGATAGAGATTCCATTGAATTTATAGATTGCTTTGGGCAGTATGGACATTTTAACAATATTGATTCTTTCAATCCATGAACATGGAATATCTTTCCATTTGTTCCTGTCCTCTTCCATTTCTTTCATCAGCATTTTATAGTTTTCATTGTAGAGATCTTCTTTGGATAAGTTAATTCTGAGGTACTTAATTTAATTTGTGGCTGTTGTAAATGGGATTACTTTTTTGAATTGTTCATTTTTGGCATATAGAAATGCTACTGATTTTTGTGTGTTGACTTTGTATCCTGCAACTTTACTGAATTTGTTTATTAGTTCTAAATGGTTTGTGTGCGTGTGTGTATTCTTCAGGTTTTTCCAAATATAAGATCATATCATCTGCAAATAAGGATAATTTGACTTCTTCCTCTCCAGTTTGGAACGTTGTATCTTTTTTGTTTGTTTGTTTGATTGTTCTAGCTAGGACTTCCAGTACTGTGTTGAGTAAGAGTGATGAAAATGGCCATTCTTGTCATGTTGCAGATTTTAGAGGAAAGGTTTTCAGTTTTTCCCCATTCAGTATGATACTAGCTGTGGGTCTGTCATATATGGCTTTTATTATGTTGTGGTATGTTCCTCTATTCCCAGTTTTTTGAGGGTTTATATCATGTAGGGATGTTGATTTTATCAAATGCTTTTTCAGCATCAATTGAAATGATCATATGGTTTTTGTCCTTCATCTTGTTGATATGATGTATCACACTGATTAATTTACATTTGTTTAACCATCCTTGCATCCCAGGGATAAATCCCACTTGGTCATGGTGAATGATCTTTCTAATGTATTGTTGAATTCGGTTTGCTAGTATTTTCTTTTTTTTTTTTTTTTTTTGAGACGGAGTCTTACGTGGTCGCCAAGGCTGGAGTGCAGTGGCGCAATCTGGGCTCACTGCAAGCTCTGCCTCCTGGGTTCATGCCATTCTCCTCTCTCAGCCTCCCAAGTAGCTGGGACTACAGGTGCCCACCATCACGCCCAGCTAATTTTTTGTATTTTTAGTAGAGGCGGGGTTTCACCATGTTAGCCAGGATGGTCTCAATCTCCTGACCTTGTGATCTGCCCACCTTGGCCTCCCAAAGTGCTGGGATTACAGGCGTGAGCCACTTCGCCTGGCCTCGGTTTGCAGTATTTTCTGGAGGATTTTTGCATCAATGTTCATTAGAGATATTGGCCTGCAGTTTTCTTTTTCTGATGTGTCTTTGTCTGGTTTTGGAATCAGGGTAATACTGGCCTCATATAATGAATTTGAAAATATTCCCTTCTTTTTTACTTTTCAGAACAGTTTAAGTAGGATTGTATTAGTTCTTCAGATGTTTGGTAGACTTCAGCAATGAAGCCATTGGGTCCAAGGCTTTTCTTTACTGGGAGACTTTCTGTTACGGCTTTGGTCTCATTACTTACTATTGGTCTGTTCAGGTTTTGGATTTCTTCCTGGTTCAGTCTTGGTAAGTTATATGTGTCTAGGAATTTGTCCCTTCTTCTAGATTTTCCAATTTATTGGCATACAGTTGCTCATAGTAGCCACTAATGATCCTTTGGATTTCTGCAGTATCAGTAGTAATTTAGTCTCCTTTTTAATTTCTGATTTTATTTTTAAATGTGCATACTTTTTAAGAAAGAATTTCTAAAGAAAAGATACATATGCCAAAATAGAAGTATAATATTATTCATCACTTTATGTATAACAACAAAAAAATTAGGAAGTAACTTAAAAGACTAAATAGTAGCCTGTTGACTAAATACCTTTGATTTGCAGTGTGGCAGTTCATCAGATGTTTATTGTGTTTTGTGTTTACGTCTGTGTATGATAGCCCTAAATAGAAATATAAGATACAGTTAGTTTGAGGAGCATTGTATTATGGAGAGTTGGGTACACATGTGAAAAGTGGAATAGTATAAAACAGTAGATGAGAGAAAGAGCCTTGCCTCTTCTTTAATATCTTTTCTTAGAATTGAAGGTAATGCCTTATGGGAATAGGGCCTTATTAAATGTTAATGATTAACATTTTGAAGATTATTAAGGTTTTTAAAAAGCGAATCCCTGTTTTTATAAGCTATACTTACCTTAGCATGTGAAATCATGATTTTGCACTATTTGGAATAAGCATTCTGTTTTAAAAGTTCTTAAATTTTCTTGAGCTTTTTGTTTTGAAATATCTTTAGCTTGTGGGTTTTGAAAGGCCTGTGATTTTTCCTCCTGTCGTAGAAGTATGCTGGCCTGGTGTTTACCAACCACACTTAGAGAAACTCTGTTCTCACATTTCATTAAATCGTAAGTTCCTATAATTTTTTTGGTTATAGACGCCTTTGAGGATTTGTGAAAAGTCGTGGTCCCACTCAATGGAATATACATGCATGCTTGCACAGAATTTGCATACAATTTCAGAAGATTTGTCTCATCATTGAGGGAGGGTTGAAATGTATGATTATCATTGTTAATCCATTCCCAGGTATGCTAGATTTGACTAATTTGCTTTTAGTCTTTATAATTATTTGTGACATTTCCTATCATTTCTCTCACTATTCCAGAGTAGGCTATATAGAAACACTGATTTCTCTGTAATTAACAAATTTGTTTGATTTTCAGATGTTTGTGGATGTGTTCTTTTTACAGACTATCATACTTTCACATTTCTAGTAGGATATTCACACATTAACACTTTGGATTTAGACATATGTAGATTAGCTATAAGTCAGAAGTGTTAATGAGGCATCTCAATAGTAAATCACAGTTGATGAAGACATGTTTCTATTTATTAGGACTTTGGTAGAGTAGAGTAAGATGCTGTTTTACTAAATAAGGGCTCATCATAGGAAATAAACTTAGACTACTAGAACAGACCGTGCTGTATCAGCAAAAGCCCTGTGTTTGAACTAGATAGCTCCATGGCTACATAAGGAAAAGAGACATAATTGTCCTCTTCTGTTTGCTTTTATAAGGGAGGATGACACGTACTTTGAGGTATTCTCCTCATTGCTACCATATAAGGTGTATTCTCTAACTTTTGAGTAAAATTGGCATAACCAAAATAAGGCCCACTGTTAAAGTAAGTACTGCTCATATGAGTCAGGATTACACATTTGCTCACAGAGAGACATCGGTGATTGCTTGTTTTATTTCCCTACCATTCTAACCTACAAAAAGCCTTATCATTTTATTTCACAGAAAAAGGTAATAAATCCAAAGCAGTCTCTCTCTCTCTCTCTCTCTCTCTTTTTTAGTTGGTATGAGGTCTCACTTGTTACCCAGGCTGGAGTATGGTAGTGCAATCATGGCTCACTGCAGCCTCGATCTCCTGGGCTCAGGTCGTCCTCCTGCCTCAGCCTCCTGAGTAGCTGGGACCACAGGTCCCAGATGGCACACACCATGCCCATCCAAATTTTTTAATTTTTTGTAGAGATAGGGTCTCACTATGCTGCCCAGGCTGGTCTCAAACTCCTGGGCTCAAGCGATCCTCCCACCTCAGTCTCCCAAAGTGCTAGTATTACAGGCATGAACCACTGTGCCCACCCCAGCCTTAGATTTTAAGAGGGATGTTTACATTAGACACATAAACCAGAGATTGACATTTTAAATGTAGTTGAATAGCATTTGTAGACTGCTCAAAGTGCCAACATTATATAACAACAAGTAGTGCAGGACAGAACAATGTTAAATGCTGAAGTGTGATATTATAAGGTAGATTAATAAGCACTAGGATGATAATAAACCAATTAGGATTTGAAAAAAGCTTTAATGCATATATGCGGGGGGGACATCACATCACACATTTTCTTTACTTCTGCTCACTTTACTAGTCCCTCAGTTGCTCGTAAAAACTTCACCGGGATTTTATTTATTTGTGTTGTTGAGTGGGTTGAGTAGTACCTATTGTTGGCAGGAAAGCAAGTTCTGTGAAAGTTCTCTGTCATAGGTGTAATGCTCACACATTCTTATGTAGGTGTTTTGCAAGGGGGTGGTGACGCAAAAAGTCACATAGTCACGTTTATGGTATCCTGGGAAATATGTGGGAGAGAGATAACTAGAAACTGTCAACCATAGTCTTATATGTCCAGATTCAAATTTTTTATTTGACAGCAGGTACTGGAAAATATATTTTAAAACAAAATTCAAGATTGCTCATTAATTAGATTTTAAGAAAAATAACACTTTCTCAGTGCTTTTTCTGCCTCAAGAAAGTCTTGTTTGTCAGACTGATATAATTTTATTAGCATAATTCTTCAAATTTTGGTAACAGCACTGTCAGAAAAACAACAGCTTCCATTTTCCCATGGTTTGGTTCCCAGGGTTTTTGGACATGGGAAATTTCTGTTAGTGTTTCTTTCTGTAGCCCTCATGTTTATATGTTCCTTTTTTACATTTACTATATCTGATGGCATTCCTGCCATACCCATAGTGTTAGGGTCATGTGTTTCCAAGCATTCCATATTTGTTGAAAATATGCAGAAGATTGAAACTTGCCCTTTGGTAGTGGCTCTTTATATAGGTACACGTCTCCTACTTGTTGCCTGTAGTACATTATAGGATAATCACCAAAGTAAATTTCTTTTGAATCAGCATAAATTGTTCTATTTAGTAAACATCTGACTATTAAAATGGTGTTACCTGTCCATATTATAAATCATTTCTATTGCTGATGCCTATTTTCTTAGTTTGGCAACTGCTGGCTTATTTCCAAGGAAACGCAAATAGAGGTTATTGTGTACATTTTGAGTATTTCCTGCAATTTAGAAGGATAAATTTCATATATAGACAATTCTAAGACATTGGAGTCACTGTTGCGATTAAACATCGTGCCTTTTTATGGAAAAGCTTAGGGCATGTAGGAGCTATATTGAATGATCATATTCAAGAGAAATCTTAGATGGTTAGACTTATTTAAAATGATATCTGCCATAATGGGTTATAATTTTTAAAAATGAAAGCTCTATTGGTTTGTTTGTGATAGAAGTGCTCTCAAGAGGTAATAGCTAAGGGGAAGGCTTAGTGTAGCAGGTATATCCAACTCCTTATAAATCCTAAATAACATACTTGTTTGTGGATAAGTTTTCCATTTAGTGCACATTTGAGTTCCTTGTCTAAGTGTTCTGCTGTCTTGAGATATTAATATTTTATTTTCAGTGTAATTTTATAAAGACACAGTACTACTTTTTCTCTTATTGTTAAAATGATTAGGAACAAATGCTGGAACATTGTATGTGGAGGCTAAGCATTTTGGGTAATTTTAGTTATAAATTTTATTTGAGAACAATAAATTAATGACATGTTTAAAGGCACGCAAGTATTACTGTGAGAAAATTTACTCGAAATTATAGTTACTAATTATGTTCATGTATATTATTTTAAATGCAAATCAAAACATAGAATCTTCTCTTTTCTATAATTAATCATTATTTTGATGTTCTGTTCTGTTTAGATATTATTTTGTGCATATGTACTTGGATGTATATCACACCTAGAGATAAAGCCTGGATCTCACTTTCCAACACCGGGGACATCTTTGTTTCCTCATGGTCTTGGTTCCCTCCTCTGCCTTCTATACCGGTACTCTTCTTTGTTTCCCTGTTCTCTTTTTTTCTTTTATTCCTGTCCTTCTCTGGCCTCCAGCTCAAGGCTTCTTCACCAACATCGCTTTATTGCTTCTTATCCTTTGGCCTTTTGGTACAGTGGCAACACCTAACTGTCCTGAGAAGTGACAAGAGGCCACCATTCTTTAGGAATCGATTTTGGGAAACTCATAATTGGATAGTAGTAAGCAGGGAAGGAGGATGCAGTGAATTACGTTCTGAATGTGTGGCATATTCATCTCTGTTGCTGAGTGAGGGGAAAGTTAGGCTTAGAGAAGCAGAAGGAAGTTTAAGGAAGGAAGTGAAAAGCCAGAAGGAGGTCTGACCGGTCAGTTTGAAACGCTGTCTTCTCTGCCCTGTATGACCTTGAAGTAGGCTTCCTGCCTATGTGAATTTGTGACATTGTGTAAGAATAAACAATAATATTGAGCATTTCCGGTGCATTTTGTGGTATGTGCTGTCCTGGTGTTTTATTTAACCTGCCCAGCAGCTCTGTGAGGCAGGTGGAATTATAGTCCTCATTTTCAAAGAGTGGAAGCTGGGACTTAGAGAGGTCAAGTAAATTCGGGTCACACAACCAGCAAATGGCAGAACATGAATATAAACTCATATTTGCCTGACTTCAAAGCCTGTGCTCAGTATTGTAGTCTTATTGTTGTATGGACATAGACAAGTTATTTAATCACGTTGAAGCTCTGTTTTCCCATCTGTAAAACAGACAACTACCTTACAAAACAGAGGAATGATGAAGCATCCTCCAAAGTCCCCGATTTACTGTTCATGCTTGGTAGATTATAGTACTAATTACTTTTTCTGGGTTGTTTCTTTCTTAGGACAGTAAAACACTATATGAGAGGAGCTACCTTCCTAAAATGACTGAAAAAAAATTTATCTTTGGGTCTTTCCTAGTAAAGTAAGATGGGCAAGCTCAAGGATCTGATTCCATTTTCTTTTACATTCTCTCCCAAATTCCCACAGTCTTTCCTATCTGCTTGCTGAAGACTGGACTTCCTTTTCAAGAGAAGACTTCTTGTCATCCATGATTACAGATAAAAGGGTTAAAATGCAGCTGTTCCTAGGGATGAGTTTTAATCTAAGTACAGATAACTGATATTAGATCCTTTCGTACTGAAGTTAATGGGGAGGCTTGGTAAAGATAACACTCTCTTCAGGAGCATACAGTTTTCTGGTTTTCCTTCATTTCAGCATCAGTGAACAGACCTGAACTCAGAGGCAGTTCCAACATGTACAGCCATGTGTGCTTGCAACTGAGGTGAGACCACAAAGTAATGTTTTTGAAGAAGCACTCAGCTACAATTAAAGTCTGTGGAAAATTGGATAGCAGTACTGAAAAATGCATTTAAAGATCAAAAAGGAAGCATTTGCTTGTGATTAGTTTGATTTATGCTGAGCTCGACCCAGGAGCCTCCCACAACTGCTTCCTTCCTACACTGTGCTTTTATGAAATACATACACACTTATGGCTGCCGTGTACAAGATATACTGATGACAGATAGTAAACTACTGCTTTAAACAAATGCAAGCTATTCAGACCTGAAAAACAGTGAAACAAACAAATCAAAAAAAGAGCTATGCAAATGATGAATGACTTTGTAGTCTTTCCTTGGCTGCTTAGATTCATAATGCTACATCCTACCCAATTAAGAGAAAAGTAACGTTTATCTTTCTAATGAGTGAACAGATTGAGGAAGTGGTTCTGGAGATAAATGAAGCTCATAGGAGTATTTAGTTAAGTGCTCCTTTTTACAAGTCCTAAATTTGTTTTTCTGTGTATTGGGCATTTCCCACTATGTATAGCATTGGTTCAAGCTGATCATGCCCTTAAGTTTACATCTTATGAGTAGGAAGCCTGGGTAGAGAATAATGAAAATGGTTAGAGATTCCAAAAAGACATCAGTGTGGAAAACTCAAGATGATTAATATTACCAGGCTGAAAAACTGTAAACAAAAAGGAGTTTGTATGGCATTTTAAATATATGAAAGATTGTTCAGATGTTGATGGGCATTTGTTTCCATTTGTGCTAATTGATTGAGAAAGAATTAAGATTCAGTACAGTTAAGTTCTTCCTAATAATTGTTATACAAAGTTGCCAAGGGAAGTTGTGAAAGTTTTAGAAAACCTACAATATTCAAGGCTCTTGGAGAAGAGCAAATTATAAAACATGATCCCTGACCTTATGGAGCTTGTTTTGAAGCTGGAAACAGATTGGTGACAAATTATAGATGGCTTGTATTTTCTCTACATTGTAGGAAGCAGAAGACATTTGCAATTTTTCTACTCTCATTTTATAAATAGGGAGTTGATATGATTAGAACTTTCCAGTGCGAGAGGTAATGGGGCCACCATTCGGGAATGTTAAGATGGAAGAAAAGGAGACAAATATGGAGAATGTGAAGGTAGGAAAGGTCTGTAGAAAACTCTAGTGGAAGGCAAGTAGGCTATAGGCAAGAGCAATGTGAAAGATGATCAAGACTTGGACTGTCATAGGAGAGGAATGGAAGGATGGACAGATCACATTTACATTGTTACATTTAGTAATTTTCCTAGATGTGGTACTTAAGGAAGAGGCAGAATCCATGTGGCTATAGGATTCCTGTGCTCCATGATCTGAAAATAAGGGTGACAGAATAAACGTGGTCCTAGAAAGAAAGGTAATTCTAAGAAATTGATTTTGAACGTCTTGAGATGATAGCCTCTCAAGAGATCTAGTATGTAAAGGGAGCAGAATAAGAAAAGTTATCTGGTTATGACATTGTCTTTGATTCCATTATTTTCTTTCTACGATGTTCATTACCTTTATATTACTACTGAACTAGGAGTATTTAAGTTGCTTCTGTTGGGTACACTTAGAACAAATGCCCATAGATTTCAGTGTTTCTGTTTTCAGACTACTTTATGTGAGGATGGTGAGGTAATTTAACTGCATTCTATTTCTAGTTAATTTTTTGTTTAATGCCTGCCCTTCTTTGCTAAAATAAAATCTAGGATGACTTATGTTTACTTTCTCTCATTACAAAGATGTCAAATTTTATTTCATTTGCTGATTTTAGTAGGGAATAGATGTCCCTTTGTCTCACAGAAGTCTTCCAGATTTGACTTTTATTTTAGGATTAAACATGTAACTTTGTATAGGTGGCAGTTCACAGATAAACTTTTAAAACTGGCAGGGACCTTAGAAGGCCTCTGAGATCGTCTAGTGCAGGCCCTGCATTTCTCAGATCAGTAATCTGAGGTCAAGGGAATAATAATACAGTAATAGCTAACATTTATTCAACTATATTATCTATGTGTAATCGTGATAACCTGATAGCATAAGTGGAACGACCTTCCCGAAGTCCCAGAGAAAGTGGCGTATAGCTCACTCGCTTTCAGAACTGTTTTCTTTAAATGTTTTCTAAAATCATTAGGTTTTTTTTTAAACTGTGATAAAATAAACATAACATAAAAGTTAACCATGTTTATCATTTTATTTTTTATTTTTTGAGGGGATGGAGTCTTGCTCTGTTGCCCAAGCTGGAGTGCAGTTGCACGATCTCAGCTCACTGCAACCTCTGCCTCCCGGGTTCAAGCAATTCTCCTGTCTCAGCCTCCCGAGTAGCTGGGATTACAGGCATGCACCACCACGCCCGGCTGATTTTTGTATTTTTGGTAGAGATGGGGTTTCACCATGTTGGCCAGGCTGGTCTCAAACTTCTCACCTCAAGTGATCTGCCTGTCTCGGCCTCCCAAAGTAGTTTATCATTTTAAAATGTATAATTCAGTTGCATTCACTGAATATAGTCACGGTGTTGTGCGACCTTCTGACTTACCTAGTTCTAGAACTTTTTCATCATCACAAACAGAAACTCTGTATAAGATTTTAGTTTCAAGTACTAGAGAAATACTGGTTATTTACTTGCTTTTTCGGGCCTAGTCTCTCCCATCTTCCAGCAACTCAGTATTCAGTGTGATCTACTTATACTTACTGAATGCTGAGCTGTCATATGAATTTGAATGGTTTCTTTAATTTGTACTTGTTTCATATTTCTAGATATCTATGAAAAGTTCACTGTCACTTAGTATAATATATCTGCTTCTTTTGGGGCAATGAAATATATACACACGAAATTTGAAGGAGATCAGACTAAATAATGTAAACACATAGAAGATTTTATTGAGCAGGGGAAGAAAGACTAAGGATTAAGGACTGTGACATGCACAAAAAAGTTGGGTTGTCTCAGATATAAAGAGTTTCCCTTCTGCAAATGCCTAGAGCAGGAAGCACACCCAGTATAAAAGATATTTGGGCTTGGAATCTGAAAGAATTCAATCCCCAAACCCTGGATATGAACTGGACTCAACAGGAAGGATTGTTTAGCAGATCTTCCCTCTCTGTTCCTCTTTGTGCTCAAACAAAAATACAGCTGTTAAAAGAGTTTTAAAAAATTATTTCTAAAAGAGTATAAAAACCCCATTCAGATTGCATTCTTTTTATTCTGCTAAAATGTGAAGTTTCCTTGGCTGCTTCTCTTCCTGATTCATAAAAATCACACAACTACTGTTGCACAATAAAGAAATGGAGAAATGATCAGGGAATCTTTCTCAGAAAATTCAGTTTTTTTTTATAGAGCAAATAAGAATTTAAGAAAATAAACATTTAAATCATTTGAATTTTATCTTTACATGCTAAAATTCTGTACATGTTAAACAAGACAGTTTTATGTTACTTCAATAGTATATTAATATACTTTTGGTATAAGCAAAAGTATAATTTTTATCAGCATTTATTATTCTTTTTCAAAGAGTGACACTCCTAATGAAATATATTTATTACAGCTAAAAGATGGCGGCAAGGCAGCCCAGGCAAATGTAAGAATAGGCGATGTGGTTCTCAGCATTGATGGAATAAATGCACAAGGAATGACTCATCTTGAAGCCCAGAATAAGATTAAGGGTTGTACAGGCTCTTTGAATATGACTCTGCAAAGGTAAGTTGCTTTTTGTTTGTCCCTGAAAGAGAAAACAACATTGAGGAATGTGTTTTTGTGTGTCTGACTCACGGTGTTAACTAAGACTCAGTTTCTGCTACCATCATTTCAGGTAAATAAAAAATATAATGGCTCTTAAATTGGATAATTAAGCAGCAAGAGAATTGCTGAAAGCTATGAGTTATTTCCCCATCAAAAGGCATGTATTCCCATACTAATAAAAATTGTGTGGGCCTGTAATCCCAGCACTTTGGGAGGCCAAGGCGGGAGGATTGGTTGAGCTAAGGAGTTTGAGACCAGCTGGCCAATATAATGAGTCCTCGTCTCTACAAAACATAAAAAAATTAGCCAGGCGTGGTGGCGTGTGCCTGTAGTCCCAGCTATCCAGGAGGCTGAGGCAGGAGGATTGCTTGAGCCCAGGAGGTCGAGGTTGCATTAAGCTCTGATCGTGCCACCACACTCCAGTCTGGGTGACAGAACGAGACCCTGTCTCAAAAAAAAAAAAAAAAAAAAAAAAAATTGTGTATACAGCTTCAGAGAATTCAGGAATTCTTGAAATTTCTCAATGGAGTGCAGGCTAAGAATTCTTTCTGTTAGGTAAAATTCTGAGCATTATATTAAAGGGTATTCTTTTAGGATATGATTTGGCTTTCATTAGTTTGTCCTTTTCTCTTTTTTTTTTTCTGAGTAGAAAATTTTTAATAGAGTCATTTGAAGGCTGGACTTTTTGAACTTATTGCTTTCTAAAGTCACTCTGGCCTCAAGTTATAAAATAATTAATCATCACATTGTTTATAATATATCAGGTATTTTGAGCATCCCATCATTTGAAACCTGCACCAAAATCATCTGGAGTGCTTGTTAAAAATACTGATGTCTATACTGAATCCGAATTTCTGGAAGGAAAGACCAGGAGTTATATTTATTGAAGTTCTCTGTGGTTATTATGACTTACAAAGTTTGATCACTGTAGTATCCTGGGCTGAAGGCAAGGGAGGAGAAAGAGGGAATGCAGAGTGATGGAAGGGTAGCTGTGAACCTTCAGCTTTATAATGAAGGTAGCTTGATCATATACGAGGTAGTTATGGAGATTTTAAGCAAATCTTGTTTTTGATGGTTACAAAAAGTGTTCTGAATTCTATCAAATTTGGAAAACACCACTTTTTCTCCCTCCCCAATCTCTTCCATAATTATATTGCATATAATTATCTTAGTCTTCCATAAATTATCATGCATATTATGAATCTTTAAGAGGGAAATAGGCTGGGCGCTGTGGCTCACGCCTGTAATCCCAGTACTTTGGGAGGCTGAGGTGGGTGGATCACCTGAGGTCAGAAGTTTGAGACCAGCCTGGCCAACATGGTGAAACCCAGTCTCTACTATAAATACAAAAATTAGATGGGTGTGGTGGTGCATGCCTGTAATCCTAGCTACTTGGGGGCTGAGGCAGGAGAATCACTTGAACTCTAGAGGTGGAGGTTGCAGTGAGCCAAGATCTTGCCACTGCACTCCAGCCTGGGCAACGGAGCGACACTCTGTCGCCCCACCCCCCAAAAAAATATTAAAAAAAAAGAGGGAAATAAAACCTGGTACCTTCCCAACATATTTGGCTATGGAACCTTTTTCTTGGAGCCTCTCCTAGGAGTCGTGTTTTGTGAAAAACACTTAGGCAGTGCTTCTCTGCTTTTTGCTACTGCTGTCCTAGGTGATTGCTAGTGAAAGGATTTCTATAGGATAAATTATATTTACCTGAGTATCAATTTGGTATTAAAACTGAATAGGAAATTGTTTTTGCAAACTTTGACTTAGACATACAGATCTATTTTGAGGTATTGTGACTTTCTAAGCAGTTTCCTCTTTAGGGTCTTTTTAAAAAACTTAGAGAAATTCTTTTCAGTGGGACTGCTGAATCAATGTTTATATGTATTTTGAATTTTGATAGGCTATTAGCTATACATTTTAATGCGTAGGAAAGTAGTCAATAAGAAAAGTAATTGGTTATAAAAAAATTTGTTTCATTAGTATTCTTCTGTTCTCTATATTGAGACATGTAACATGAAAGTTGTTACTAATCACATGAAAGTAAAGTCATTTTTAATTTACCAAGTATGAATTTTGAAGGGAAATCAAGAGGTCAAGAAGCTTAACTTGTTTGAGATATCAAGAAAGCAAAACAAATAGAGATGATGACAGGCTGTTTTACACATTCTAAAACTGAAAGTTTATTTAAGGGTATGAGCTCTTTCATGGGTTGCGTACAATTTCTTTCATACCAGCCTGCTTGTTTTCACATTGTGCTGCTTATTTTATGACCCAGGAACCAGAATCTTATTTTCTATTGAAAACACTTCTGAGCCCCATAAGAGTAGATAAAAACCAGATGTTGCCCTGTTTGGATGCCTTTCCAATTTATGTAATCTGCTACTGATTCTAATAAAGATTCTTTAAGGCTGCTTAAATACAGAATCTGACAAACCAACTTACAAAATTGACTTGTTATAAACATTTGAGTATACTACTTAATCATATCTTCATATTTCTAAATAATAGACATTCAAGGACCCAAACTATTAGGGAGTATTTTAGAGTCCCATTATTATTCATTGGCGTTCTCTTCAAGTTTTTGAGCAGTTCTTGTGTTAGGTAATGTCAGCCTGTTTTGATAGAGTGTGTGGTTAACAAAATTCGTAGTATAACATTGACAGTGCTACTGAAGAAATACTTTTGCCTTTTAAGGAAAAAAATACAACTTTGAAGAGTTATCTTTGATTCTTTTCTATACCAGGACCATTCTCTCCTTAAGTTTTCTCTCTTATATCAAAGTAAGTATGTTTTCCAAGTTTGAACAGCATTTCTTTCTTTCTTTTTTTTTTTGAGACTGAATCTCGCTCTGTCGCCCAGGCTGGAGTGCAGTTGGCACCATCTCAGCTCACTGCAACCTCCACCTCCCAGGTTCAAGGGATTCCCCTACCTCAGCCTCCCGAGTTGCTGGGATTACAGGCGCATGTCACCATTCCTGGCTGATTTTTTTGTATTTTCAGTAGAGATGGAGTTTCGTCATGTTGTCCAGGCTGGTCTCGAGCTCCTGACCTCAAGTGATCCACCTGCCTCGGCCTCCCAAAGTGCTGGAATTACAGGCATGAGCCATTGCGCCCGGCCTGAACAGCATTCTTTTTTTTTTTTTTTTTTTTTTTTTTTTGAGACAGAGTCTCACACTGTCACCCGGGCTGAAGTGCAATGGCACAATCTCAGCTCACTGCACCCTCCACGTCCCAGGTTCAAGCAATTCTCCTGCCTCAGCCTCCCAAGTAGCTGAGACTAAAGGCACGCATCACCACGCCCAGCTAATTTTTGTATTTTTAGTAGAGACAGGGTTTCACCATGTTGGCCAGGATGGTCTTGATCTCTTGACCCCGTGATCTGCCCGCCTTGTCCTCCCAAAGTGCTGGTATTACAGGCATGAGTCACCACGCGTGGCCCTGAACAGCATTCTTAATTGTCCTCTGGTCAGTTCTTCATTCCACTTCTCACCAACCAGATTACTCTGAATTCTTCCAAACTAAGTTACCTACAAGAGTACTTTTTCAGTGAACTCTTCCCTTCATAAACTTGAAGTTTTCTGCATGAATATATACTACTATCATTTACAGACTTGTCTTAGTCCAATTTCCTAGAGCAGAGTCTGAGATGGGGATTCTTGTGCAAGTGATACAGTAAGGGATTCCTTTAAGGAAAGCAGTGAGTGAAACAGGATTGGGAAGCAGAAGAAACTGAGATGAGCAAAGGTGTGATTTCAGGGGATATCCAGCTTCACTTGATCCAGCAGGAAACTTGGGAACAAAATTGCACTACAGAGTGAGTCTGTCTTGCCTTGAGGCAATGAAACTGGGCTTTTGTACCCCCTTCCTTGTATTTGTTAGTTATTAGCTGTCAGCTGCCCTGGAAGTATGTTGTGTGAGTAAACAGAGAAGAGGGCTAGGAGGTAGCTTATATTGCTTCCAAAGAAAGTTACTGGTGTGAACCATTAGAAGCAATGGAAGAAACACCTGGGGAATTGGTGTACCAAACCATTAGAAGGGTTCCAGGAGATCTAAGCTGGGCACAGACAACAGCACGTGCTATGGGATTCTATCCAGACTAATCCCTCTGCTCAGAAGGTCGTGTTCTTTGTAATCGAGTCCTCCTCACATTGTCCTCTCCAGATCACCACCACTCATCACTGAATGCCCTTTCTTCCATTTAGGATAGGTTTCTCACCATCCTTCTCTTGCCTTTATGCCCTCTCATGAAATTCATTTCATCTGAAATGCCCACCACCTGTTCACTGCCAGTGCATGCCTTCACATCCACTAAACCCAAATCGAGTGTCTCCTGCCCACAGTCTGTTCCTACTATCGCACCTCACTCCTTTTTCCCCTTCTGAACTTGTATGAAATAGTTTATGCCATTCAGTTCAGCGTTTAATTATACACTAGGTATAATCAGGAATAACAAGGGCAATTCCACGAGTCTTATACAAATAAACCTAATTAGCTAATAGTCATACCTAGCACTGCCTATGTTATTTACTAATTATTCCGTGTATATTAGTCGTGGTTCTCCAAGAAGACTCTTTAAGAGCAAAAACCATGTTTTTTTTTACTCTATTTGTATTTGATAGCATCTTGTATAGTAGTCTGTTTTTGATAGGCACCAGTATTATTTCCCAAAGTAGGAATCATTTATCTATTTCACTAATATTTTCTGAACTCTTACTATGTGCCGGGCACTGTTATAGATTTTGGGGACATAGCAGTGAACAAACCAAACAAAAATCTCTGCTTTCATAGTACTGACATTTTAGAGGACTGAGACAGATAATAAACAAGTAAGCAGAATATGTAATATATCTCGTGTGGATATATTACACGGAATATTATAGGGAAAAATAAAGCATGTGAGGGAGCACCTTCTCACTTGGGGTACTCATGCCCAGATATCCAATAACCTTCTCACTGTGGCTTTCCTTACCACCCTATTTTAAACTGCAGTTTCCCAGGGAATTGCATGAGTATCCAAAGCAGAGCGAAGAGCCAGTGTGGTGGCCCTCTGTCAGGGAGGCTGGTATAGCCAAACAGAGTGAGTGAAGGCAGACTGGTTAGAAGTAAGGTCAGAGAGGTAGCAGGAAGGGAGTAGAAGTGGCGAGAACTTGTAGGGCCTTGTGGGTCATTGCCTTGTTTGCAATCAAATTTAAGTTTTCCAGGGCCTATGAAAACATTGCGAGAAAGCTCCGGAAAGTTATAGCTGGTTGGCCAGGGATCTAGAGCAGCGTTTTGGAGAGAAATAACTTACAGTCACGGAAAGGAAGGCCAGAGGAAGGAGCAGACCAGGTCTCCCCCAACTCAATAGTGGTGGCGCTGCCTTTTCCTGCTAGCACTGTAGAAACACTGGATGAGGACCACTGCTGCCCAAATTCTGCTCTCCTCCACCTAAGAATTCCCAAGGAGAGAACGAAACCCAGTTTTTGTTTTTGAAAAGAAAATTACCAGTAATTTTGTTTTGTTAATTTTTTTGCATTGAATATTATTCTTATATATCCACTAATTTTTAAGAAAATATACGTGTATATTCAAAATTTGGTTTCATTTTTAGGCCCAACCTCAATATCTTAAAATAGGATTTAGATAAGAAAAAGTAAGATAAAGATACTTGCTTGAGTCTGGTGGTTTTGTAACTGTTATTTATGTCTACTTTAATTTGGGGGCATATAATAAAGCAAACACATTTTCTTTCTATGACATCCTAAAAAATAAGACTTGACTCAGTATACTCTGTGTTTCTAATGAACATAAAAGTGTGAATGGTTTTATTTTGATTTGTCTTTTATCGTTGAAAAAATTGGAAAAAACATATTTTTTTCCTGGCCGTGAAACTAATTCTAGGAGTACTGCAACTGAACTATAAAAAATTCTATTTAAAATTATTTTTACTCTTGGGGAAGTCAGGCAAATAACAGTGCTTATTTTTAAATGTCAAATGTGTTTGCCTATGATTTTGATCCAAATCAAAGTGGATCATTTTTTAAAATTACATTATTTCAGTTGATACAAGAAGAAAATTACTTTCAAAAGCTTCGATGTCTAATTAAACTATTAACTGTATTAGAACTGGTTTCTATGAAAAAGGTGTTTAACTGTTCCATTTATTTCAGTAGTTAGCTACATAGTAGGACATAGATAAACTTGTTACATGCTTATTGTATGATTTAGGGCTAGTGGCTAAACTACTGGGCCTTAATTTTCTTGACTATAAAATGAGGTCATGGGTGATTTCTAAATTCCCTTTTTGTAATAAAAATAGTGGTTCTTGTTCTGGTTTTTCAACTGTAAATGGATAAGTTCCCTAGAGCTTGCTATTAGATCAAACCAACTTAAGTTTGCTTATTTTGGCTGAGAGAATCAGGAAATTGGACTTTCTTCATTGGAGTTATCTTAAACTGTGCCAGGTTAACAAAGTGACTTGTACTGTTCTGCTCACTTTAAGGTGAAAGGTAGGTCAGATGGGTATGCAAGCATCATTTATTCATCAGAAAATACAGTACTATATATTTTTATTCTTATTTTATGTTGTTAAATTAATCCTCTTGGAATCACAGAATATATATATATATATATATATATATATATATATATAGTTTTTCTACTCTTCCTTGTTTTTATATTACTAGTAGTGGCATGTCTGTGGTTTTTTAAAATTTTTGTTTCTTATTCTTCAAACTTCATTTACTGTCTAACTTGTTATGATTAGAAGTGAAAGACCTAGAAGAATTGAGTTTTGAAAAATATTGATGTACTACTCTTTCTGCCTTCCCCTTCTTCTTCATCCTTCAAACAACAAAAAGATTGCCAGAGGTCCAAATACTGCTGCTAATGAATGACAGATTGGAGTAATTTAATAGGTACATTGGATTATAAGAGAAAAGAAGAAGTAGCTGTTGTACCAGACTGAAGCTATTAGCCATCTTTTGTCTCATTTTAATGGGTTGTTTAATATCCCATTACTGTTAGCTTTATGGGTTCAACTCTGCTGTTTCTTTCACCAATAGAATAGAGGCAGGAGTTTAGAAAGTACTTTTTTCAATCGAAGTTTTCAGTTCTCTATCTGGGACATTTCAGTTCATGTGAATTAAAAGATATTTAGTTAGATTTTTTTTCTTTTAATAATTGGAGTTTCACATCATCCCATTTGAAGTTACTTTTTTTTTCTTCTTTGGTATTTCACGTACTTTTCTAGTGTTTATTCTTCAGTTTAGCTTTTACTACTTCTTCTTTGCTTATTTGTTTTTAATTCTTAGGTTGGAGGATGACAGTTTTTCAGAAGGACTAAGTCTGATTGATTATGTCCCCCATCCATCATTAAAATTAGAAATGCTGCTTAGGAGTGGGAAAGAGGACAAACATGTATTGACATGCTTTGTGAATTTTTTTTTTCTTACATATATCATTAAATCCTTATATCAATCCATTGAGGAAGAAGTTAGCCTATTTCAGGTGAATATATAATGCCTTAGAGGTATCCAATCTTTTGGCTTCCTTGGGCCACGTTGGAAGAGGAGTTGTTTTGGGCCACACATACAATATGCTAATACTAGCGATAGCTGATGAGCTTAAAGTAGTCACAAAAAAACCTCATAATGTTTTAAGAAAGTTTACAAATTTGTGTTGGGCTGCATTCAAAGCCATCCTGGGCCACATGCAGCCTGTGGGCCGTGGGTTGGACAAGCCTGGCCTAGAGAGTTTGTGTGATTTGCCTAACAAACTCAGATCAGTTCATAGCTTATGCCCTCCTTACTTTCTTTGCTGTGGCAAAGGACTTAATGACTAGTCTCCTAGTAGATATTTGATAAGATGGGATAGATGCATAATAGGGGTCACTCTTCCTCTACTTATGAGCAACTGCATCTCTGTTAAAAAGTACTTTTCATTTTTTACTCTCCCCTGTCAGTATTCTGTAATAAAAATTATACCTAAATTATTTTCTGTGTGCTTTAAAAAGATCCTATATGTTAGAGTGAAAGGAAAAAGGGGGGGAAAGCTTATAGGTTAATGGGCCACTAGATAGAAACATTCGTTTGGATACTGACTTGTGTATATGGTTTCCCATCCTAAGCCAGAAAGTCATCTTTTATTTTTTTCTTCCAAATTTATAACCCTATTGACTATATTTGCTAGTTCATTCCTATGCTTCTATGTATGCATTCTGTGAGTAACTAAAAATTCTGGAATTTTTTAAAAAATATGTTTTATGTGGCTGACTGCCACAACTACTACTTGAGATCATCATTACAGCAGTTACTACTGTTACTACTTGAGCCATCATTCCAACAGTTACTACTGTTACTCCTTTAGACCATCATTATGAGACTGAATGAAGGGACGGACGAACGTAGAAATGAAAACTTTAGACAAAAGTAACTATTTTAAAGGAAAGGCTAGCATGGGGAAGAAGAGAGAAGAAGAAAAGGGCTCCCTGCTTCTGGTGAGCAAAGGCAGCCGCCTAAGCTTCTACAGCCCTTGGTATTTATTGGGTAACAAGGGCAGGGAGGAGGAGGTAACAATTAGTCAGCTGCTTAATCCATCACAGGTTCATATTGTTACTAACAGGCTTCAGTTATGCCTAATCATAAGAAACACTTGCGCCTGGGTCGTGACTGCCCTCAGCAATCCTTCCGGGTGGCAGACGCAGTTTGTCAGTTTGCCAATATTCTGCATTTATGACAGTTTGCTGCTTACTCATATAGCCTTCAGTGGTATACTGAGTTGATCACAACCCTCACTCTTTTGGCCTCCAACAGTTTTAGGGGCCAGGCACTGTGGCTCAATGCCTGTAATTCCAGAACTTTGGGAGGCCGTGGTGGGCAGATCATTTGAGGTCAGGAGTTCAAGACCAGCCTGACCAACATGGTGAAACCCCGTCTCTACTAAAAATACAGAAAAATATTTAGTAGGATGCGGTGGTACGCGTCTGTATTCCAGCTATTGGGGAGGGTGAGACAGGAGAATTACTTGAGCCCGGGAGGCAGAGGTTGCAGTGAGCTGAGATCGCACCACTGCACTCCAGACTGGGCGACAGAGTGAGACTCTGTCTCAAAAAAAGAAAATATGTTTTAGGGACTGTTTCGTCAACATCACGCACACTGGAAGAGACCATAATTGTCAATCAACAAATCAATCAGCAGACATAGAAAATAAGTATTTATCTTATATATCTCTTTTTCTTCAATTCAGTAGGCCTTAAAGATTGTTGGAAATGGACTTGAAGGCACAATTTAATTCTGAATAGTCTGTGGCAGTTTGACAATAAACAGATCTGATAAATATGGGTTGGTTAGGATGTATTTTGTATTGTGAAATTCTTCACTTTGACTTTACATCTTGAAAGTTTTTTTTTAACATATGAAAGTCTTATTTATTTCTCTGAAGGAAAACTTACTTCAATCTATACTCCTTTGGGAAAGCAATCCCAGGAATAATATGTTTAAAGATCTGTTTAGTTTTAAATCTTTAAAAATTTTTTTGGATCACACCTAAAATAGTCTTTGCAAAATGAAATTTTAATATGTAGAATTTTTAAGGTCCATGAAATAGAGATGTAAAGAAGGTGAATGGCACCAGCATTGGCTTTGAAATTAGGCAAACTTGATCCAAATCCTGGTTTCACCATTTCCTGGCTATGTGACCTTAGGCAGGTTATGTAACTGAGTTTCAGTTAACCACTTGTACCTGCCTTCTAGGGCTTTTACACAGGTTGAATGAAATAGCCTATGTAAAGAACCTAGGACATAATAAAGATGAGTTTTCTCTCTTCCTATTTCTCTCTTCAGTTAATAAGTGAGTATTAGTACGGTATCCATTGTAAAGTACTTCTAGAGGACCATATTTGTTTTGTTTCTTGGCAACAAAAATGGGTGTGGCTGAGGGAAAGAGGGAGAAACTGAGAGAGGGAAATCAGTAGGTCATTACCTGACAAAGTCAGAAAGATAATGATGCAAGATTTAGAAGAGAGGATTGCTTAGTCAAATGAGTGATTTTGGATCATGTAGATGTAATTAAAGCTTTTTCGAAGAGTATAGAGGATGCAAACATGTTTACTGCCAGCTAATTACTGCTTTGGTTCAAAATTATTGTCTAAACCAATAATTTATGGCCCATCTGGCAGGAAAGATAGTGGCAGCAAAGAGAAACCAGTACACACCTAGTCTTGTTTATTCTGCTAACTCCTCGTGTTCATCTTAGAGGAACGATGCAAATGTAGTTCTTCTTTACTGTGGGTTAAGTCAGAAAGACAAACAAAAATGTGAGTTTTTTCTCTCATTTTATATTCATGTATATTCCCTTTAAAGTAATTTTCTGAGTAACATATTAAAATCAAGTAAAATTACTAACTTTTGGAACATGTTTTTCTGATACTTTTAGAATAAATTTTCTTTTAAAACCCTTCCTCAGGACTACCATTTATTACTGAGGTTTAAAATTTCATAATGTTCATTAAATTTAAAAATTTGGACTTTTCCTTCAGATTTACATTATGACTAGCAGCCATAAGAGGTGGACATAAAGAGATTTATAATCTTTGCCCTTAAAGAATTTATAATCTCTTTATTGAGATCGGGAGAGATAGAATATGCTACAGGGGTTCAAAGGAGAGTTAAAGATCCCATTCTAATGGAAAGCCTTTGTGGAGATGCAGAAACCTGGGCTAGGCTTTGAAGAATGAGGTTAAATGAAATAGCATATGTAAAGAGCCTAGGACATAATAAGGATAAGTTTTCTCTCCTTTCTTCCTATTTCCCTCCTCAGTTGATAAGTATTAGTATGGAATCCATTGTAAAGTACTTCAAGAATATCATATTTGTTTTGTTTCTTGGCAACAAAATGGGTGTGACTGAGGGAAAGAGGGAGAAACAGCGAGGGAAGTCAGGTAGGTAGTCGGGTAACTACTTGACTTCCCTGACTTCCCTCTCTCTGTTTCATATTCAGATGGAGGAATATCCTCTTGAAGTAGTATGGAGATGACAAATCCCCAAGCAAATGTTGACCAACTGGAAATAGAGATAAGAATGAAAGAAAAGTGAAGTCAGAATACTAAGCCTTGCAGGGTCTTAGACACTGAGGTATTATTGAAAGCTTTATCAGAAAAGTGACATTTTCAGGACCATATTTTGTAAGACTGCTTGGAAAGAGGTGGAGAGAGACCAGAGGCAGGGAGACTAGTCAGGCAAGTATTGCAGTAACCTGGCTTAGTGACGGCTTGAAATAGAAAGCAGGAGAAATTAGAGAAGTGAGAACTGAGCAGTACTTCTGTAAGCCACAGTCGTGTTCTGGATAGATGTAGAATGAGGGAAGAGTCAGAAGTATCTCAGGATTTTAGCCTGCTTAGGCCCAGGCTCAGTGTTCTGCCCCTTTCACCTTCCTCTTGCTCTTCTGCTCACTGAAGTCTGGCTTTGCTCCTGTCATGTTACTGAAACTGTTTCTCACTAAGATGTATTACAGATTCTGCAAGTTCAATGTGGGCAAAACTAAGTTCTATGCCTTGTCTCACAAATTTGTGTCTCCTGCTGCTGCACTTGGTGAACGGCCCCACCATTCACCCCATTATCCAGATCAAAAAGACGCCTTCCTTGCCTGAACCTCCCACTTTCACCTGTAGCCACCTGTTCATTAGCCTTTGTATATATGTCTCAAAACAGACTAGGAATAGAGTAGAGGAAATTAGTATGGCATCACAGCATGGTGGTGGAGAGAGACCCAGGTCCTAGTCATTATGCTTATATCTTGAACGAAAATGTTTAAGATTCGTGTTTCAGCATATACTAATTAAACACTTGCTGTGTGGATAGCTGGGGATAGAAAGGAAGTTCTCATACCTGCTGTGGAGCTCACAGTGCTGGGCACTGGCTTCTAACCTTACATAAGGTCCTCTTTTTTTTTTTTTTTTTTTTTAATGTCAAGTGTTTTATGGACAACCCTTCCCCCACCACATTAAGATAATAATTGTATTTTTAGTGGCTGGAGATTTTATAAGTATTGTATTGCAGTTTTAAATGAAGATGTAGATTTTCTACTTTGATATGCAATAATCTACATTTATTTAAAAATCCAAATATATTGAAGATTTATGCAGACTTCATTCATGGATCACTGGTAAAAACTTAAAACTGTGTGCTAGTTACCTCCAGCTGCCTCAGGTATAGCTTTATATGAGTTGGGACGCACAGACCAAAAATATTTTAAGCCATCTGGAGGTAGAGACAGGGAAGCAGAGACACTCGCAGGAAGGGAGAGACTGAGGAGAGACAGCATGAGGGTGAGGAGTGTAGCAGAGATAGAAAATCCCAGGCCGGAAGACAGCTGAAGGAGTAACATGAGAAGATTCTCCTGGCCACATCTGTGTATTAGCAGATTAAAAGGAGCCTGATTCTATGACATTGGATTCCACCAAGTTAACTTCACCTTTATTGTCATTTTAAAAATAAAAATAGCTTAATTTCAGTTTTAAAATGAGAAGTACTCAATATTTCCTGGATGAAAAGGAGTAGCTGAATAAAATGTGGCATGCTCACAAATTAAGTGGTAACAGAGTCATACCCAACCCTTCAAAAGCAGAAACAATATGTATTTATTTATTACCTACTCCAGTGCCTACCACCATGGCTTAGATGTAGTCATAGAAGATACCAAATATATATTTATTGCTTTGAGTTGTAGAGTATGCCACTTTTATAAATATGGCAATTTTTGCTACTGTTGCCTGATAAATTTAGAAATCATTTACAAGTTATTAGTGAGGTAAATAGTGACAAGCTGGTCATTGTCCTTTAGTTAATGGCAGCAGTCTCCTTAGAGTTCCAGATAAACATTTTTGTCCATAGCTCAAGGAATTTTTGAAAGGATTGAAATTCAAGTCATTCCCAACTGTTTTCCAGTGGCTGTTGTTGCTATTATAGTCTCAAAGACTGAAATAGCTTAGGCTTTATGTGAGTTGAAAAGTACATGGGAGTGATTGGCCATGCAAAACACGGCAGAGTATTTACACTGTCAAATTCTTTTGTTTAATGTATTTTAAAGCCTGCATTTTCATTGTAAGTCAGCTTTAAAATAGGTTTTCAAATGTTACTAGTCCTACCTAATAACTTCTTTTTACCTGCCGTGATCCCTGTTAATACTCTTTCTCTGAAATTGAAATGCGGATGAAAAATGGTCTTTCATTCATTTTTTTTGTTTGTTTATGAACTTTTAATTTCTTGGGTAATATAGTAAGGGTTCATTTCCACATCACAGTAAAATTCACAGGGAATAATCCTGCATTCAAATACCTCTCTTACAGTCAAGTCTGCCTTTATCTTGGCTGTTCTGGCTGAAGTTTATAGCACTTTTTCCTGTTACAATGAATGTGAGGGACTTTCCAGATTCTTTTGTTTTACTGGAATTAGGCTTTGAAATAATAGGTTATTTATTAGTCCAGAATGTTTTCTTATCCTGAGAATTTCTGGTACACAAATTATTCTTAAAACAGAAAAGTATTTTTATGTTTTGAAAGAAAAATTTTACATTTGAAGAGGATTTAAATAAATAAATTATAACAATATTCTTGATTCCAAGAACTTTAGATAATAGTATTTCTTCTGAGATATGAGAGAAAAAGTGTTCAAGTTGTTAGGGAAGCAGCTTGTTTTTTAGTGCATAGTAGGAATTTAGTAAGTAAAGCATATTAAAGAAAAAGGAACTTAAACACTTTAAATTGTTACCTCTAAGAAGTTACTGAGGTAGGAACTTTATGTTCATTAGTCGTGTAATCTTAATAGCAACTTATTATGGCAGATATTATCATCCTACTTTACAGAGAGTTAAGTAAGTACTTCAGAGTCACACAACTTGTAAGTAAATAAGCCAGAGTTCAATCTCAGATTTCTCTCTTAATGTAATGATTTGTCTGCACACATCTTTTTAAGTACAGAAATTTTAAAGTATTTTTATTGCTCAGTAATTATAAATACTTCTTCTCTAAAAGTTGTTTTGCTTTTCCAAATACAACACAGTAAGAATTTTCGCCATTAAATTTATTTCATAGGAGACAGAGAAAGGGGCAGTTATGAAGACATTTGTTTGATATTCCAGTCATTTCAAATGCCGTGGAAACTTCTAGCAAGGAGTCAACCCTGTTAAGAGTATTAACAGGGATCACATATTTTAAAATTCTTTGAAAATTTTTGCTTTATTAGTACCTTACAAAATATTCCAGTATCAGTATTACCTCATTCGTTTCCTTAGCAGCTCCAGTGTGTGCATTCTCTGAATACTAATTAAAGTAGCTTTAATATGATCTTCATCTGTGAAACAGTTTTTTAGTTGAATTACAATGCATGGTTAAGTTTGAGTATTGAGAACAGACTTCATAAATTCATAGCATTTTAGAGTTTGAAGCAACTCCAGCTATTAACCAGCAGAGCCCTTTATCTTTATTTATGATTCAAACTTTCATTTTGATTTGTGTAAAAGATTGCCTACTGTGACAGCTCTGTGACAACTCTGTCACAGTAGTGACACAGGAATTGGAGTAGTGTGGTGGAGGAGGGAAGGAAGAACAGATTGGTATTAAACTGTGGTCTTAACCTTTCCACCCTGTTGACCTTGCTCTGCTGCTTTCTCCATCTATTTTGTGGACTAATTACAATGTTCTTTTAGGTATCTCATCTGTCAGTATCTTATGCTGAGATTGGGAAATTCTGGATTTAGTGGTAAATTGGTTTATAGCAAATACCATAACTATTAAAGAAACCAGCATGTTTTCCATTTTCTGTAACCTTTTCTTATACTTTCTTTAAGTTGTTTATTTTCCTGAATTTCTTTCTTTCTTTAGAGCCTCAAAATCCCTCCACTTGATTCTAGGGTGCCAAAATGTCCTCTCTCAACTGTACATATGTAGAGCTTGAATAAACCTTATGTAACTGAATTAAAGAAATTGGAAAAGTGTTGATGTAATGACAGATTGGGATGAATGATGATGGTAGGAGAGAGCAGAGTAGCATTGTTTAGTCACTGGAAGTTTGAGATTATGAAAAGGAAGAATTTTTAAAACTAAGGACAGTGATAAAGTTTGCTGGGATCTTCAAGAAGAGAGATCCTAGTTTAGAGGGATTCCATGATTAAAAGACAGGGCAAGTAATAAGTCAGTACAAGTACTCAGTTTTCCCAGGAATCAGATGAGATGAGCTGGACTGGAGGTTGGGATCAAGCATAGATTAGGAAAAGAAGCTTGAAACGATTGTACAAACCTTAGTAATACGTGAATAAGTAACAAGATGAACAGAGTTCCCCAAGAGTACTTATATGTGTCTATGTATAATATATATGTGTCTATTTATAATATGTAATTCATACCCCGAATTCATTTGCAGTGTAGAAAAACTGTTACATGTGCTTTAGGCTGAACTTGTCGGCTAAAGAGGACTTATATGGGAAATGGAAGAATGCAGAAGAGGATTGGGGCCACAGAGGCCATGATATATGAAGGAAAAAAAACACTGTCTTTTCCTCATTTCTTTTCTTCCTCTCTTCTGTAGGCATTTATTTAACTACAGTGGTATGCCAGGTCTACGGTAGGATTAGGGAATAGGTAGATAAAAGAAATGCATCTCTCAGTTCAAGAAGCTCTTAATGGAAAGAAACAGACATATAAAGTGACAATATTTATAATACAGGTGGACGATTCTCAGAATGTAGGTATGTACAAGTAGCAACTGGAACAGAGAGAAAGGAGTGTAGAGGAGTCAACATGTTCCAGGAGATATTGCATGAATTAAAACTTAAATATAGAATTTGCTAGGTGGTTGATAGTAGGAGGAAAGAGGCCATTCTAGGCAGAGAGCACAGCTTAAGCAAAGGTGCACTCAGTTCTGAGAACTTGTCAGTAGTTCAGTGGGGCAAAAATACAGATTTTTTGAGGGGACAGGAAGAGTTGGGAGATGGTTAGAGGGTTGGGAGGGTTCAGATTATAAAATGTCTTGGCTGCCGTGAGTAAAATTTTGAATTTCATTTCTAAGTTAATGGGAAACTGTGGAAGAGTTTTTTGTAAGGCAATAATAAAATATATAATAATACTACTAATAATAATACTTATAGAGCAGGTAATGTGTGTCAGACATTCTTTTAAATGCTTTACATGTAACTCACTTAATCCTTTCAAGAACTCTGTGAGGCATAGATGCTACTATTCTTCTTTTTTTTTTTTTTTTGAGATGGAGTCTCGCTCTGTCGCCCAGGCTGGAGTGCAGTGGCGCGATCTCGGCTCATTGCAAGCTCTGCCTCCCGGGTTCACACGCCATTCTCCTGCCTCAGCCTCCTGAGTAGTCTGCCACCATGCCCGGCTAATTTTTTTGAATTTTTAGTAGAGATGGGGTTTCACTGTGTTAGCCAGGATGGTCTCGATCTCCTGACCTCGTGATCCGCCCGCCTCGGCCTCCCGAAGTGCTTGGATTACAGGAGTGAGCCACCGCACCCAGCCTATTATTCTTTTAATAAAGATGAGGAAGTAGAGGAGCAGTGCCTAAATAATTTGTCTAACGTCACACAGCCAGGATGAAAAACACAGGTATTCTGGCTGTGTAATATGTGTAGGGAGAGAAAAAAGAGACCAGTTAGAGGAGACTGTTTCACAAGTGTAGGTGGGAACTAATGAAGGCCTGGGCACTAGGAGAGAATTGGGGTGGAGGAATGAGAGTTCCAGTGATGAGTGTTGAAAGTCCTAAAACTGGTTGAGTGACTTTCTTTTGAGCAGCTGTGCTGATCCATGTCTTATTGTTATTGTCTCTTTTCCATTGCTTACCTTCTATTTAAAACCTGTTCTGCTCCTTTTGTTTAGTATTTCCCTTTTCTTGCCTCCCATTAGCAACACAAATATACTCATTCATTTAAAACTTATTTGTCAGCTTTTGGTTGGTATGAGTCTGCATTAATTGTTGTGCAGTTACAAAAAGAAAAAGATACAGAGTACTCGCCTTTCAGGAGTGTTTGCTGTAGTATGACAGCTAAGTCAAAACCTGTAACAGAAGTCAGTATGAGAGAGGTCATCAGAACGATACAAACTTCTGGGAGAACCATGTACCATCTGCGTGTATACTTCATCTTCCTTCGTATGTCTAAAACTGTTTGAGGCAAATTCATGTGGGCTGGTGAGATCCCCAGCTTCCTGGTTTCTCTAAGAAGGTCAGAGCTGGAACCTCTTATGCCATTACACTTTCTCTCTTTAGGGATGTAGGATACTTAGTATCTCCTAACATACACCACTTCCCAATTTTCCAATGTCTTGGCCTTAGGAAAAAAAAATGTCGTCCATGTAAAACCTCATTCACACCTGCCACTGGACTGAAAGTTCCCTAAGGCCAAAGGCCATTCCTCTTTGGCTTTCAGTAGTATGCCCTGGCATTTTCTGCAAACTTACCACTTGATGGGTGCTAAAATATGTTTTAAACTGAGTATTGCACCCAACGGATGAAAATTTTCTAAAAGTGCTTCTATCAAGAATTAGGAAACCAAAGTATAGAAATAAATGAAGCTGATAAGCATAAGTTTGTGATGCTAAATAAAATTACACTGAAGTCCTAGCCACAGATTGGCAAGGACAGTTTTGTGGGGGCAGCCCCACATGCCATAGCCCTCTGCAGGGAGCCATAACTTAACATCCCCAGGTTTAAATTTTAAATTATATACCCAGCCCCTTGTTTTGTCCATTACCAGTTGAGAAGTGAGGTAATTCATTCTCCTTTCTACTGCTTCTGCCCATGGTGAGAACAGAACTTCCATATACATCTTCTCTGCCCAGCTGGAGGGGGCTGATGGAGGACACAGCTTCTGTCATCCAGCGCCTCCCCTGGGAGTCTCTTTACTGATTGGTCTTCATTTGATCTACATTAGGTCACATTTACTGATGGATGGAATAAACTGCTTTAACAGAATCATGGTCTCCAAGTTTCACTTCACCTTCTGTCCTCAGGTGTGGCAGGTGCCCTGGCCAGAGCCTGCTATTCTCTCCGGCTTCCTGTTTCTTTGTGTCTTTTATCTACTGTTCTGAAAAAGTGAATGGAGTCGGGGAGATGGGAATTTAAAGTAAGAGGCCCGGCTGGGCATGGTGGCTCATGCGTGTAATCCCAGCACTTTGGAAGGCTGAGGTGGGCAGATCACCTGAGGTCAGGAGTTTGAGACCAGCTTGGCCAACATGGTGAAACTCCGTCTCTACTAAAAATACAAAAATTAGCCAGGTGTAGTGGCACACATCTGTAATCCCAGCTACTTGGGAGGCTGAGGCATGAGAATTGCTTGAACCTGGGAGGCAGAGGTTGCAGTGAGCCGAGATCATGCCATTGCACTCCAGCCTGGGGGATAGAGTGAAACTGTCAAATAAATAAATAAATAAATAAATAAAGTAAGTAAGTAAGTAAGTGGTCCCTCTTTGCTCTCCAACACAAGATGGAAGTCTGTATATTGGGCCTTAAAGGGAGATTACATTTATTATGTTTATTAAGGGGTACATTTTTTTCTCATTTGCCTGCTAGTTTTTGGTAGGCCATAACCCTGCAGAGAAGGTTTCAGTGATACATCTTACCTTCTAGGTAAGAGGAGGTTTGGATCTCTTCCTAATCAGTAGATTCTATGGACTGCTCGAGTGGCTAAAGTGTCTCTTTGGGTTAGAAGAAGAAATTGTTGTGCTTCAATAGTGTATACTGTCCTACACAAGCAATATTTCACTTGTTGGAAAATGAATCTTTTTTCTTTATTAAATGATCCACCCTATTTTTATAATTTCAGCTACTTCCAGTAATCTCTAATTCCTGTTATTTCATCTATTTAATAGGAGCGAATGCTACTTTTCCATGGTTCCTGGTAAATTTAGCTGTAGCTAAATTAGTAAAATAAATGAGAAAAATTATTAAAACAAAATTGTTTCCTAAAAACAAAGTTTAATGGTTATAATTACTAATTTAAAAAATATACTTACTGGGGCACTAAATACATTTTTGTAATTCATTTCACAAGGAGGAAAGACATATGTGATGTTTACCACCCTGGGAAAATGCAAAAGTGGACAGACTGGTCAGCCCCTCATATATTTTCATTCATTAGTAGTCATTACTCGGATGAAGGTGCTTTGCATACTACACTGTTTTATCAGATCCTTTTAAAACTCTTTTTGGGTACGATACTAGTTTCCTGTGACTACTGTATAAATTACCACAAACTAGGGGATTTAAAACAACAGAAATTTATTCTCTCCCAGTTCTGGAGGCAAGTCCCAAATCAAGGTGCTGGCAGGATCACATTCCCTCTAGGAGAATCCTTCTTTGCTTCCTCCATCTTCAGGTGACTGTTGTCAGTTTTTTTTTTAATTATTTCTAATTTTTTAAATTTATGAATAAAAGTTGTATATGTTTATCATGTACAACATAATGTTTTGAAATATGTATACACTATGGGATGGCAAAATCTAGCTAATTAACATATGTATTATCCCACATTTACCAATTTTTTGGGGTGTGAGCACTTAATATCTATTCTCTCAGCAATTATCAAGAATATACTACATTGTTGTTAAGTATAATCACCATCTTTTACAATGTCTTCTGAACTTATTCCTCCTACCTAACTGAAATTTCATATCCTTTGACCAACATCTCCCCAGCCCACCTCCATCAGTGACCACCATTCTATTCTGTGCCTCTATGAGTTCAACTTTGTTAGATTCCACATAGGAGATCATGCGGTATTTGTCTGTGTGTGGCTTATTTCACTTAACATAATGTCCTCCAGGTTCATACATGTTTTCACAAATGACAGGATTTCCTCATTTTTAAGGCTGAATAGTATTCCACTGTGTGTGTGTGTGTGTGTGTGTGTGTGTGTGTGTGTGTGTGTGTGTGTGTGTGTGTTTTCTTTATCCTTGCATTTATTGATGGACACTTAGGTTGATTCCATATTATGGGAATACAGATATCTCTTCAGTATGCTGACTTCATTTCCTTTGGATATATACCCAAGAGTGGGATTGTCGGATCATATGGTAGTTCTATTTCTAATTTTTTAAGGAACCTCCACAGTTTTCCATAATGGTTGTACTAGTTTACATTCCCACTAGCAGTACGCTAAGGGTTTCCTTTTCCTCACATCCTCACCAACACTTGTGATCATTTTGGCATTCCTTGCAGTTGCACCACTCCAGTCTCTGCCTCCTTGGTCAGCTTGTCTCTTCCTCTTAGTCTGTCTGTGTCCTCTCCTCTTTTGTTTCTTATAAGGACATTCGTCATTGGATTTAGGGTCTACCTGAGTATAATCTAGGATGATCCCATCTCAAGATTTTAAACTTAATTACATCTGCAAAGACCCTTTTCCCAAATAGGTTACATTCATATGGTCTGGGTATTGGGATATGGACACATCTCTTTGGGGGGCCACCATTCCACCCATATAGGTACATATTCTTTTTTGTTGTGTTTTGAAGACAAAAGCATAGATTTATTGAAGCAAAAATACACTCCACAGTGTGGGAGTGGGCTCAAGCAAGTGGCTCAAGAGCGGTACATATTCTTATTTTCCCAATTTTATAGAGATACATTGAGTAAGCAGTGAAGCTGGCACTGGCCAGGCATTATGACTAGGAGCTGCGCATCTCCACCACCACACTGTGATGGCATGCTAATTTATTCTGATTTGTAGAGGGTCTGTTTTGAGGCATTCTCTGTATGAAATCTAGTCCTTTATTTAATTAAGGATGAATTCACTCACTCTGCTGCCCAGGCTGGAGTGCAGTGGCATAATCTCAGCTCACTACAACCTCCGCCTCTCAGGCTCAAGTGATTCTCATGCCTCAGCCTCCCGAGTAGCTGGAATTACAGGCATGTACCACCATGCCCGGCTAATATCTTGTCAGCTTTTGCTACTGCTTAGGTAACCTCTGTTTTGGGAAGTATGTGCATGAGATTTATTGATGAATCTCTTGATGCAAAGATTAGCAATACCTTGCCATGGTTAAATCCAGCAGAAGAAAAGGCTACTTTGGCAACAGCATAGGCTTGTTTTTCTGGTTAATGAGACCAATCAGAAATATCAGAGTTCAAACCTGACTTCATCACTTACTGGCTATGAGGAAGTTACTTCAACTCTATAGGTTTATTTACTCATAAGTTAGGAATTCCTATTTTGTAGTTAGTTTACTTTAAAAAGTTAAGCCTCAATTTGATAGTTTGCCTAAATTAAGCATATAAATATTTTTAAAAATATAGTTCGAATGTCTGTGATTTTCTTCAGGCTTATTTATAACTCTAATGTAGCAATAAAACTCTTGAAACCATTTTTTACATCACAAATGATGGAGCCTGCTCCTTTAAATTTTTACAACTCTAATATGTCAGCATCTTTTGTTAACCATGTACTCATATAATATCTTTTTAGAAGCCCAAATAATATTTGCTTTGCCTATTTGTGGTATCTCTCTCAACACACAGTGGTTTCATTGTTTGTGTATGTTTTTCCGGGGGAAAAAAGGATCATTTCTCTTACTCAGTGCCTGACACACATACCAAAAATGGAAAAATTATGAGAAAGAATGTTGCTCAGATCACAACATCAGATTATTGTACTTTTGGCATTTTGTGGCTGATAGCCCCTTCCTAAGAAGATATTCTTAAGGTTGGAGGTCACTGTTTCTTCTTAAGAGCACTGTATTCCAATTTTGAATAATATTTCCTAGACAGGAAGCACGATCATCTTTCATTTTTATAGTCATTTTTTAGTAGATGATTGTTGAGATGGCTGGGTGCTGAATAAAACAAACTGCCCTAGTCTAGTTGTTCTCTTATTGTTGTGTGCATTTCACACTTGTGTAAGCCTATTTGTTAAGGTCATGGTAGTTAGATGTATTTTTCATCTAATTTCTTATGGCCTGATATTTTTTCCCAATATTGTTTTTTCTTGTCCTGTTAAATCATTGACAACTGAGCAGCCTTCAAAAGTATATTTTTATAAAAGTGTTTTTTGAAATATGTCTTATTTCATGACATTTTGTAACAACTCCTAGACTATTGTCTATTCTATTTGTCTTAAGTGGAGCTATTGATTATATAATGCAAAAAGCTGTGAGGTTGTAACTCAGTTCAGTAGTATTTATAAATATTTGTTTTCCACTTTTGTGCATATTATACAAATGATGGATATAAAATTTGTTTTGACCATTTATGATGCTTGCTTTGGGAAGAGGATATCCTCATAGAACTGAACGTTATGATGGATTTTTAAAATATTCTGACCCAAATGATATTGCATTGTCAGTACTGTCCCTGGTTATTAATTTCTCCTGGAGTAGAAAATGCTTTGTTCCTTACTATATCCCATTTAAACCTTACCGCCTACCTTACCCCACCCGGCCCCACACATCTATATACACACAACCTCACTTCTCTTCCAAGCGGAATAGTTGCTCATTGGAAGTAACAGTATAAAAAAGAAGGTAAACTTATCTAGAGAAGCATATTAAGTAGTTTTTTTCTCCTCTTCACATTCACTTCTTAAATTGTTATCAAACAAAAGCTATTAGGAAATCTTTGGAATTTATTATTTTCAAGAAGTTCCAAACAGATTCTTTTTCCTAATACTCTTTAGGGAAATATTTTAATGTGGCTTAATTATCTATCTAATATTAAATACAAATTAAATTTGCTATCATCAATAGAAGATATTTTTATTCATAGGAGTTCTTGATTTTCACAATACCTCTTCTATAGCTTGAAGTATTTTTTAAAATATAAAGCTAAATCTACGGTAAGTGGTGCAAAAACACCAGGGATATTAAATTTTTTAACGTTAGTGTTATATATATTACTTAAAATTTTTACTTAATATGTTCAACCCTAGCACTCCTTCTGACATTAGGCCCCCCCCACCTTTTTCAACCTGAATATTCAAGGGATTTAAGGTATTTGAAATTGCATGTGAATTATTTTGTGGTTATATTAATTAACATTGTAACATCTAGGTTTTACACTTAACTGTTAATGATCTTAGGGCTTAAGGAAAAAAAAATATATATCTAAAGTTAGTGGTAAAACTTCAGTTATCCCAGAAACCCCAGAACATGGTTAATTCTGAATAACTGAATTTGCTAGGTAAATTGACATCAAATACCTCAATTTAAAAAAATGCTTACTATAACATTTTCATAAAAGTTTTCCAAAAATTATTTACCTGTGTATTAGTTTCCTATTGCTGCTGTAACAAATTACCAACTTAGTGGCCAAACTGCACCCCCAACCCCCCAAATTTATTATTTTACAGTTTTGGAGGTTACAGGTCTGAAATGGGCTTCACTAGGCTAAAATTAACGGGTCGACCTTCCTTTCTGAAGATTCTTGGGGAGAATCATTTCTCTTGCGATTTCCAGTTTCTGGAGACTACCTGCATTCCTTGACTTGCATTGTTTTTGTCTTCAAAGGCAACAGTGACTAAGGGGTCTGTCTCACATCATATCATCCTAACAGTGACTCTTCTTTCTCCCTCTTCCACATTTGAGGGCCCTTGTGATTACAGTAGGCCCACTGGATAATCTAGGATAATCTTCCTATTTTAAGATCATCTAATTAGCAGCCTTAATTCCATCTGGTACCCTAAATTCCCTTCTGCATGTTAATGTAACATATTCATAGGTTCTGGGGATTAGGACAGGGACATCTTTGGGAAGCCATTATTCTGTCTAACACATTTTGTCTTCTGAAAGGGTAAATTATGTATACTGAACTGACTGTAACAATGTAGATTATGTGAGATAGGAGATCTGACTGATGCATTTTATTACCACCTGTTTGCCAGAATTATATTCAGACTCCTTTCTAGACTTCTTCTCATGTTGGTTGGTTGGTCTTGTAGTTTCCTAGTACTTTATGCAGGTGACTGCACTCCTACATTGTGGACATTTTCTATACCAGAGTCATTCAGGACTACTGTTGAGAAAATGTCAGTGTTTGCCATCTCTTCTCACTCCTGGTAAGTACAGTCCTATTAAGTAATCTTTTGGTTGTTTACTTTTTACCAAAAAAAGGCCTGTTCCCATCCTTATCTATCATCAAGTCTCTCACCATTATCGTAGTTGATATGTCTTAACATCTAGTCATTGAGGGTGCTTTTATGACACTTTTAATTTTACCCTGATTTTCTTGATGCCAACTGTACTCTGTTCTTTCACACTTTTTTGTGTGTGCTCGAGCACTTTTGTTTTCTTAATAAAGAAATGGAAGTTTGAGTAACTTACACAAGGTTACTCATCAATAACTGATTCAGGATTTGAACCCAGGCTACTTAATTCAGAAGAGCCCATACCTACCACTCAAATGGATTGCCATCCAACATTCATTCCAAACTCTAAGCCTTTACTTTTGAAATCCATTTGTCCTGACATTTTTATAAAGAAGTCTTTAAGACTAGAAGGAAAAAATACTCTGAACATAAATTTATTTACTAGCAGGAAGATAGGAATTAGATGAAATACTTTCATTTTGCTTCACCCTCTTAGAGGTCTACAACAGGAAATTGGAGAGATATTGCCGATGTTTTAGTAGATTCCATAGAAAGTTCATATACATCCAATTTTCAATTTAGAAAGAGGTAAGGAATTGGATTGTTTTCATGACATTTTTCTAAGGGAAGATAAGAGAGGAAATAAAGGGGTGAACCAAAAGACATCAGATATAAAGTGCCTGTTTACTCCCTCTGAGTGACTCACATTATTCTACTTTAAAAACATGTTAGGAATTCATCTAATCTTCTTTAGGGCACACCCACTTCCCTCTAAGCTTAGTATAGTTCACAGATAAATTGGTCTTTCTCAGCTCACCACTTCTGCTATGTAGTTACCTTGCCAGTGGTGATTTGATGTCCCGTGGCTGGCCATGCTCTTCCTCTTCTGTCTCAATTTCTTCCTTATATGTATAAATAAATACCTGACTCACAAGTGTTTTGCCTAACCCTGTGCTTTCCATTGCCTTGGCAATATTTCTTGAGTTGAAAAAGCCATCTAAGGTGCTAAGTTAAAAGAAAAAAAAAAGGCCTTATAAGGTACTCAGGATCTACACGAGGTTGTTAATTCATGTTTTGCTTTAATTGGTTACTCTGTTTCCTATTTCCTCGGTTTCCAATACTTGTTTGTAGAAAACATCAGTTTTGTGTGTATTTGCTCTTGGTCCTAAAGTTAAGGACACTATACGCAGAGTTAATTGACCTTCATTTGTGTGCCAGCATTCTGGGGTGACATAATGCCTGCAAGTGTCATATTCTTAATATGTGAGGGGGTTCTATATGGAGTACAGGGTTAGTTGCTAAATAACCTCTGTACCCCTTTTTCTCTGTCTCGATGTATGCATTCTCATTCTCCTGTAGATTGCCTATTTGTATGTATTCCTAGAAAAGGCCTTCGATAGGACGTCTGTAGGGTTATTCCCTTCTAAAGGGAATGGTTATACCCTCTGACCTATCAATTCCATTTCTATAAATTTATCCCATAGATATACTCACAAATGTGTAAAATGAAGTATATTTGAAGTAAATTATTAAAGCATTAAGAGCAAGCTAAATGTTCATCAGCAGGAAATGGAGTCAATATATCTTCGTCTGTCTGTATAATGGAACAATATGTATTATTATGAACAGTTTTTGAGCAAATAAAAATAAGCTGAAGTTTAAAAAGTTGAGTTAAAAAAGCAAGGTGTAAAACAGTGTGCGTAGTATCTGTGTACGTTTGTAGATACTGTACACACATGTTAGAGGGCAATTTGGATAAAGTATTCTGTGCTCAATTAACATATTTTCCCTTTGTCTTCCTGGCTCTACTGGCTTATTACCAGTAGCAGTTACTCGGGAGTTACCCAGCTACTCAGGAGGCTGAGGCAGGAGAATCGCTTGAACCCAGGAGGTGGAGGTTGCAGTGAGCTGAGATCGCGCCTGGGTGACAGAACAAGACTCCGTCTCAAGAAAAAAAAATGCTTATGTTCTGTATAAAATCTTCAATAAAATGACGATACCAGTACCTCATATTTGTATAATGATTTACAGAATAGAAAGCTTCATTTTATATAGTTCCTTACATAAGTCAGTGGTATAGTATCCAGCATACACATAAACACATATATTAAATATATGGAAATTATATAGTAATGTAATAATATATAGTTATATAATGATTCAGTAGAATTGTCATCTGAATACATTTTTGTTGTTTGCTCACTTTATAAGGTTTGCTTCAAGACATCTCCCTTGTCTTAAATATTCTTCTCTTAAGCTATGATTGCATATGGATTATTTTTCTATATAAAATACATTTTATTCTCACTTTTTAGATTCAAAGTTAGGACATTTCTGAAAGATTTATGTATTATCTATTTAATAGAAATCTTTCAATTACTTCCCAATGTGTAAAGAGTAAGTGAATAACAGAAAATGAGAAATTTCAAAGACTTGGTAGCAAGCATTTAGCAAATGCCATTGTCCTTGTAAAATTATTTTAAGCTCTATCTGTTGTCACACACTGAAAGATGCAAGCAAACAGTGTGGCTTTGGCTAGAGCTTATCATTACTTCTCAGAATAACTTTGGTGTATTATCTCTAGTAGCATTTTAGCTTAGTTGATACACTTCAAAGTACCCGTTAGACACACCACAGATTGACTTAAGCTTTGATGACTTGCAAGTCCATAAATATCTCATTTTGGAACTCTAAAAGTTTGGAATTCTAAAACTCCAATTTTGGAATTCTGTGGTGGTCAACTGTAATTATCCATACTTGAGGAGCAAAAGGGAATAGTTCTGATGTCTGCAATTAATGATGGTTTTATTTTTCATATTGAAAATTACTTATCATAGAATTTTGTCATCTTCTTGTACAAGCATTACTAGAAAGAAGGTCATGAAAATAGTATGTGACTTTTCTTTGAAATATACTCACCTAAACTGGGGTTGAGGTCTGTATGGCAATAAAATTAAATAGATACAGAAAGAAGTAAGAGAATAGGAAAAATGCTAAGCAAAAAGAATAAAAGCTTGAACTTAACATACCAATTTAAAATTCAAAAGGAAAGGCAAAGGCCCAAGAAAAGGTTAGAAAATTTTGAAGAACAAGATGAAAGGATACCCAATTATGTATCACAGTATAAAGCTAATGTGTAACTGGTGACATGAAACTATTATCATTGTAATGCCTCTGCTAGAAAAGATCATTTCTATCTCAGGGTTTTATAGCTAGTCTGGTTCTAACTCAGTTAAATCCACAGTTATTTTCTGTGAAGCGATATTATTTATTAACATTATTTAACAAATTTAGCTTATTGTATACCTGTTTAATGCCAATAGTGCTGCCAAAGGCTAAGGTTAGAAAAATTAGTAGTCTGAAACTACTAGATTTAACTCTGTTTGCAAAGAGCCCCATAAATTACTTGTGCTAAAGCTGGACCTTAATAAATTTATAAGTTTGCAGTAAATGAAAGGGTATCCCTTGAATTCTCCCAAATCAAGACCCTGTAACTTTATTGAGTTTAAAACGCTTGAAGCAGATTACTGGGTTTCATCGTCAAAGATTTTTAATTCTAGAGACAAGTTTTTTTCACTTCATAGCCCATATTTTTAACCGCAACCCTGTATTGCTTATTCATTTCATCTCCCCAAATAAACGTGAAGATCTTTGGAAGAAGGAGTCACTTTTTATTCAGCTAAGTAGTATTTCTTTCAATACATGAAAAAGTCTTGACACACAGGCAATGCTAAAATATGCATACACATGAGAAATTAAATTGAGGCAAAATAATGATTACCTAACCAGCTACTGTGTCTGGTATATGACCCATAAAGGAAAAAAGTGGTCACAACTGAGGTCATCTCAGAAAGAATAGTTTTCCTGTGTAGTTGAGCGTAAATTGTTCTCCAAGATGATATGGAGAAGTGGAAGAATGTCTTTTTTTTGGCTTTAGGAAATACATTATTCATTCTCTACAGAAGGACTGATTGACTTTTTTCCTGTATATGAGGAACGGATTATTAGGCAAAGATATTACGTAGTAAAGTTTACTTAAACTAAGGTAAGATTTTGGACTGTGCCTAATGATTTGGAAGCTTACTTAATCACTATTCTCAATAGCTACCTAATGCCCAAGAGTGTGACTTTGTAGCTAGGATGAGCTGTGGATATATATACAAGTTTTTATTACTGCAGTTGTAAAACAAAGACTTTGATGGCTATTTTTTATGTATCATCACAGTTAACTATTTTCAGAATCTTGAGAGGTTTAATCTCCTTTCTAAGTCTTTTATTCCATTTAGTGACAACTGTTTTTTGACAATGTAATATATACTCTAGTATAATTTAAAAATATCTACAAGTTGTCAAGTTGAATGGCTGAGAGATTTGTTTAAAGAAATGTGGGCAACATTCTTGTGGTTGGAAAAAGTAAGGGAAAAATGAAAGTATTGCTTAAAAGCTGTTTTCAAAGCTTGCATTATGAAAGGGATTATATGTGAGATTTAGAGTCTTTTTAAAATAAAAAAGAAATAGATTAAATTCCAACTCTATAAATATTGTCTTTATATTTAAAAGCCCCAAAGAGGCTGCATTAAAATTAATTTCTGATTACGCATATGATCCCAATAGAGAATTCATTGACCAATTGAGTGCAGATAAATATAAAAATCTCTCTATAGCAAAGTCTACTCTCGGTAAAATTATGTATACTAATATATAAATATAAAGCCCAAATATGACATTTTTCATAAGAAAAAAATATAAGTAGAATCATAGAGAAGGATAAGATCTTTTCCCCTTAGATTTTGCTTCATAAAATAGTAGTAGTAGAAATTGATTAAAAAAGAGTGATCTAATTTTATATGGTGGTAGCAGAAAAAAATGCACATCAGGGTAACATCAGGCACATCTATGACATGGTCAGAAACTCTAGAAGGGGCAGGGCAAGATAAGGTGACTTTGGTAGTCTAGGTTGATTAGTGCATCTGAAGCAGGAGAAGAATAGCTAGAAGTATAGTGTCAACTAATACAAGAAAAACCCCAGTCGTTTCTTTTTTTGCCCCTCCCCTTACCTGGTCTCTTTTAGCAGAGGCAACCAATGACTTCTCCTAGTATTTACCTTTATGTTTCTAAATACTAACCATCTGCTAACTTTTAAATTATCAGTTTTATTATTATTATTATTATTTTGAGACGGGGTCTCACTCTGATGCCCAGGCTGGAGTGCAGTGGTAAGATCTCCGCCTCCCAGATTCAAGCAATTCTCCAGCCACAGCCTCCTGAGTACCTGGGATTACAGGTGCATGCCAGAATGCCCGGCTGATTTTTGCATTTTTAATAGAGACAGGGTTTAGCCATCCTGGTCAGGCTGGTCTCGAACTCCTGACCTCAAGTGATCTGCCTGCTTTGGTCTCCCAAAGTGCTGGGATTACAGGCGTGAGCCACCGCACCCAGCCAAATGATCGGTTTTAGTTATTAGCGTCTGACTTCCTTTTGCGATAGTACTTCTCTTGCCATCTTCTTGGTATCATCATTATTTAACAATAAATTTTAAAAATCCGTATTCAACTTTTTCATTCTTATGGCAATGTAAATATTCAGTGCTGAGCCAAATTATGGGAGAATCCAGTGTATCAGAATTCAATAGAGAATCCACAGGGTCCATAAAGAGCACTTGTGGTTATTGTGGGCCCTAAAGAAGTGTGTGAACCACTGCCCCACTCACTGTGTGGATTACCTTAGTGTGTCGTGTGAATGATCCTGCAGCTCATCCCTCCTTGCCAGATTACAGAGCTCTCCATGTGTTATGTTTACCACCTGCATGTTTGAAATCCATTTCTTACCAAGAAATTCTGTATCAAGAAATTCAGCTTTCCACAGAGAGTATTATATGGCCATGTCATTGGAGGATGAATAAATTTGGTAAGCTTGTGGGAAATGTGAAAATATTTTCTGAAATACATTTTTAAAAAATCTCTTCTTTCACATTGTCAGTATATTTATTTACACTGTTCCAGTGTTATCTTCACAGATAATTTGTCTTTGAAAAATGACTATATCATAAAAGTCTTTGCCAAGAACGAGCTATTCATCCTGTCTTTTGTTGTTGGACTTTATAATCTTTTGTTGTCTTCATATAATTTTAATCATTTTATTATTTAAAACTAGTAAATTGGTTTTCTTTGCATTGTCCTTTTCCTGAGTACATGCAGTAATCCCTTTTGAGGCCATCTTCCATCCAGAGACAATGAAATCATTTGAGTTTAAGTAGCTTTTCAAGCTAATGCTGTTGTTTTCCTTATTGTCTGTTAGCTTTTAAAAACATTTATCTTTAAGAAAATATTTAATAGCTATTTTCTGTTTGTGAAACAGTTACACATATATTGAAAAACATTTGGAAGATACAGAAAAAAAGAAACTCATCTGCCCTTTAGAGAAAACAAGCATATTTTGATAGATATCCATCTAGTCGTTTTTCTCTTCATATGTACTCATTTATATATGTATATACATTCGTACGTACATACGTTCATACATATATATAAAGACACAGATTATACATTCTTTCAAAACATACTTCAGGAAGATAGGTGTGAACAAGAGAGAAATGGTACCTGCTGCCATGCAACTGCCACACTAGCTAATAAAAGAGCTATTCAGTATACAATCACGTAATTATAATTTTGACAAATGCATATGATATAAGAGCATGAACAGTTTTAAGGAATGAGTAGCATTATCAAATTTGTGAAGAGGTTTTATCAATTGTTTTTAAAGTTTGCTGTCATAGTATATAACAAAATACCTTTGGTATCTGCAATGTGTGTACAGATACATTCTATATCTATATATATCTGTATCTGTGTATACCGAATGGTCCTCAATTTACAAAGGTTGACATGAATTTTTGACTTTACAATGGTGTGATACCATTCTGTTTTTCACTTTCAGTACAGTATTCAATAAATAACATGAGATATTCAATACTTTTTTATAAAATAGGCTTTTTGTTAGATGATTTTGCCCAACTCTAGGCTAATGTGAGCACATTTCAGGTAGGCTAAGCTAAGCTTTGATGTTTGTTAAGTTAGGTGTGTTAAATGCATTTTTCTTTTTTTGAGATGGAGTCTCACTCTGTTGCCCCAGCTGGAGTGCAGTGGTGGTGATCTCTGCTCACTGCAACCTCCGCCTCCCGGGTTCAAGTGATTCTCCCGCCTCAACCTCTTGAGTAGCTGGGATTACAGGCACGCACCACTATGCCTGGCTAATTTTTATATTTTTAGTAGAGATGGGGTTTCCCCGCCATGTTGGCCAGGAGTCTTGAACTCCTGACCTCAGGTGATCCGCCTGCTTTGGCTTCCCAAAGTGCTGGGATTACAGGCATGAGCCACCTCACCGGCCTAAATGCATTTTTTACTTATGATATTTCCAATTGAATATGGGTTTACTGGGACATAACCCCATCATTAGTCTAGGAGCATCTGTATATACATGGAGAAAAACTTATTCTGCAATGTATGTAAATTTGTCAAATGTTATTTCATTATAGATTTGTCATCTAGTAGAATTGAGTATTAGTGTGAAGAATCCTTGTGCTTTTAACTTTAGTTTATAACCTTTTTCATTTAAATCTTTTATTTCAGCCACCACTGAAGTGCCAGAATAGTGAGATAAATTGTTAATAATGAATTTCCCCATGAAAGTACCATATAATGATTGTAACATTGAAAAGATTCATATGGTAAATACATGGATATCGTGTGCCAATTCTATGTTATTTTACTAACTACAAGGTATAGGTATAGGGTAAGATAATTTTCATAGATTTCTTCATTTAATCTTGGGAATAACCCTGTGAGGTAGGTGGTATTAACCTCTTTATAGATGAGGAAACTAATTTAGGGAAGTTAATTAACTTGGGCAAGTTTATTTATTTATTTTTATTTTTATTTATATATATATTTTTATTATACTTTAAGTTCTAAGGTACATGTGCACAACATTCAGGTTTGTTACATATGTATACATGTGCCATGTTGGTGTGCTGCACCCATTAACTCGTCATTTACATTAGGTATATCTCCTAATGCTATCCCTCCCGCCTCCCCCCACCCCACAACAGGCCCCGGTGTGTGATGTTCCCCTTCCTGTGTCCATGTGTTCTCATGGTTAAATTCCCACCTATGAGTGAGAACATGCAGTGTTTGGTTTTTTGTCCTTGCGATAGTTTGCTGAGAATGATGGTTTCCAGCTTCATCAATGTCCCTACAAAGGACATGAGCTCATCCTTTTTTATGACTGCATAGTGTTCCATGGTGTATATGTGCCACATTTTCTTAATCTAGCCTATCATTGATGGACATTTGGGTTGGTTCCAAGTCTTTGCTATTGTGAATAGTGCCGCAATAAACATAGGTGTGCATGTGTCTTTATAGCAGCATGATTTATAATCCTTTGGTTATATACCCAGTAATGGGATGGCTGGGTCAAATGGTATTTTTAGTTCTAGATCCTTGAGGAATTGCCACACTGTCTTCCACAATGGTTGAACTAGTTTACAGTCCCACCAACAGTGTAAAAGTGTTCCTGTTTCTCCCCATCCTCTCTAGCACCTGTTGTTTCCTGACTTTTTAATGATCACCATTCTAATTGGTGTGAGATGATATCTCATTGTGGTTTTGATTTACATTTCTCTGATGGCAGTGATGATGGGCATTTTTTCATGTGTCTGTTGGCTGCGTAAATGTCTTATTTTGGAACATGTCTGCTCATATCCTTCACCCACTTTTTGATGGGGTTGTTTGTTTTTTTCTTGTAAATTTGTTTGAGTTCTTTGTAGATTCTGGATATTAGCCCTTTGTCAGATGAGTAGATTGCAAAAATTTTCTCCCATTCTGTAGGTTGCCTGTTCACTCTGATGGTAGTTTCTTTTGCTGTGCAGGAGCTCTTTAGTTTAATTAGATCCCATTTGTCAATTTTGGCTTTTGTTGCCATTGCTTTTGGTGTTTTCGTCAGGAAGTCCTTGCCCATGCCTGTGTCCTGAATGGTATTGCCTAGGGTTTCTTCTAGGGTTTTTATGGTTGTAGGTCTAACATTTAAGTCTTTAATCCATCTTGAATTAATTTTCGTATAAGATGTAAGGAAGGGATCCAGTTTCAGCTTTCTCCATATGGCTAGCCAGTTTTCCCAGCACTGTTTATTAAATAGAGAATCCTTTCCCCATTTCTTGTTTTTGTCATGTTTGTCAAAGATCAGATGGTTGTAGATGTGTGGTATTATTTCTGAGGGCTCTGTTCTGTTCCATTGGTCTATATCTCTGTTTTGGTACCAGTACCATGCTGTTTTGGTTACTATAGCCTTGTAGTATAGTTTGAAGTCAGGTAGTGTGATGCCTCCAGCTTTGTTCTTTTTGCTTAGGATTGACTTGGCAATGTGGGCTGTTTTTTGGCTCCATATGAACTTTAAAGTAGTTTTTTCCAATTCTGTGAAGAAAGTCAGTGGTAGTTGGATGGGGATGGCATTGAATCTATAAATTACCTTGGGCAGTATGGCCATTTTCACGATATTGATTCTTCCTATCCATGAGCATGGAATGTTCTTCCATTTGTTTGTGTCTTCTTTTATTTCATTGAGCAGTGGTTTGTAGTTCTGCTTGAAGAGGTCCTTCACATTCCTTGTAAGTTGGATTCCTAGGTATTTTATTCTCTTTGGAGCAATTGTGAATGGGAGTTCACTCATAATTTGGCTCTCTGTTTGTCTGTTATTGGTGTATAAGAATGCTTGTGGTTTTTGTACATTGGTTTTGTATCCTGAGACTTTGCTGAAGTTGCTTATCAGCTTAAGGAGATTTTGGGCTGAGACGATGGAGTTTTCTAGATATGCAATCATGTCATCTGCAAACAGGGACAATTTGACTTCCTCTTTTCCTAATTGAATACCCTTTATTTCTTTCTCCTGCCTGATTGCCCTGGCCAGAACTTCCAACACTATGTTGAATAGGAGTGGTGAAAGGGGGCATCCCTGTCTTGTGCCAGTTTTCAAAGGGAATGCTTCCAGTTTTTGCCCATTCAGTATGATATTGGCTGTGAGTTTGTCATAAGTAGCTCTTATTATTTTGAGATACGTCCCATCAGTGCCTAATTTATTGAGAGTTTTTAGCATCAAGGGCTGTTGAATTTTGTCAAAAGCCTTTTCTGCATCTGTTGAGATAATCTTGTGGTTTTTGTCTTTGGTTCTGTTTATATGCTGGATTACGTTTATTGATTTGCGTATGTTGAACCAGCCTTGCATCAACTTGGGCAAGTTTATTGTTGTTAAGATGGTATTGAGACCTACGTCTTGCTTGGCTGTAAGTAAAATTCATGCTGTTCTTTATTTTCTTGATATTGTGCTGTCTCTTTGTAATGGTGAAGTGGAAATTATTATAGCCATCTCTCAAATGAGCAGACCAAGGCATAGATAAAAAAGGCTAGCATTTAATTGTGGTAGAATGGGCAATAAAATAGTAGTCAACCTATTCTTGCTGAATTTCCATTTTCCTGTCTACATATGAGTGTTCAACTATATTAAAGTCTGTCTTGAGGTATCCTAAGGTGGTGTTACAGCAGCCCAGTAGAGTACATTCTGAGTTTTCTGCCTATACTTGTACTTCAACCAAAGAAGCTTTGCTTTTATTTGTTTTATATACTGAACCTTGAATTATATTCAAGTATGACTAAGGATTATAATACTAACATTGTTGGGGGATAAAAATGTCGGCTTTCTGGTTTTTCTTGTTGCTTTTTTTTTTATTCTAGCTGAAATAATAAATCAGTTCCCTATTCCATTTTTCTGTAAAATGAACTGTCATGATCTCTTTTGTGTGTGTGTTGCAGGGAGGGGGGTTAGTAAAAAATTTAATCATAACTAAGTTATGTAAGTAGATGATCTTAAATGTTTTTAATAAAACCATGTGTTGGGTTACCTTTAAAAGTAGTTATGATAATTTTTTTTTGTCTAAAGCATTTCAGTTATAGCAGTCATAAATTTAAGTTGAGTAGGTTTTTATGCTCATTATTTTTGGTAAACTAAGGAAAATATAGGATAAGGATTTTGATTAGCCTAGTAAGAAATTGTGATTAGTTTCACATCGACCAACTTACTGTTTTCTATCATGAAACCTGAAAAAATAAAAAAGATATTATTATGATTCTTTGATTTCTCAAGCATTTTCTGAGAATTTTGTCAAATTTCGGAAACTAGTTTCTTAGTATCCAATTTTATTGAACATAGGCTACAGCAAGTATCTAGGTTATAACAGATGTTTTTGGTGGCTCTGAGATGGAAAGTTGTAATTATATGAACCAGACCTTCTATCTAGTGCTATTTTTACAAGGCTGCTCTGTTGCCAAACATTTCTTCTATAGCTCTGTCTTCTTCTAGCCATACTCATCAATATTCTAGCACATTTAACTGCTGATCTCTTTAGAACTCACGTAAGGCAGAGATTCAACAAGAAGAGCAGTGAATCATGCTACATCTTGTTTTCATTGGAACACTAAAGCATCAGCATATGCCAGTGTTTGCTTTGGGGTAGGTTTCCCTAGAAAACAGAAGATCAGTAAGATGCTAAATTGAAATTTTATGTGACAGACGGCTGAAAACAAGGCCATGGTTGAAAGCCAAACTCTTAGATGTTGTGCATGTCGAAACTGGAACAAAGATTATAATGCAAGTTCAATTTTCCTCAAATATGGATCTCAACATTAATTGTGGTATGCAGCTCACCCACAGCCTTGGGTGTGGTCTATGAATGCAGCTGCTACTCTGTTCTACAATTATTGTATTTTATTGCCATTATGACTGGGCCTTTGGGTTATAACCATTGATGCAAATGAAAAAGGAAGAAACATGTTGGATACACAGTAATATACATGTTTTTGGCATTGGCTATTTGTGTCATCTTAACTGTTTTTATTCATAGAACTTAATAGTTGGAAGCACTTGTAGAGAAAATTTTAATATGTTGGATTTCTTTGTGGGGATTAGGAGCAAAGCTTCTTCTCTGGCCAGCCCGTGACTGTTTCTTATCTATGTGGACTCCATTGCCAATCATTGTGGTGGTTTAGAAGCATCCAAGGTCCACACTGTCCCCTAAACATTGCCTTTGGGGACAAATGCATGTAATTCTAGGTCATGGTGAGCCTAGTTGTTGTCCTTGTACCTAGGATTCAGTGAAGGGCCTGGGGGGAATTCAGAAAAGGAGTCATTGAGTTCACCTTGGTGATTGAACATGTAACTGCTTTCTCTTTGATTGAACTTTACAGAAACTAATGTAGCTGCCACCAAGACCTGGATTGTTGCTAATTGAGAAGACTGTTTAGAAGACAGGTGGACTTTAGTTTCACTCTAGGAACTTAGCGGTGATTTTATATATTATGGATAATTTGGACCTGAATTATTTCATTTCTCATTATTCCCATACTCTCCCATTATTATGGCAGCCAATAACTGACATTTTCTGGAATAAGTCTGGTGAGGTAGCTTTCACAAAACAATATTAGGTTTAGTGTCCTGAGTACCTTATTGTTATTACCTTATAAATCCCTTGTTATTACTGTTCCCATCTTACAGGCAAGGAAACTGAGAGGTTAAGTAACTTGTCCCAGGTTGAACAACTAGTAAATGGAGGTGCTAGGGTTAGAATCTGGGCAGTCTGCTTTTAGCTCTGGAATACTGGACATTTTTGAGGCTGTGTTATACTTATCAAATTAACCAGGCTAAGACTTAGATGTTTGTTTTGTTTTGTTTTGTTTTGAGACGAAGTCTTGCTGTTGCCCAGGCTGGGTGTGGTGGTACAATCTTGGCTTACTGCATGCTCCACCTCCCGGGTTCACGCCATTCTCCTGCCTCAGCCTCCTGAGTAGCTGGGACTACAGTCGCCCGCCACCACGCCCAGCTAATTTTCTGTGTTTTTAGTAGAGACAGGGTTTACATCGTGTTAGCCAGGATGGTCTTGATCTCCTGACCTCATGATCCGCCCGCCTCGGCCTCCCAAAGTGCTGGGATTACAGGCTTGAGCCACCGCGCCCAGCCAACTTAGATGATTTTTAAAAAATGTACCTATGAGTTGCTTGTCTTTGAAGTCAGTATTAGTGTCGGGTTTATTTGGCAGTCTGTTCTGAGTTCCTTCCACCTCGTTACAAATAGTATACTCCTGAGAAAAATAAAATAATTAGCTAATATAGACAGATTTTCGGAATGAGGAAGAACACTGCATGATACAGGCTGTGTGATAGTGGTATTATTCAAGTTCCCTTGAGCTTGAAGAGATCTTGTGGGCCAATTGATCCTTCCCTTCCTCAAGAATCCCTGATACAGTGATACAGCTTATTCCAGTTAGACAATGCTAATTAAGGGCAAGTTTTTTGAATTAAAAACTCACCATCAGTATTCAGCAAGAACATTTTAGAAAAGCAGCCAAAAGAGTTACAAAATAGTTCTGGGAGAAACGGATCATTATCTTGAGAGGAGTCAGTAACTTCGATGCTAGAGTTATATGCGTGCTTTTTCGTTTATCGTAGTTTTTTAAAGATCACAGCATGGAACATGTGTTTTTTTCTATGCACTGGTTGTTATCCTTTGCAAGGTCTCAGATCTTTCTGTGACTCTAATAAAAGAGGAAATTAATATGACAGGATCTCCTATTCTCATTCTCTGGCAGTCTTTTAGGGGATCCTTGGAGCCAAAGTAAGGAAGACTCAGATTAGAGGTTATGTTTTTCTCCCACCAAGGAATCTAATACTTTTCAGATTATTTATCTTAAGAGATAGGCATCAGTGTCTGGCTTCTTCACATTTTTAGTCATCACCAAAGAGGGGAAATCTCTCTTGTCTAGTTCAGTTTTATAAGCACTTGCTACAGGATGTTATTGTTGGAACAACACATATAGTAATCCATGGTCAGCATAATCATGGTCAGCATTTCTGTTCTTCTTAGTAATTTTGATTATGTCAGAAGCAAATTTGGTGGCAGTGAGCTTTGCAGACATGTACTAGCCAGAGCTCTGTGTTAATTGTGTTGTTGGTAGATCTGCTTATTTTATGTCTTTGAGGATATCATTGCGTGCAGAATTTTTTAAAAGTTAAAATAGTTTAATAGTATTTTATGAATGGGCTTTTTCACTGCAATTCAGTGGACATTTGTTTGTGACCCCTATTAACCAGTCATCTTGTTTATTATGTGGCCTATCAGGCCTCCAGACCTTTCTGAGAGCTCCACCTTTGAGTCAAGGTTGGTGTTTATCAAACTGAGGCTTATATATTCAGTTTTTTTGGGTCAAGACCAGCATCCTTTCCCCCAAGCTAGTTTGTTTTTGTTTTGCAAATAAAAATAATATATTTTAATAGGTTCCACAGGAAAATATGTATGTTATTGCTTCATACTTGTATTAGGTAGATAATGATACAAAATGTATTTCTGATACCCACTGTGATAAAAGTGTGAAAACAGTTTTCCAGGTCAGTGCTATTTAATCTGTGGGTCCTGGACTGGTACCAGTCTAAACTGTTTGTTCCTGGTCTGTAGGGAGATAAGCACTGAAATTGAGAATAAGCATTTAGGAACTTTTGTAGCAATTTCACATTGCCACAGTTCTCAAGGTTTTTGTTTAGTGGATTTGTCCCATTGAACAAGTATAGTCCAGTTTGGGTGTTGAGATTCCATGATGTGAGTAACATACGTTGTGACTTGTGTATGTTCAGCAGCATTTTAGGTCATTTCTTAATCTATTAGATTCAAAGAGTGGTGGAGAGAGGGTGCATTAATTCTCTTGGGAATTTAAGAAGCTTACCTTTTGGTAAATTAGACATAATGTGTTGCTAATTGGCTGTGGTTTCAGTTTTTTAAACTGTAACATAGAAAAGGTATCAGAAGAAGAAGAATATAATTTATGTTTTCTATGGTTCCCTTGTTAGAAAAAAAGATACTAATACTTTAATACTGAAGAGCTTTGGGATTCTAATTTGCTTAAATTTTCAACAAAATCCATTAAATTATCAATCAGTAATATAAACAAGTCTTCTATTATAAGCAAAATTCAGTTTTCTATAAACAAAAATAAAGATTATTAATAAACAGTTGAATGAGTTTCAGTTCTGTGATGGTATAAATGTGAGATAAATCACAAATAATATAAGAAGTTGTAAAAATAAATATTTGAAAATTTAGCTGGCTTTTAAGTTCCTATTTTTAGATGTAGATATTATTATCACTTTGAATGCCTTGACTTAATTTAATAATATGAGATTTAGTGATAAGGATGTTGGACAAGATTCTACTTATTAATGAATGTGAAATTAAAGGCTCATCTTGAAGTTATTAAACAAGGATAGACTTGGCCTATGTATGGCTAAAGTAGCCACATTTGATCACTAATTTTTAAATTCCTTGATTCTTATGAATAACTCCAGATTTTTAAAAATATCTAAACTCACCCAAAGTTATTTTTTAAGTGTTACGTAACTGGAAAAAGCTAAGTTGAGATTGTGAAGAATCTTCATTTCATGTGTTCTACACAGAAGATAGCAGACTGACTTTGTTTTCCTAATAAGGCTGTGTTGAATGCTGGAATACTTATCCCCTTAAATTTTATTGAAATACTTTAAAATACTCACTTTACAAAAAAGGTTTGCAATTTAACACGTTTAGCCTGGACAGGAATAGAAAAAGAGATGTGCCTCTGGTATTAGCATAGGACAGGGTGCATATAAAGGTGAACCTCAAATAGCATGTCTCATACTTTGAAAAGATGAAAGACAAATTAGATATTTTGTTGTTTTCTATTTGTGTTTTGTTCATCACAATATATTTAAGATTTGGGGCAGTTTTTATTCCTTCTCTCTTCCTTTCTTTTAGTAAGTAGGCTTGTACAGATCATTTATTGCTTAACACTGAGATTTGGATTTAATCTTCTTCCAAAATGAAGTACTGCATTTAGCAATTTTTCTTTTTTTTTTTTCTTTCTTTCTTTTTTTTTTTTTTTTCTGTTTTGAGACAGAGTCTTACTCTGTCTCCCAGGCTGAAATGCAGAGGTGCAGTCTCGGCTTACTACAGCCTCCACCTCCCAGGTTCAAGCGATTCTCCTGCCTCAGCCTCCTGGGTAGCTGGGACTACAGGCGTGCGCCACCACACCTGGCTAATTTTTGTATTCTTAATAGAGACAGGGTTTCACCATGTTGGCCAGGGTGGTCTAGATCTCCTGACCTTGTGATCCACCCCCCTTGGCCTCCCAAAGTGCTGGGATTACAAGCATGAGCCATCGTGCCCGGCCTTAGAAATACTTTTCTATCTCACTCAGAATAAAAGACCAATTCCTTGTAATGGGTTCATGTACTTTATGTGTTCTGCCCCCAGCCATCTCTGCAGCTTTATCTCTCACTGCTTTCCCCAGCTTTTCCTGGAACCTTTCTAGCCCCACTGGTACATTCCTGCCTCAGGACTTTGCACTTGCTATTTGGACTGCCAGGAATTCCGTACTTCAGGTTTCTGTTCAGAGTTCACCTCATTAGAGAGGCCTTCTCTGACCCTTTTGTATAAAATAGTGTGTCCTTTCCTGTGTCTTGCTTTATTATGCTCCATGGCACTTACTACCATGTGAAATATTTTGCTTGTTAGTCTGCCTCTCTCAAATGGATGTAAGCACCTTCAAAGGAGGAATTTTGTCTCTTTTTTTTTTTTTTTTTTTGACAGAGTCTTGCTTTGTCTCCCAGGCTGGAGTGCAGTAGGGCCATCTCAGCTCACTGCAACCTCCACCTCCTGGGTTCAAGCGATTCTCCTGCCTCAGCCTCCCAGGTAGCTAGGACTACAGGTGAGTGCCACCACGCCCAGCTAATTTTTTTGTATTTTTAGTAGAGACGGGGTTTCACCGTGTTAGCCAGGATGGTCTTGATCTCCTGACCTCGTGATCCGCCCGCCTCGGCCTCCCAAAGTGCTGGGATTACAGGCATGAGCCGCCACGCCCAGCCCGTCTGTTTTATTCATTACCATTGCCCCACCTCCTACAACAGAGCCTTCTGTATCATGGGTTTAATAAATATTTGTGGAACTAATTAATAAATTAATGAAATAAATTGTTTTAAGGAAAAGACACAGCATGAGTGTTGCCCTTGAACTTGAAGTGATGCTGGGTAAAATAATTACCAGTTGGGAATGATAAGTTGATTGGTTAAATAATTTCTGGTAATGCAGAAGGCCATATTAATCCTTACAGGATAAACAGGTTGACAGGAGCTAGATTTTGACTATAATATAAGGGTGTTTGTTTGTATGTTTATAAAAATACAGGCTGATTCAAAAAGAGCTGAACACGATAAAAAATGTATTATTCAGTGATTAGGTATATATGCAGTTATATGAATGTGTAGTCAAAACAAAATTAGAAGGAACCATCGTAGTTATTTCTGTCAATCTTGCATGCTCAGTATGCAGCCCCCTGTATCATGGGGCACACATCAGTCCTGAAATCTAATTCATTCTGTTATTGGTAGCATGTCACCATCGATAGTTGTAATGGGGACCATGATGCCACTTCCTTTATTTTCTCAAGACCCACAAGAAGATTATGTGATGTGGTATCTTGGGATCTGCATGACTACTAATGTCAGAAGCTGGTTACTATTTTAAATAGAACACCCAATTTAGCACCAGAGAAGGTATTCACTAAGGAACCTCCAACCCCATCCTGCTGAAAAATGAAATTATTAGAGATTTCCTGTTAGTATAGGGAAAAAATACTCCTCTTTTCTGGAAAAGTAAAGAACAATGGACTGAAACCTGTTCTTTGTTTTTGCATCTACTTACTGAACTTTCACTGGGAATTTTGTGAAGAACTTAATCTCTTATTTATGTGCATATTGTACAGTCTGTAAAGTGTTCACTCTATAGATAGGCAGATATATTATGTATCTGTATATATTGAATACACATAGACATATATGTATATATTATATACAATGAGTAACTTCTGTGTTTACTTGAATTAAACCAAAAATGGCATTCTATAAACATGTCATTGAAAATGAATAGCTGTTTGTTAATAGAAAGTAGTTATTCATTGTTTGGAGCCATTACTCTCTGAAATTCTTTACCAAAGTTATTTTATAACTTTCTCTTTGATGTTATTCCAGAAGGCAGCCAGAAGGTAGAATGTTAGGGCTGCATATAGGCTTCTGGACCACTTGGGTTCTAATCCGGCTTCTGCCACTTTCAAATTTAAGTTTTGGTCAAATTAGCCTATTTGGGCTTCTGTTTCCTATATTTAAAATGAGAACATACTACTTTGTCAGGAAGAATAAATGAGATAATTTATATGATGGGTCAAGTGAAATTATTGGCATTTGGTAGGTACTCATTAAGTGATATTTTCTTGCTTATCTCTAGGTTTTTTTGTTGTTACTGTTTTCCTTGAAATTGATCCTGTTAGTAATTTGATTCTAATAGTATATAATCAGAAATAGAATAATTTCCAGAACTCCAGAGTTTAGGTCATCTGCTTACGGGGAAGGTGCCTTCTATCACTGCTTACTTTGTGTCAAGCACTCCACCAGATATGTTACATACATTACCTCATTGCGTCCTCAAAACAGTTCTGCAAGGGAGGTATTATGACCCTCATGTCAACAAAGAAACTATATGTTGCCTAATGCAACCTTTATTCAGCTATTTGTTCTATTCCTCAAAGAATTCCTGTATCAACAAAGAGCTTCGTAAGAGAAGGCCTGAATATGAAAGGCGGGAACTCTGTCTCTTTAGGGCTCTAAGCTTTTCTTGAAAGGAAGAAAAAAATAAATAGTCAAACTTCAGATTATGAATTGTGCTTGCTGATACTACTATTATCCTGTATATGACCCTCATTCAGCATCTGACCTTTATGAAAGTTTTCCGGAAGCAGTTAATTTTATATACATTGTTTAAAGCCTGTGAAAAAGAATTTTGAATATGGTTCTGTTATTGATGCTTATTCTCCTAATATGAATCTTAACTATATTTGGTGGTTTTTGTTTGTTTCTTTGTTTGTTTTATGAGACGGAGTCTCGCTCTGTCGCCCAGGCTGGAGTGCAGTGGCACAACCTCGGCTCACTGCAAGCTCCGCCTCCCGGTTCACGCTGTTCTCCTGCTTCAGCCTCCCGAGTAGCTGGGACTACAGGCGCCCGCCACCACACCTGGCTAATTTTTTTGTATTTTTAGTAGAGACGGGGTTTCACCGTGTTAGCCAGGATGATCTCGATCTCCTGACCTCGTGATCTGCCCACCTTGGCCTCCCAACTGTATTTGTTTTAAGGGCATTTTAGTAGTGTCACAAAAGAGCCAATAAAATGTAGACTCTTAATTTTTCACAGGCAGATTATTTGCTTTGCAAGTTTTATTACTTTTATATTAGTAATGAAGTACTGTGTTGATAAAAATATATTTTTTATCTACCTGATTGAAGTTGGAAGAGAAAATCTATCAAGTAGAAGTAATTACTTACCATTGGACCTTAGTAAGTTTTCAGAGAATGCAATTCTAGTACAGATTGATTTTTTTTTTTTTCATTCCTAAAGATAGTATAGTTCATGACTGTTAAAAAATATAGAGTTTTGGTAGAAAATAATGGGAAAGAAGGGAATTATACTTGTCAGTCTCTTCCCTTGCATAAAAATGCAGGGTGCATCCTTTTCACTTGTTCTTTTAGGATTTTTTAAAAAAATAATTACTAGTAGCTCCATTTATAGTATGTAGAAGCAGGGCTGAAAGAGGTTTTTAGCACTCTTTATCATTTATTAGCAAATGAACTGAAGTGCTGACTAGCAGAGTTACAAATAGTGCTTAAAATGTTATTCTAGTCCAATAATATTAAATCTGACCCTTCACCAAACTTCAGTATCAGTGCTGTGTGGTATGAATTTCATTTGAATGGGTGGTATGGAAGTTCAGATGGATCACCTAAACAGTTGTAAACAGTGTAAAAGTTTTGGGTAGAGGAGATAAGAAGAATTTAAAGGTAGTGTCCTGCAACCACAGAAGGAATAATACGTTTCACTTTCATTTCTTATATCAGTATCTGAACATATTATAATTAGGGCTTTGCATTGTGCAGAATGATTACGAGGTTTAGAGACCAAAAGAGGCATGGTCATGTAGAATTACGTACTAGAACGTTTGGTATAATAAACACCTTAACATGATCTAAACTAGAGGCTGTCAAATGATGGCTTACAGGCCAAGTCCTGCCCACCGCTTGTTTTTACTAAAGTTTTGTTGGAACACAACCATGGTCACTTATTTAGGTTTTGTCTGTGTCTTTCTACAGTGACAGAGCTGAATAGTTGAGATCATTTGACACACAAAGACTAAAATATTTACTGTCTGGCCCTGTATAATAAAATTTGCCATTTCTTAACAGTGGGACATATAGAATAGATTGTTTATAGAAACCCTTTATTGAAATGGTATTTTCACTGTAATGAAATTTTTTCCATAGTAATAATGAATTACTCTTAAATTTGAAATTTCTTTTATTCTTGAATACATCTAAAATTATGTAATCTCTTCATTCTTTCTGATATAAAAATTTTATAAATACTATTTAGAAAAATGGATTTTTTTTCTTTAAAAGATTCTGAAGTTATTTTTGAGTGTGGACATGAGGCACAATGGGCAAATAATTTTTTTCCCTCATAAAACTGTTACTATGGAAATAAATGTAGAATTACAGCAATAAGTTTTCTCCCTCTGGAATCAAATAGAATATTGTGAAATTTTGCACATAATTTGAAAACAGTTTTAAGAAAGATGTATGCAAATAAATTATAGGATATATAAAACACTTATTCTTAAAAATATGTCATATACTAATATTTTAAAATAAATGTACCTAAGGAGATAACAAGTTAAGTGTTATATCTTTGTTGGAATACTTTAGAAGATTGAGGCTTTGACCAAATGAATTTACATGGAATATCACCAGATGATGAAGTCAATTTGGGGTGTGCCCACAGTAATTTTTGTTTTGGACTTCTTTTTTTTGGCACGTTGAGTGAAATGACATCTTTGTTGATTCTTATTCTTCCATGACACGATTCTATATAATTTTGGATTGTGGTTACCTTTAGAGATGACCTGTACCTATATGGAATAAGTGCCCTTCCCACAAAATGGCCCCCTCCACAGTGAGGAGTTAGAAGAGAGGGTGATACTGGAAAGCCATTTTGCTTGGGTTGACACTGATTTTAGAAATTCAAACAATTTGTGCTGAAGAGCAAGGTCTTTGGAGAACATTTGGGATGATAACTAGTCTCCCACTCCAAACTGGATGAATGACTTGATAAAGTCATTTTACCCCTTCGTTTGTTTGTTTGTTCGTTTGTTTGTTTGTTTGTTTAGACAGAGTCTTGCTGGAGTGCAGTGGCACAATCTCGGCTCACTGCAACCTCTGCCTCCCAGGTTCAAGCAGTTCTCCTGCCTCAGCCTCCTAAGTAGCTGAGACTACAGGCACATGCTACCACGTCCAGCTAATTTTTGTATGTTTAGTAGAGATGGGGTTTCACCATGTTGGCCAGGCTGGTCTCAAACTCCTGACCTCAGGTGATCCACCCACCTCAGCCTCCCAAAGTGCTGGATTGATTACAGGCACAAGCCAGCGTTCCTGTCCAATTTTACCCCTTTGCATTTGAGTTTCTCATCTGTAAAATGAGAGAATGACACCTAAATCATGAGATTATTATAAATGAAAAATATAGTTATATGGATATGCGGTTGAGTGCCTGGCACATAGAATAAATTTAAGGTAGCTGTTAGTCTTTGTTTCCACTTATGCTACTTAAATTTAAATTTGCTTGAATTGCTTGCTACTTGACAAAATGCTTTCTTTCTTAGTGATTTTCAGGTATTTAAGTATTAATCATTTGAACTTTAAAATAACAAATTGGGGTGATATCACTCACGCTCTGCCCTAATACCCTCTTATTTTCTTCCTTTCTTCCATCCATTGGTTCTCTGGCTTGACTTTTATCTGGTTGATGAAAATTTCTTCTCAAACCCTAATAAACCTTCATGGCCACCTGAAAAGGATTATTGCAACAAAAGCACTCACCCTACTTACAGAATTATTATAATTATAATTCTTAAAGAAGTATTATAATTAGATATATTATAATTAGATATGCTTAGAGAAGTATTATAATTATCAAATGGTAACTGCCTGTTCTGGATATATATCAGAGCCACACTCAAATTTAAAATCAAGCACAGGCACAGAGGGCCACTGGTACTCACATGGGCTAAAGCAATTCTGCTGCTTTTGTCTTTTTTCCTTCTTTCTTTGACTCTTCAAAAAGCCTGACCAGCTTTGGGTTATTTCTTTCTCTCTGTAGGAAAAAAAGATGTACGTATTAGTTCCTATAGTAAGATAGAGAAGATGCAAAGAGGGAGAAAAGGAGTGAGTGTGTGAGTGAGTGCATGTGTATGTGAAGAGTACAGTCTTTTATAAGCCACAAACTGTTATAATATGCTGATATATAACTATTTTGTACTTTTGTTTATAGGAAATAGAATCTTTACATAATCTCAAACCATTTAGAAAAACCTAATACATTGCCATAGTGATTTAAATGTTTAAGGTTTGAGTATTTGGAACAGTAGACTAGCTGAATATGCAATAAAGTGTGAGGAAACTGTTTAGAAAGACATCCTTCTGCACTCTTGAGTGCTCACTTTTTTCCTTCTAGAGTTGCTTTGTTATTACAGATTGACAACTTTGCAATTAAAGTGATTAATGATGTACCCTAGTGTTTATGGGTCCCAAGGTCAGTGGATCCAAAGATGGCCATGCTGTGGGAAACTTAGACAAGAGCTCATCTCATAGAAGATGAGGCAAACACCCTCCTTTTTTTCTGTGTGATTGTTTACGAGTTAAGTATATTAGATGCTTGAGGGAGTCACCAAGACATAATGAGTAATGTGCATAATCTTTATCATTCTAGTTCTATTGTCTAGTTCCTCATTCTTAAACACTAATGCGAACATTCAGAACCTTATTAACTAAAAACCATGTTATTTTATAAAGCAGTTTTAGGAAACTACATTAATTAGTTAAAAATATACCTTAAGTATAACACTGCATTGGGTATTCAAAAGATGCAGTTTAGCTTGATTCATTTGCATCTAATTCTTGATAAGACTGCTGTTTATTTGTGGCATAATTTTTCCTATACATTATTCTAACCGGTACATCACAATTTTAGTTTTTAACATAGTCAGTTATCACTTAAAACTCCTTTCAACTGTTCAGGTAGAGGTTCTGAAACTGGTTATAATGCATCAGGGATTTTTATTTTGGATACTACTTTTACAAAAGTCAATCAACTTCAAATAGATTGTTCTAGCCACATTGATGGCTTTGTTCTTTGAATTTCATGAACTGAGGATACTACTGGGCTGAGGCACTGGTATATCACCGTCGTGGCTTACTCCTGAACAGTGGCTTCACACCAAGGAGGGTGAACAATAAGAAAATTGTTGACCCCATAGCACAAAGCCGTTGCCAAGATCTCTCTCTGCTGGTTTGAAACTCACACTACACAAAAGTGACTTGTGATGATCACTGCAGTTCAAAGGGGATCTGTTATCCCATTGTATATTTGCCAGGATTTGAAGAGAAAATGTAGGAAGAATTTTTTTCGTAATTATACCTCAATTTTTTAAACATCCTTTAAAAATTATTGTTTTTATGTAATCTATGACATTGTTAAAGTAAAAGATGCTCAATATTTGTCGAAAGAAAAGGAAGACAATTACAACAATTCTAATTTTGAGAAATAGGTTTCCTTATTCACTGGAATCCACTGTTCTTTACTTGAACTTGTTTCCTTTGCTCATTATAATAACCCTACAAGCTAAAAGAGAAGTTGTCTATTAAATAGTACACATAGAAGGTTGTGCAACTGCACAGAGTGTAATCTGTATTGCAGTAACTGAATATTAACATCCATTGCTACCTCTCATTAGGTTAGCCAATTCTCAGTGCTTGCCATAGCTAACCAAATTAACTGTTTTTGGAAAATTCAGTTGCTGCTAAAAATGTTGATCAGAGTTCATTATTAGATTATACTCATAGAGACCGAATATCCTGTGCTAGTGTCTTCTGTTTGTGATCTGTTGTCTTTAAAGTAAAACAAGCTCATGGTTTATAGCTTAAAATGATCATCACTTAGTATTTACCTGCTATGCTTACATTTCTTGAATTCTGTGCTTGGTGTGTTATCCTCCAGCTAGTGTGATATGAGTGGAATCAAATTGCTACTGGCATATTAAACATAACATATACCTTAACACTAAGTAAATAGGCTTTAAAACATTAGAGGCTTTCCCAGTCATTTAGTTCCTGTCCATGAATACAAACAGTATATTGTTATATTTAACAGTGGTGGGCCTCAGCTCCATCTTAAGCAATTTACCTACACTTCTTTTGAAGTTTCTTCTCTGAAAAATTAGGATAACCATAGGTTTTACTTGGATATGATTAAGATTATATGAGATAATTGCTCCAAACCAATTATTGTTACTGTTGAGCCCATGCTAACTAAAGGCACAATAATAACATAGTACAAAAAACATATATTTAAAATGAAAATTAATTTGAATTTGGAAATAGTCAAGTTATATACATGGATTTTTGTCTTTTTCTTCACTCTCTCTTTTCCACACTTATTACTGATGACCTGTTACATTCCAGACACTGTGCTGATACAGACACAGATGGGGCATGGTCATTGCCTTCTCTGAAATTATAGTCTAGTAGAAGGACCTACAGTTTACTTTTAGCAAATTAAATGTATTAACTTGCATAGACACTTAAGAATAGGAATACAGAATAAATATTCATTCATTGACCCAATTCAACTAGAATGTATTCAGCATCTTCACAGAGACCCAATATCCTGTGGATGTTGTTCATGGATGTTAGGAGAAAAGACAGATACTGTTGGAGATAGGAGTCAGATTAGGTGGTTGAGGAGCCACTCAAAGATCAGAAGGTCATGTTTATTATACTTTACCCTTTTAGGTGGGGGGTATCCTTAACGATTAAACACGGGTGCACTCACAAACAGGATTGATGTTTGTCATTCCTCAGCTGAATTTGTAGAGAACCAGAGACTGCTATTGAATACCTAGTGTGTAAAATGTTGAATCTTGCAGCATTTGACTTACATGAATGAATTAGAAGATTGTGAATAGTAAAAACTATGAATTATGAAACGATACATTCCAGTGATTCAGTATATTAAGGCTATATTATAATAGTAAAAATTCCATTAAGAAGTCTGCAAGTTTATAAAAATTCATTATTTTTTTTTTCTTTTTCTTTCTTTTTTTCCTCAGAGCATCTGCTGCACCCAAGCCTGAGCCGGTTCCTGTTCAAAAGGTGTGTTTTTAAGCTAGCACCCAGAGTATCACTTGATTGTCCTTGCTGAGCTACTGTAATTCCCATTACTGTCTCAGACCATACTGACATTCATTTAATTTATAGTCTCAGTACAATTTTCCTTGTAGTTCTTTTCCTTCAGAGATGAGTAGGGAAATGGAGATCAGCACATACCATTTGTAATTATACATGTTATAAAACATTATTTCCAAAGCCATATGTTACAATAACTTATGTCAGATTTCTTACATTTCTATTCACTTTTGATGAGCCCATCTTTATCCAAATCCTTATATTTTCTAAAGAGAATAAATAAGTGGTTACTGAAAATTAATATCACAATAAGTCTTTAATAACATTTTATTAATAAGTGCTTAATTACATTTCAGAGTATTCTTAGGTTATTGGCAAGTATCCCTCTTCTTGCATATATGTCTTCAAAATAATTTCAAACCATTATTCATATATATCTGTTTTATGCTTTTGGGGGCTTTCTCCCTAATTTTATCTGTGCCTATTTATTGAACTACTTATTATACAGATTGAGCATCCCTAATTAGAAAATCCAAAATGCTCCAAAATCCCAAACTTTCTGAACACTGACATGCTCACATGACCATTGCAGCATTTCAGATTTTGGATTCTTGGATTAGGGATGCTCCTGCATTCTACAAAGATTCAAAAATCTGAGAATATCTGAAATCTGAATGCTTCTGGTCCCAAGCTGTCTAAATAAGGGATACTCAACCTGTATTGATTCGTGTGGGCACTAAGCTACTTATTTTTCTCAATTAGTTTTCTTCTTCCTATAAGATGAATTGAGGCTGCGCGCGGTGGGTCACGCCTGTAATCCCATCTTTTTGGGAGGCCGAGGCAGGCGGATCACCTGAGGTCAGAAGTTTGAGACCAGCCTGGCCAACATGGTGATACTTCATCTCTATTGAAAATACAAAAATTAGCTGGGCATGGTGTCACGCATCTGTAGTCCCAGCTAGCCAGGAGGCTGAGGTGGGAGAATCACTTGAACCCGGGAAGTGGAGGTTACAGTGAGCTGAGATCACACCACTGCACTCCAGCCTCAGTGACAGAGCAAGACTCCTGTCTCAAAAAAAAAAAAAAAAACAAGATGAATTGAGATTACCTTTTTTCTTAAAATTAAACAGTAGAACCACCATTGTATGATTTTTCAAAAATTTGATTTTTTCTTTTGATATGGTAGGGTGGAATAGGGATTTATTCTTGATCTGAAGTCTAACGCTCTACCTCTGAGCTATCCCGCCTCCTGGGATTTATTCTTGAATGTTGTAGAAGCTTAGTCTGATTTTGTTTAACTTTAAATATGCTTTGGAATAAGGATTGGCAAATAAAAATTCTGGTAATTTTAGGAGGAATTGACCTTTCTTACTAGTTGTTTTTTCTTTGGCTGCTGACGATGGGGAAATATTGAAGATTTTTTTTTCTTCATGTAACTATTAAATATTTATTTTGGAAAAGGAAAAGAATTTTATTCTATCTCTGAATCATATCTTAAAACATTCAGAGAGAGAAATGGAGGTGGATTACAAGAAAGAAAGGATTTTGTTTTATTTGCTTTTTTAAAGTTTTTTTTTTTTTTTCAAATTCTTTAAGATTATTAATTAGAGTTTGCACATTCCTGAGTTAGGTGAAAATTATCTTATTCCCTGTGTTTTTTGTTTTTTTAAACTTAAAGAGTTAGAAATGTGCTGCTCCTTCTGCGTGAAACAAATGATTCCACTCTGGAGAGAAATGAAACATGTTTGAAAAATGGGACTATGGGCTTTGAAAGATGGAAAGATGGGCTTTGGATATTTTAACATAAAAAACACCTCAGTTAGCAATGTTTTGTTTATTGTAGGGTATTTAAACATTTTTCCTTTGGAATATGCCTAGGTTGACACTGATGAGGGGCTTTAGGCTTTCTGATAGTTTTCCTGCTGTATTTCCGAAATATTTTGAAACTACTTTCATTTTTATTTTTAAAAATTATACCTAATGTGTGCATCTGTGTTATGCATGTTGGGACTAGTTAGCATGCACGTTATGCTTTATCAGCCCATTGTTTTTATCTGGAAACATGATGTTTGAGCTGCTAACCTGATTGTGTTTGTCTTTTAAAAAATCAGCTCTGTGTTCTTTTCGGTGAAATATATTTTGCATGTGTTTGGTGTGGTTTTGTGTATGTTTATTTTTGTTTTACATAGGGAGAACCTAAAGAAGTAGTTAAACCTGTGCCCATTACATCTCCTGCTGTGTCCAAAGTCACTTCCACAAACAACATGGCCTACAATAAGGCACCACGGCCTTTTGGTTCTGTGTCTTCACCAAAAGTCACATCCATCCCATCACCATCGTCTGCCTTCACCCCAGCCCATGCGACCACCTCATCACATGCTTCCCCTTCACCCGTGGCTGCCGTCACTCCTCCCCTGTTCGCTGCATCTGGACTGCATGCTAATGCCAATCTTAGTGCTGACCAGTCTCCATCTGCACTGAGCGCTGGTAAAACTGCAGTTAATGTCCCACGGCAGCCCACAGTCACCAGCGTGTGTTCCGAGACTTCTCAGGAGCTAGCAGAGGGACAGAGAAGAGGATCCCAGGGTGACAGTAAACAGCAAAATGGGTAGGTGGCTAAGGTGCTTTCTGCTCTTACTAAAACTCTTCTTTCAGGTAATTTCCAGGAAATACTCTACATTCCTCTCCCCCAAAACCAACTTTCTTTGAAGGAAGGGAGATGAAGTATTATTTGCCTCATTAACATATGGCCTTTATATACATAGGGTACTTTCTGCAAAGCAATTATCACTTATTCAAAAGCTACTTGTGCATTTTGACATGTTCTGAACCATGTAACATCTCTGTAACTCATTTTTTGTAAGTCCCGACACAGCATTGAGCAGCTGGCACTTGTAATGCAAGGCAAATCTTGAATCTTTCTTCCTCAATTTTTTCATTCTTTTAAATAGGCCACCAAAAGTTCAAACAGTGGTTACAGTTGCTGTCACCTTACACAACTCATCGTAAGGAGAGGGGAAATCATGAATTTGTAAGGGGTTTTTTTTCTAGGAGGTAATCTTAGGAAAACCAGTCCGCTTTTGACTCATGTCTATATGTGAAGCATTAGCTTAGAGCAGAGAGCTAACAACATTGTTTTCAGATAAGTTTAAGTTAGAATTTATTCTTTAAAAGCAGACAGTAATGAAACAACAAGGCACGCTTAGAAAGCATTAGAAGCAAATTATAAAATACTTTCATTGTAAACGTTTTCTGAAATGAGTAAATTTAAGCCATTGGACACTAAACATACATGTTAGCAGAACACTTTGAAAATCTGTTTCTTATCGTTTTTCCCTTTTGGGGGTATCTTTTTATTAAAAAAATTGGTTGAAGTTATTAACTTATTTGAACTACACATAGTTATAAGATCACACATCTGTTTTTCAGCAACCTTCAATTATTTGTTTATTTTTTTTTAACACTTTCGGTTCAAATATAATGTTATCAGATAGTCAGAAATTTATGTTGAGGAGCAAGGATTTAAGTTGGCCGTGAGAGGTTATGTACAGTATCTTTTTTAAAAATAATTCTTTTCTATAATGTAATCCTACTTGCAAAGAAAAAAGTAAAGAAAAGAGAGAGAATAATGATGGTCATTTTATTGCTTTTGGAATTCAGGGATGATACTTTAAGGCAGTCATTTATGTAAAATCATTTTTATCAGATTTATTGTGACAAAAATGTACCTTAAAAGGAAGACAAAGGGAAATAGTCTACAGGCCTGATGGTTTTTACCAATGCCAGTTCCCAGGAAAATATAATTAAAATACTTGTGTGGATAGGTCCATTCTCTGAGATAATCCCTTCTGAATGTTAATTCCTGTAATGAAGAGGCTGTGCTTTCTGTAGCACTGCTGCCATGGCAACTTTGGGGCTTTGAAAGAGAAGGTGGCAAAACTCCAGGCTGCTGCTGAGAGAGGGAGAGCAGGAGCTCTAGAAGAACAGCTCCTGGGCTGTACATACGGTCTTGAGGTTGTGGGTGGCTTTCTAAAGTTCTGATATATATATATATATATTGAGGAAAACTAGTATCCTTCAAAAAAGAATGTTATTGTTTCTTTCATGTGAGGAAGAGAAACAGTATGGAGTGTTCAGGAGTGTTTGGTCGTAATCTTTTTTTTTTTTTTTTTTTTTTAGTATGTTTATTTTAAGACAATAGATTTTCGAGTAATCAGAGTAGATATCCTGCAAAGAAAGATGCTGTCTGTCAAATGCAAGCCACACAGAAGACTAAAACAGAAGTTTACCATGTTTATTAAATTCCAAGTTCAGTAGAAAAACATCCATTGAAGGAAGTGTCTTAACTAAAATCTTTTCTACTAGTGCTTCTTGAAATCTCATAAAAAACTCTTCTTTTTTTTTTTTTTTTTTTTTTTTTTTGAGACGGAGTCTCGCTCTGTCGCCCAGGCTGGAGTGCAGTGGCGGGATCTCGGCTCACTGCAAGCTCCGCCTCCCGGGTTCACGCCATTCTCCTGCCTCAGCCTCCCAAGTAGCTGGGACTACAGGCGCCCGCCACTACGCCCGGCTAATTTTTTGTATTTTTAGTAGAGACGGGGTTTCACCGTTTTAGCCGGGATGGTCTCGATCTCCTGACCTCGTGATCCGCCCGCCTCGGCCTCCCAAAGTGCTGGGATTACAGGCGTGAGCCACCGCGCCCGGCCAACTCTTCTTAATAGAAAGTTGTAGAGGTAAAAGCAAACAGGTTATGGAAAAGTACTGCATTTAAAACATCTGAAAATACCAAGCTTAAGTTTTGTGTTTTATAAGCACAGCTTTGGTGATAAAACTTGAAATGATTTAAAGCTTATTATTTTTAAACTGAAACTAGGCAGTATTATAGAGCCTTTATGATGGCTTCTTAATCAATTGGCAGTGTTTATTAAGCACATGCCTGCTGTCCAGCACTGTGCAAAATTCAGGAGAAAAGAGATTACTACATATTTTGCATCATTTTCAGGCAAGTTACTGCTTTGCATTTGCAAACTGGGTGTATTTAAAAATAGCTTGATTTCAAGTGTCTAGATATTAGGACAATAAAAACTTGATTACTCTGAAAATAAAGTGTGTTGTCTGTGAAACTCTGAGACACATTGGTAGCGCCCTTTCATTCACGATATTTAGACTGAGAAATAAAAATAAATTACACACTTTACTAGTCAGTGATGTGTCATTTTGAAGAGTAGGTGTTTTGTGCTATTAATGGATGCATTTTTTGCATAAGTTGTCAAACTTTTTCTGGAATCAGTGTCAAACTTGTTACTATTATATTTCCCAGATTTTTATAATGTTGCAAAATACCTACAACAAAACTCTTTTAAAGTTGAGAGTTGTTACCTTATATTTATATTAGTTATTTTTTAATTTAAAAAATAATACATACCAATGACCAAAAATTTAAGAGTTCAGAAGGATGTAAAGTTAAATGCTTAGGTTGTCTTTTTCCTGAAAGCACCAGGAGGACTATTAGTTTTTAGTTTTTAAGCTAGTTTGATAGCTATTCCACGCAAATTTATATAGCATTGATAAACAGACATAAACAGATGCTTATTAATGAAGCATCATTACTAAGAAATAATTAGCTGTTCATCCTAATAGCATGAAATCTGTACATAACGTCGATATTTTTAGAATATTTTAAATTAATAGTCTGTAAGCATTCCTGTTCCTTCTTATGAGTAAGGATTAAGGCATGTTAAGAAAATTTAAATCTTTCTTCTGTATGTACAAATTATTGGTCATAGCTGGCTGTTTTCTTTACTACTCTCCTTACTCTACTAAGAGCCAAATGGGACTTTATATTTCAAACTGGAAGGATTGCTGTTTTGCATCAAGTAGTTTAAGTGATTTACCTTTTCCCTTTCCATATATCCTTGCATTATAATGTGCCACTGCTTTCAAGAGGTAAGTCTTTTAGTATCTTATAATAATTTTAATTTTGTTGGACTGAAATTTCTTCTAACAGCTCCTGTGTGATACTTTGAAGAACCTGGCCTTGGAAGATTAAAAAAAAATGATGTGGTAGTAATATTTTAAAATACTTTTCTCTTTGCAGAAAACACAAGTGACAAAGTTAGTATCCACATTACTGGAGAGGAAATATGGTGATTTATATATGAGTAAACAGCATGAATGCCTGATTTTTGCAAAATTAAGTTAAATTTTGCAAAAGAGCTGTAATTTAGAATAACCACATTTAGTATTTTCAGTAAGCTTGGTTTGCATTGCTATGTTGTGGTGAATTGTTTTATAGTAATAAATAGTAGTGTTTAACATAAGTCATAAAATGTATGTGGGTTTTACTATGTATTGGTTTAAAAGAAGCAGTGCTTGGGAAAATGTAATTTATATCAGTCAAGACTGGTAGAACACAAAGATAGAAGAGAAAGCATAAACATTTATACCACTAGTGAATAACATGTAAAACTGAGTTGATGTCCAAATCAGTGTCAAAAGCTGATGGTAAAGTCTCTTAAGAACCTTTATGATTTTTCTAGAGTTTTAATTCAATGTTGCTGGCAGGTTCAGACCTCTATATGTACAGTTGTGTGTCAGTGGATAATAGAAAGTCCACACATCTTTGAAATTTGTTAAGAGAGATAAATACCAACTGATTAAATGTCACCATTGGTGTAGATGTTGGGAATCACTGTGGTATAACTTTCAAACCTCACTTTTGTGTTCCATTGGTATTGACACTACACTGGCTCACGATTACTAGCTTTAAAAACAGGCAAAAATCACATTAGATAAGAACTTAAAATAATTTTATTAATTAGCTTATGGTTATTCTGAACGTGTACTAAAAGTTTTTTTGGCATCACACCATAAAGTCGTATTGGAAATTCGAAGTATCTGTCTTGGGACACATCCAAGAGAATTAACTACTGAATTATCAGAGCAACTTCATTCCGATGTAGTTGTGGTCTCCCTAATTGAACAGTTTTATGTTTTTTATATATAGGAATATTGCATACCAGTGTAAACATCCCCAAACCCTGTTTTATGTTTTGTCCATTTAAAGTTAAATTTTTCTGGACGGAGACTTAGGCTATTTACTAGATTCCAGTGTAAAAATGTTAGACTTGTAAAGGGGGAGAATGGCGTTTGGAAAAATAAACATTTAGGTTAGATAGAATTTTTTTTTAATTCAAGATTAAGATTCATTAATCTGTTAGGTATTACTATGCATTGTTCTAGGTGTTTCTAAATGCATTATGTGATTTGAGTCTTTAAACTCTCATGCCAAGAGATTACATACCTTTCTCAAGTCACACATCTTATAATTAATAGAGCTAAGATTTGAGCCTAGGTCTTTTGAAGCCAAATTTTGATGTGCCTTTCCCTATATCATCTGCTTGTGACTTGGGCTTATTTCTATGGCTTTGAATTAATATTTATTCTTAATGATTATAGAATTGAATTGAAGCTATGTGAATCAATTGATGTGCATATATTACAATTAGGTTAGATATTCCCTTTTTTATTTTGAGCGGTTGGGGAATCTATTCCAACAATAAACCTGTATTTGTGTAGTTTTCAAAGTGCCTTCAAATATGCTAAACATAAACCCTTAGAGGAAGTCTGAAAGACAGAGAAATTGTCATTGATTTCACTGTTGAGGAAAATGAGGCTTCTGTAGATTGCAGTTTGCCCAGGGCATGGGGGAAAGTGGGCAGCACAGCCAGTATGAGAAACCAGATCACCTGGCTATCATGTTAGCACATTTACCACTGCTGTGTATGATGGACTATTCCATTTGGGCACATTTTCTAAAATATGTAAAAATATTTATTTGACATACTCAAATTGTTACCTTTAGGTTGAAATCAGTCAACCCTCCACTTGCTGCCGCTCCACCACACCATTGAACATTTGCCCCCATTTAACTTCATATTAATATAAAACATTTTTCCTAAACTTTAAAATGTTTAAATATACATCTAAAACTCAACTCTGTTCAGGATGAGGTTATTTTGCAAAACTATTTCCCTGCTACTTAAAATAACAAGGCAGAGGAGAGAATGCTGTGCATTTGTGGCTGCAGAAGAGTAAATACAAGCAAACTATTGAGATCAACTTAATCCTGCATCTCACCCTCACTCAGTGTAACTCAACCCTCTGAGTTTATGAAACTGATTTTGACATGTGGAAATATAGCAACACTGACCAGTCTTAGCGTTAAAACTGGTAGGCAGTTTTTCTTACTATGTTTATAATGAATTGTTACTTACTCTGACTAAACATCATTGCAGAATTGAATAATGCTACAGTGTGTTCTTTGGCAAACTATACAGTTTATACTTTAGTCTTTTCTATCCCTACTGTAATATGAATGTGTTGTTAATGATTCTGCACTTAATAGGCTATGTGAATGAATTATGTTTTGAGGTTCTTCCACTTCAGGTGTCACTAACTTAGTTCCTTTACCATGTCTTATCAGACACGCCTTCTGGGCAATAATTATATCACTGATAATACAGAGCTATGGAATTCCCACAAATCACTTCTGAAGTTACTGGAACTTGCTTGTGAATGAGGGTGGTATTAATGAGGGACAGGAGAGAGTAAGAAAATTGAGTGATAGCTCATTATTTATGATCCACTGTGCTTCCTACATTTTTCATCATAGTCGCTACTAAGAAACAAGAAAAATTTCAAATGGCATATTATTCTTTTATAACATATGATTCAGGATAATTCATGTGAGAAATTGTACTTGCTATTAATATATACTTCTGTTATGTGAGACTGAAAGATTTTTCTCTTATTCTCTTCTGATTTTAAGTGATTCTAAAATGATCTATTTCTACATTTTACATCTGATTGCTTTCTGTCCTTTGTTAAGAACATAATAAGAATTTGGATTCATGTTTAAATGATTTTTATAAAACCTTGTCCTTTTAAAAAATAGTGGATCTTTCAGTCACTTGATACTTGAATTAGCATTAATACATAAAATAGTTTTCAGTGTTTTGTGGGATGGGGGAACAAAACTGTTGTCTTGATTATAACAGTGTAGTAGAATTTTTACTAACATTTGTTCATTTTTTGGTCTGTGTTTACATAATTATTTTGAAGCATGATGTTTGTGTAACATCTTCACTGAAAATCATTGTTTTGAATTTTATTTCATTGTCTTTTCTTTTTCTTCTTTTCTCCCCTCTTTGTCTGTTGTTCATCTTCCGGGGAACATCAATGTCTTCTCTACTCTATCGCATCTTTTTTTGTGTGTGTTATTCTTCCCTCAGTAACCCTGGCACTGTGTAAGTACTTAACCAATGATTCACTTTGTAATTGTCTCTGTAACTTTCCTTCTTGCTTTCAATTTAATACTACCAGCAAATTTTGTTAGGATTTTCTCATTATAAGAATTTTCAAAAATGTTAAGGAGCATAAGAAGCATTTTTTTTTATGCTAGATAATTTTGTATGCATCAGAGGTATGTTTAGAACACCCACACTTCTGTAATGAAAAACTTAGTAAGTTAACCTTCATTGAGATATAGATGAGTATTATGGACAGTGTATACCAGAGTTAGAACTGTAGTTTGGGCTTTCCTTTAGCTTATTATTATTATTATTTTAATGTCTGTATTTTGAAATAAATTACTTGCTCCTGAGAGTAAAGTTTACATTATATCCCAAATGCATTTTTTAAAATAAAATTATTGAAATTTTTCTTTTCTTTCATCATGGTCATCACACTCTGGAGTTTCAGAACCAGAAAACACTAAATGTTTAGAAACTTTATATCATTTGACATAAGACCTTAAGGTGTGGTAAACAACACAAAGAATCTAAGGGGTAGTGTACTTTTTACAAGTGTGTCATAACTAAAAATACTACTTAGGTAGTGTCATTCTATTATTCGTGATATCTTAGCTTGACACCATTGTTTTGTTTTTAGACACCAAACCTTTTATAGAGGATAAAATAGTCTTACACTTGAAATTGGCATCATTTAAGAGCAAACTACACTCAATACTTGTAGAGAAATTTAAAACTATAATAAGTTTAGTAGCTCAATATAAAATTTTTCAAGGACTTGCATAAGATAAAGAGTTGTCTGTTTTATGGCTGCCAAAGGCAGTGTGTTTATGAAGAAATGTATGCTTATTTCTTAATTTTAAAACATTTTGTTCATTTTTAAAAGAACTAGGTTTTGTTCAATATTAGTGGAAGGTCTTTTAGATGTTTTACTTGTGGAATCATGATATTACCATATTACCATAAGTTATAGTATTTTTTATGATTTTTTGCATAAATGTTACTGATTTGTTATTTTGTATATGCAGATTATTCATAGTCGTAGAACATGTATTACAGTTGATTTTCTAGTAATCATAAAAGAATACATTATGATGATCATTACCTCATGTTATGTACTGCAGAAAGCACTTTACATACATTATCTATCTTATTTGTTCTTAAATAACCCTTTAAGATGCAAGTCTTATTTCTCAGATGAGGAAATTGAGCTTAGAGAAATGACTTGCATAAAGCACACACTGAATCTGATTTTAAAGCCAGTGTTACTAACTGTAATTCTATCCTGTTCTTCACTGGGGAAAAGCTTTTCCAGTGTGCTGAGACAGTTTTGGTTATGTAACTGTTAAAATGATGACAGTCGTGTGGCCTGCGGATAGCACTATGATTTTCTCACAGTGAGTTGAACCTGGCAGGTGTTGCCACTCACATCTGACCACATTTATAACACTTTCTGTACTCGTATCTTGTGCCAGTAGTCTGCTAGTCCAGATTCATGTTCCTTTTTCTCTTTTGAAATTAAACTCATAGCCTCCAAAAATTTGCATTTGCCCTGTTTTGAGGGGGGAGAAGTGGAGACTATTCATGATGCTCAATATATCATAGTATTAAAATATACATTGCAAATTCCTTTGTATTTATGCCCTTTTGAAATAAAAATGAATGTTCTTAGCAAACTCAAAGTTCTTGAACTCTGTAGTTTACACATCCTTAGAACAGCACTACCTTGTATGTGATATTCAAGAGACTGACTTTCTAAAGAGTCTTAGAGCCAAGCTTTAAATTCTGATCTGTTAATATATATTTCAGTAGTTGCTAATAATGCCATACCTCTTCTTCACTATGCTGATCCCACACACAGCTTTCTTTAGGAGAAGGAATACCTGTACATATGAATGAGAAAACTGTAGAAATAATAGTTCGGACCCTTTTCAAAATTGTATTCGGAATTGCTAGTTTAGCCTCTACTAAACCATACTTGGTTCCTGGGCCTAGTGAAGATTTGATCATTTAATTTCGTGAAAGCCAATACATTCTAGCAGCATATTGATATTAATGGCCGTTGTGAATATTGTCCGCATCTGTGTTTCGTATGGCATACAGTGAACAATACAAATAATTTCAAGAAGTTTGATTTTGACTACTATGGACTTTCATTTTCTAGTTGTTTTCTTTTTTTCTTATCATTTTCCTTTCCTTTTTCTTCATGTTGGAAATCTTTCTTCTGCTGCCTTCCTCTGTCAATTAAAAGGAAAATCCCACCTAAACGGTAATCTTTCTGTTGAATACATTCTAATAGCATTATTTTATATTAACATTATAAGTGCAGTTTTTTACTTATAATTTAAAAGGTTTTTTTGTTTTGTTTTTTTGTGAAACAGAGTCTCGCTCTGTTGCCCAGGCTGGAGTGCAGTGGTGCGATCTTGGCTCACTGCAACCTCCACATCCCAGGTTCAAGCGATTCTCCTGCGTCAGCCTCCCCAGTAGCTGGGACTACAGGCACGTGCCACCATTCCCAGCTAATTTTTTGTATTTTTAGCAGAGACGGAGTTTCACTGTGTTAGCCAGGATGGTCTCAATCTCCTGACCTCATGATCCGCCCACCTCAGCCTCCCAAAGTGCTGGGATTACAGGCGTGAGCCACCGTGCCCCGCCTATTTTAGATAGATCTTTTAAAAACTTGAGACCGAATATACTTGCAAAGCAAACTGTTTATATAAAAGGAATATTGAAGATTAATCATATAAATTATAAATAATTTAGTAGAAGATATTTTATCCTTTTAATATAACTTTACAATTTTTAATTTTTTTTTTCTCCTTAACCCTAGCCCACCAAGAAAACACATTGTGGAGCGCTATACAGAGTTTTATCATGTACCCACTCACAGTGATGCCAGCAAGAAGAGACTGATTGAGGATACTGAAGACTGGCGTCCAAGGACTGGAACAACTCAGTCTCGCTCTTTCCGAATCCTTGCCCAGATCACTGGGACTGAACATTGTAAGTGAACTTCTAGGTATCCTAATGGATGAATGTTTTTTTGCCCCAGAGAGTGGCATTGAGACTGATTGGTAGTTGTCAGAAAACAACCCCGAGACAGTTTGCTTTTAAATTATGCTGTGCATAACATGGGTAATATAAATAAGACCCCAGGCCGGGCACAGTGGCTCACGCCTGTAATCCCAGCGCTTTGGGAGGCCGAGGCAGGCAGATCATGAGGTCATGAGTTCGAGACCAGACTAGCCAACATGGTGAAACCCCGCCTTTACTAAAAATACAAAAATTATCTGGGCATCGTGGAAGCCACCTGTAATCCCAGCTACTTGGGAGCCTGAGGCAGGAGAATCATTTGAACCGGGGAGGCAGAGATTGCAGTGAGCTGAGATCACGCCACTGTACTCCAGCCTGGGTGATGGAGGGGCTCTGTCTCAAAAATAAATAAATAAATAAATAAATAAAACACCAGCCCAGGAGAGTAACATTGAAAAGTATAGATGTAATAGTAGTTGTACTAACTATAGTTTATGGCCAATAACAGGCTACTATGGAATTCGTTTTAGTGGCTCCATGGAAGTTGAACATTTGATATTGATTGGTGCAGGTAATTGCTTAAGTGATTTTGAAGTTAAACAAAACAAACTAATATTGGATATTGCTTATTATATTTCAGTGAAAGAATCTGAAGCCGATAATACAAAGAAGGCAAAGTAAGTTCTCTATCTTTTTGACAATTGAATGTTTTCCTTTCACGAATGGTCTCAATTTAGTTTTTCAAATTGTCAAGTATAATGGTATGGCATTTCGTCTTTGCAGCTAGAAGCTAAGCATTTAACTTTGGTGCCTTTTGTGTGACCTAAATGTACAACTTGCAGATTTTAAAAGTAGTAGATATTGTCTGGATTTTAAGGCTTGTTTTCCCTAGTATTGAAATAAGAAGTGGGCAGAAGGGTATATTTCGGGGTGCTTTGCTAACAATACATATGTCTGTGAATGAGCTCGTGTGTTGTCTTGCAGTCACTTTATTTTGAACATAAAAATGTATGTTTCCAAGAGGGATCTGTGGATTAATTGCTATATTTCTAAAAATGCTCTACCCTTAAAATTTTTGCCACTTAATAAAACAGCTATGTGAAATTAAGCTTTTATAAGGCATGTTTTCTGCATGATGGAATTAGTCTAGAACCTTTTTCCTTCTATTTCTTATGACTCTTCTATCACTCTTTTTTTTTTTTTTTTTTTGTATTTCCACAGGGAAAAGATACCCCTTCACGTCTTTAGTCCCAAATACACAAAATTACGTGACTGGCACCATGAAGTTTCAGCACGTGCTCTTAACGTACAGTGATTTATGAGCCTTGCCCCCCAAGCAGCCAGCACATACCTTTTCATTTACTTTTTTTTTTTCAACTTCATAGCAAAATCTGTATTAAATTTGCCTTATGAAAAAATAGAACTTTTTCTATACTTTTCTAACAATTTCCTATTGTTGTGAGAAAAGGAAGATGAACATGTTTTGTGCTAGTTGGTAGCTCACAAATGTAAAACCAAAAAAAAAAAAAAATAGAAAATTAAGGGACTAGATCTATTTGTGGATTTGTATCTGTTTTTGTTGTGATTAGGGTAGTAATCTTGGAAAACGAATTATTTTCATAAGTTGAATTTGGTTAGTTGGTTGGTTGAAGCAGAGGATAATGAGCAAATAAAGTCCTTGTCTAATTTGGAAAATACTTTCTTTATATTATTAACATCTCCCAAGATTACTTTTTAAGTTCATTATTATGTTACATTCAAAGTTGATTGTAAATTATTCTAAATAAGTAAATATAAGGAGGCAAGAATAAACAAAGACTTTATTAAAGAAGAGTGCGTGCATTGTAGATTTAGGTATCTTTTAAAGTAGGTACTATTCAGGATGGCTCTATGAAGAGGAGGAGGTCCAGATTTGGCTCCTGAAAAAGGAAAGAAGAGAATTTTACCCCTATTTGCAATGGAGAAATACAGTATTCTTTGGTTTGGTTGGATTTGCAAATCCTATTTCCTATCAAAGGAAATATCTCTAGTGGATATTTTTAGAATATAGACAATTTCTAGGTATTAACTAATAAGATATGGAAAAGATAGCTTTGCTTTTTTTAATCAGAAGAACATAAAATAAATTACAATATGAATGATTGTGAGACATCAGAGAAATATTTTACTTAGTGACGTAAACTACTGTGCACTGCTGCTATTCCTAGGAAGCTGTGTTTTGGGCAATACATGGAAGCTAAATATATGACCAGAAATGCTTTCTGCCTTGTAATATAGTGTATTATATATTAGAGCTAAATTTAGTAATAAATGCATTTTGAAGTTTGGAAAAGTATTGTAATAAAGTTGCCTTTAACTTAGCTTTGTACTTGTTCTGTTTCCTTGAGGCTAGACACAGTGCCATCCAGGACTTATTACAGTATAACTGGGTAAAATAAACAATTCTCTGACATTTCATTTGGAAATCATTTTTAACTTTGTGAGGTTACTAAAATATGGGTATAAAACACGGCAGGCCAGGTGCGGTGGCTCACGCCTGTAATCCCAGCATTTTGGGAGGCCGAGGCGGGCAGATCACCTGAGGTTGGGAGTTCAAGACCAGACTAACCAACATGGAGAAACCCCATCTCTACTAAACATACAAAATTAGCCGGGCATGGTGGCGCATGCCTGTAATCCCAGGTACTCGGGAGGCTGAGGCAGGAGAATCGCTTGAACCCGGGAGGCGAAGGTTGCGGTGAGCCGAGATTGCACCATTGCATTCCAGCCTGGGCAACAAGAGCGAAACTCCATCTCTAAATAAATAAATAAATAAATAAATAAATAAATAAATAAATAAGACACAGTAAAGGATCATGTTTGATTTTCCCCCTGAATTATTACAATATGTAGTATCCTATGTGAGTAACATAAAATCAGTTGACTATTGTGCAACATAGAATTATTGTTTGTGTGAAATTACCGCTGAAGGACCTTGCCTACATTCAAGGGTCTATTTTTATTTTTCCAGGTATTCTTTCACATTAGTGACATTATAGTCTAGTACAACTGCTTGATAATTTGGAGAAACTAACATTAATTTTAGATAGTGATTGATAAAATTTGGCCTGCCAAATGCATTTTAAAAATAATTCTAGGATTTATCTATGCTCATTTCTAGTATACCTCATGATATATAAGACATCTTTCTTTTGTCATATCAGTTCTTCAGATACTAAGACAGAGGTCCTGCCTGCTTGTGTTTTTATGATGCTGACATCAATCCCAGTTATAACTGTGTCTCTGGCCTCTGTAAGAAAATCTACTTTCTTAGACCAGGCTTTCCTATACCCAGTAATTCTTCCAGGATCCTAAAAGATGATGTCTGAGAGACGATGGAATTAAAGCCTCATAAAAATAAATGGTGTGGTAGAGTAAACATGGTATTTTCCACCAAGAATCCAATTTCTAGAATAACTACAGAGTTGACAGAAAGAAGACTCAAAAGAATTTTAGGTAAATGGGAAAAATTTTCCCTAATACAGACAAGAGAACATGTATAGAGTTACAACTTAAAACAGATGTAGTTAAAATAAAAATTTATTACCTTGCTTAATTAAAAATGAAGTATTTAGTGTTTCATTAAAAGCATAGACTTAGATAAATGGAATGATCCATACTTGAGTGTGAGGATAAATATTCAGCCAGGATCATAAAGGACATTCCATTTGACCCTGTCAGAAGATGAATTCCTGAGTTCAGTGAATCTCCTGGGACATTTTATATTCCTAGCTTAAATGCTAGCCAAAAATTATAAAAGCTTCTTGCAAAAATATTATTGTAAATCTAGTGACCTAATTTATGACTTGTTTTTGTTTGTCTCTCTTATACAGACTTTCTTCATTATAGGCTTGTTTTTAAAGTGAAATTGGGAAGTTGCTCTTAAGAATGTTTTCAACCTTTCTTTCTCTCTTTCTCTTTCTTTCTTTCTTTTCTTTTCTTTTCTTTTCTTTCCTTTTCCTTCTTTCTTTCCTTTTTTTAAATTTGAGACAGAGTTGTGCTCTGTCACCCAGGCTGGAGTGCGATGGTGCGGTATTGGCTTACTGCAACCTCCACCTCCCAGGTTTGAGTGATTCTCCTGCCTCAGCCTCCTGAGTAGCTGGGATTACAGGTGTGCACCACCTGCCCAGCTAATTTTTATAGTTTTTTTAGTAGAGACAGGGTTTCACCATGTTGGCCAGGCTGGTCTCGAACTCCTGACCTCCAGTTATCCGCCTGTGCCTCGGCCTCCCAAAGTGCTGGGATTACAGATGTGAGCCACCATGCCTGGCCTCAACATTTTTTTCTTACAGTGTTTTATTCAGAAGACTGTCTCACACATGGTCCAATGTATTTTTGTTACCTCAAAAATTACAGTATTTGTGGAAAACAAAAGCATTCTTTCGTGCATCATTGTGCCCTTTAGGAAGGCTCAGATAGATAGACATCTTAGAGTTTATTTAATACAAATTGTGGTATTAGGACACAGAGTAGCAGTTCCTTCTTTTTTTCAAAATTATTCAAAAATATAGAATGAATTGATTTTCCCTCCAGATATGTAATTTTGTAATTATTGTGTTTCTGATGTGTATTTAAAATCATATAAATTGTAAATATTTACTCATTGCCAGCATTCATTCTTTCAAATGCATAATTGCTGTATATGTAAATGCCAGGCACTAATCAATGTACTAGGGATACAGTAATGAATAACAGATAAATGTATAAGCAAGATGATCTGAGGTAATTGTGTTACCAAGATAATAAGTTAATATAAAATAAGTTTGGCTTAGTCAGGGAAGGATTACTTTAGATTATGTGGACCTCTGAGGAGACGACCTTAATGCCAGCAGCTGGGAGTGGAAAAGGAGTCAGCCGTGTGATGACTTGAGGGTGGGGAGACAAGTGTGGAAAGGAGCATGGCAAGAATACAGAACAGAAAGGTCAGTGTGGCTGGAGTCCAGGCTAGGCAGGGAAGTGTGCTAGAAAAACAGAACTCCTGTACATAGACAAAACACTTATATTCCCATTCCTATCCATAGCATTTTAAATGGGAAATTATTATATCATATCTAACTGCTTGCAAATAAAATTAGAAAATGAAGAAGCAGGGAGGTTAGTCAGGCTGCTAATTGCAGTGTGCTCATCTAGTTGGTACCAGCCCTGATTATTAACAATTTAATATTTTTCCTGTTGAGACCCAATGAAGACCTAGAAAAGAGAGGCATAAATATATGTTGGTAACATGAATGTAGGGAACACAAACAGAATATCCTGCAGAGCATACATAAAGCCATACAGAAAATACGAAAACACTTTGGTGTATTACATTTGACATATGATGCTCTTCACAATAGTGATGAATTTGAGGATTTAGTCTTCTCTGTAAAATCTTAGCTAGAATTGTCTGGACACTTTGCTTTTGTTCATCCCATTCCAGAAAATTCCTTAAACCAAGTAAATAATTTCCTTGCACATTCTTTCCAAAATAGGGATCATAGCATTTTTTTCTTGGTTAGAAGTAGTAAGAAGCAGCAAGTGATAAATTCTGGGGTTTAGACTGAGATTTGTAACTCACTGATTACTTTCTGTCCCCAAGTTTCCACTTCTTTAAAATATGGAGTTGGAATCTGTGGTGGACACTGTGCTGCCCACTCAGATACCACTTCAGTGGAGGACTTGATACCTCTGCTGATGGGAGTGTCGTAGGCAGACAGCCTTCACGTGCCAGCCCCTTCACAAATCACCTCAGCTGCAGACAGTCCCTCTTCAAGACCCTAGGCTTGGTGGTGCTGCCCACATGCAGTGAACTAATTGATAAGTGGGAAGAGAGGGAAGTAAAAAACCTGGTTATTTCATCCCAATTAAGACCAACTTGGAGGGACCATTCTAGCTCCTGAGCTGCTGTGGTATCAGCTGAGGCTGTCCTAAGTTTTGTTTGCAACTCCACCTCTCCTACCCACTCCTGCTTCCTTTTCTGTCCTTTCCCCTTCACGGTTGTTGACCCTAGAGACATTTCTTAATAAGCATCCTGCATGCTAAGCGCTAAGCTCTGCTTTCTGGAGAACCTGATCTGCAAAAGAATCATATTTTTGTAGACCCCAGTTTAGACCTCAGTTGCACAGGTTCTCTTTTATTCATCTTCTCATCACTTTCTTTGCCTTGGTCACTTCTCATCTTTTCTCCTTAGATCTTCAACCCAGATCACAAACACAGCATTTAGAAGTCTTCAAAGTAAAAGATCAGTTAAGGGAGGACTGAAAGTCATGTGGAAGTCAAAAGGAACATGCATTTACTTTATTTTTTTGCCTTAAATTAAGGATGTTTATTTGTTGACTTCATCACAGGCAGCCTAAGAGTAATGAGCAAGCAAATGTATTTAGAAATCAAATATAATCAGAGATATGTGAATGAAGCAATGAAATGAGAAGCTTCAAAATGGGAAATTAGGATTTACTGAGTAAATGTAATGAACACTTAAAACAGGAAAGCAGTACTTAAAATATTATGATTTTGCATGTTATAGTCTTCCATATATAGCATTTGGAATCTTAAGTATTAGCCATTTAATTTCACTTAATAAATTTTGTTAGAACACATCTGTTTTCTTCACATCCTTAAAAGTTTACTTCTAGTTCTCTCCTGGGGAGATTCTGTTGCTGAGTAGCCTTTGGAAATGTGTAGGCTAATGTACAGACATTAAAAGGAAGGAGGATGCTAAATATCTTGTAATGCACTGAAGAATCCCACAGACTGAAGAATCATCCAGCCCAATATGCCAATTGTGTGCTACTGAGAATGACTGCATTGAGTGTAAATATTCCCTTTTCCAAGTTTTGTTTTGTTTTGTTTTGTTTTTTGAGACAGAGTCTCGCTTTGTCACCCAGGCTAGAGTGCAGTGGCGCCATCATGGCTCACTGCACCTCGACCTCCCAGGCTCAAGTGATCCTCCCGCCTCAGCCTCCCAAGTAGCTGGAACTACAGGCACACACCACCACACCTGGCTAATTTTTTGTAAAGGCAGGATTTTGCCATGTTGCCCAGGCTGGTCTCGAACTCTTGGCAATCTGCCTGCCTCAGCCTCCCGAAGTCCTAGGATCGTCGGTGTGAGCCATTGCGTCTGGCCTAGATTTTCTTATTCCTTCCCACAATCATACATTCTCACCTACAGAGCGCCCTCTCCACTGCCCCACCCCACAGTAGGAATAATTTTGTCACCTCTGAACTTACATGCTACACAATTTTTACCTCTCATTTGACACTTGATTTTCTAATTTGTCTTATGGATATTGGTCTACATGTCTTAAGTTTCCTACCGAAGTTTGAGCTCTTTAAAAACAAAAGTCTTAGTGTAATAGTATAAATTGGAAGGAAAAGGCATTCTAGTAGTCATCGTATTTCTTCCTGGATGCAACTGTAGCTGCAACTGTAAGTAAAGGCCTAGCAATTCAATGAAATGACTAATCTTGAAGGTGGTTGTTAAGATTATAAAATTCATCTCTGGTGAACTGTTTCTTCAGTTAGAAATATACTGTTTTCAGTCAGTTTAGGCTGCCACAAGATACACAGACTGGTTAGGTGGGACAGTAGAAACTTATTATCTCATAGTTCTGGAGACTGTAAGTTCTAGGTCAAGGTGCCAGCAGAGTTGGTGTCTGTTGAGGCCTTTCCTAACGGTTGTGTATGGCCACTGTCTCACTGTGTCTCCTCACATGGCTTTTTCTCTGTGGGGGCACAGAGAAAGAGTGAAAGCTCTGGGGTCTGTTCTTCTCATGAAAGCTCTGGGGTCTCTTCTTCTCATGAGGACATCAGTTCTATTGGGTCAGGGTCCCACCCTTATGACTTCATTTAACCTTAATTACCTCTTTAAAGGACCTATCTCCAAATAGTCACATTGTGGGTTAGGGCTTCAACATATGAATAATGGAGGGATACAGTTCGGTCCATAACATACACTAACTGTCTTTGTATACTAATCCTCATTTTGACAGATTGTCATTTAAGAAAAAATTATTCTTAAGTAGAATCATTGACTTGGACCCAATTGGAAGCATTGTTGTCACCTCTCTTTTGGTGCTTCCTTTTTACCTTTGGATGACAGGTATCTGTCTCCATATTCTCTTTTCTCAACTACAGTAAAAGTTCTTTGAATGTGAGAATTTTAGTATGCCCCACCATGTTTGGTACTAAAAGTTACTAATTATATATAATTGCATATTTTTCCAATTCTCTAATTTTAGGGAAGTTGTTTACAGCGTGGCACACACTATCTCTAATGGAATATAAGTTCGATATAAATATCAAGACATTAAAATATCAAAACATTAATACCTATATTGAAAGTAAAGTGAAACCATACCTAAGTCACTTGAAAGGGGAATTGTACTTTGTTGGAGTAATCTAATTGCCAAAAGTTGACACTTTTTTCTTGATATTTTCTGTTTGTTAATTAGTGAAAGACTTTTTTTCATTAAATGAACATTTGTTTTTTAATGTCTTCCTTTGTGTTTTTGGTGTGTTTCAACATGAAGAGCATGGTGATTCCCATGAGGAGAGAATAACAATTTTAGAAATAGGTATATGAGATGCTTAGTTAGTGCTCTGAACAGAAATACTAATAGAGAAAATTTTATCATTAATAAGGAAATGTTTAAATATAAGAATCTAATCTACAACATTGATTTAAAAGAGGCAACAGCCATCTTATCAGTAACTATTAATAATAGAAAGTTATTAATAATATATGGCCTACCAGAATAGAGAATTATGGGAGACCATAGAAAATTTTATTTAGAGATAATTATGTTATACATGCACACACACACACACATTTATGCCAAAAAATCATATTGTCAAAGTATATTTAAGTTAAAAAATGTTTTTCTTGATCTCACCATGTTCTCAATTTTCTACTATATTATAATAATATCAATCTTTGTAGTTTCAAATTTTTAATGCTATATATAAGTATAAAGTGGTATTTTAGTTTAGCAAAAGGATATCTAAAATAATGATCAAAACATTTTTATCAGTCTTTTCTTTATCTCCCTTGCTTAAAGAATGATGGGTTCTGATTTTTCACATATTTATTATGGTTGTATTAGTCTGTTCTCATACTGCTAAAAAGAACTACCTGAGACAGTAATTTATGAGGAAGCGGTTTGATTGACTCATAGTTCCACAGGCTTAACAGGAATCATGGGTGGGAGTCCTCAGGAAACTTACAATCATGGTGGAAGGTGAAGGGGAAGCTGGTACATCTTCACAATGGTGGAGCAGGAGAGAGAGAGAAGGGGGAGGTGCCACACACTTTTAAACAACCAGATCTCATGAGAACAATCTCACTGTCACAAGAACAGCATGGGAAAACCACCCCAATGATCCAGGTACCTCCTGCCAGGTCCCTCCCTCAACACGTGGGGATTACAATTTGACATGTGGTTTGGGTGGGGACACAGAGCCAAACCATATCAATGGTTAAGAATTATAAGGTATGATATGGCTTCCCAATTGTCAAAGAATTAAAATGCTCATTAGGAGAGGAGTGACTGCTTCTCCCTTTAGTAGAAAAACAATTCAAACTCAGGTTACCAATTACAATACACAAACTAAAACAGTTATGTTGAGCCGGGAAACCGTCTTCTTGTAGGCTATCTTCTAGCACCAAATAATGCCCACATGATTTCTGGCTGAAGGCCATCAGAATGGAATTTTAGCACTGGAAGAATAGAGTTAATGTTACTTCTTAAGGAGAAACCTATTACCTTTGTACATTCATTGAAAATTTAGGAAGCATAAATTACATATTTCTGAACATACTGTTTTGTAAGTTTTTTTAAAACTTTGTTGATATTCATTGACCCACACAAAATAGATTAATGAAGAAATAGTTTGCTGACCCATCCCATGTCTTCATTATTGCTGTGTTTCACAAACATACTGGTGTCTTGTGACATATCCTTATTAAGACACGTTAGTTGAGTATATTACCTAAAGCTGCTATTCTTAATAAGCTATGCAAAGAAAGCAGGAATTATTCCCTAGCCTGATATTTGCACATATTTTCATGAGATAAGAATTAGCAATTGGACTTGCCCCAAAAAATAGAACAGCAAGATACATTCCCACAAAATATGTTTGCCAACCTGTAAAAAAACCACCTGTCAAAAAATGGTGTATATGATCAAGTAATTTTTGTCTCTTGCAAAATATGGAATATTTGTAATTGATCTTTGATTTTCTGCTGGTTGAGTATACTGTTTTATGCAAATACTGTTTTGCTGACTACAATGTAAAGGTCGCCATCTGTTGAACATAAGTAATTACTACACTTCAGTTCCTTGTGAGACTAGTACTTAAAAATTATTGAGCCAAGAAACATAGTTCCTATGTATTTTCACATCCAAATTGTTTAATTCTGTTTAATGCTGGAAATGCCTGTTGTTGTTGTTGTTTACCAAATTAAACGTGTACTATTAGCACTTATAAAGATCTGTTATTTATAAAAGTCAGTGTTCGTAATATGCCAAGTTGGCTTTCATAATCCCAGAATATTCACCACGTTCCTTAGAGGCAGAATTTTGTCAGACCGGTAGTCCTTCTCTTATAATGCTGTTTGGATAAGTTGTTTTCCATTTCACCTTTAGAGAAGTAAATTACACAATAAAATTATTTTATTGAATTAAACCAGATAATTAAAGAAACTTATGTTTACTAAAACTCAGTATTGAAGAAGACTCCTGCACTTTAGTTTTTTTTTTTCTTCAAAAGAAATCACAACTTCAAAAGTTAATTAAGAGCATTGATGATAGGCAGACTTCAAAATCATGGAAGGCTTAATTTCTATCTTTTGCTGCTATTCTAGTTTATGTATTTCAGACACATTGCAGGTTTCAGAAGTCCAAGTTTTCCTACTTTTATATTATGTGAAGGTTTGTTTATTAGAATGATATGATTTTATAAAAGAAAATTGAACCAATATATTATATTATATAGTATAAAGCATATGACAGGTATGGATATTTAGACATCTTCACTTTCCTTTTAGTCAAATTAAAGAACTATCTACAAATTGCTTTTATCTAAAAATTAGTCTCATGTGTCCATGTATTCTCTTTTGTGTTTTTCTATTTTTGTATCTATTAAAGGGTATTGTTTGAATGCTACTCCTGTGTCCAACTCTGTAATAGGTGTTCATCTCACAGATGCACCTAATTAACTACTCCCAAAGATTCTGAATTTATATCTTTGAACAGAAGAATGTGTTAAAACTAAGGTGACACCTGTTGCGGAATTTTCAAGTTAGTGGTACACACTTATTTTGCCTCTTCACACACTTTATTCTTTATCCTGATATGCTAGTAATTTATAAGAAGAAAAAAATTGAGAATAAATTTCTGAAAGATTTTAATGTCTTCAGGTAGCTGTGTATCATTGGTTAGACAGTGAGTGAACTTGAAGCTTTAATACAGAGAAGTAACACTTAAGCAAATTTGGTGGAATCAAGTTTACCCTTGGCTTACAGCAGTGGAATCACATACTTGTTAAAATCAGCAAAGCTCTTAGCAGGGATGTTGGAGCAGCATCACAGGTATGTTTACAAAAAGTACACCCACCAACAGTAAAACCAAAAATCCTTTATATATGAAAGGTAAAACAATCAGATAACATCTATTCAAGGGATAAGTAAAAAACAGAAGTGATGTCGTCAAGGGTGATGGTGAAACTAATAAATGCTCTGTGTTGAAAGACAGCAAATAAAAATAACCAAAACCCAGAGGTTTATTTATATCCTGGAGGGATTTGAAGCCCCCCATACAGAAAGTGATTCTAAATGGTTCTCACTAGACTCTTTTTCTTAATGACTTACCGCTCAGGGTATGTAGAGGACTTACAGATGAGATTCACTGAGTACTATCTGCGTTTGTTTCAAATCCTGGATGGGAAAGAAAATAGAAGAGTGGTAAAAGGAAAATATAGTACTGATTTTCAAAAAAGGAAAAAAAAGTTAACTTCTAACCATAAACTAATTTGAACTTGAGATCATCTGGAAAAAAGTCAAGCAGGCATTCTGAAAAGCATGGCTAGTGAGCACTGAGAAGAGGAGGGCAGAATTGCCAAGACCCAGAATAAGTTCTCAAGAAACACATCACATCCAACTTAACACATTTTGGATAGATTGGGAGAGATGTTAATTTTAACAATTGATCAAAGAAAGACCCTTAAAATTCCTTTGAATTTAATAATGAAATGAGGTTGATAAGTATGTTTTTAAATGCATAAAAGGTTGAAGTAGTTTAACCAAAGAATATTGTTTAAAGGATTAATTAGTGACTTGGATGAGGAGATCCACAACTTGCTGCCCATATTTGTGAGTACCATGAAGCAGGGAGATATAGCATACATGTTCAATAACCAATAAGGTTGGCAAACCTAAATATCAAAGGAGAAGTGGGAATTTTAAAAGAAAATAAACCCAGTAAGAGTTAGTCATGTCGTATGGCTCCTAAAATGATAAGCAGTAGTTCTGTTCTGCACTAGTAAATCTCACCTGGTGGCATATTATGCTAGTCCTTGACGTTAATCTCTGACAATTACATAGATAATCCCAAGAAAATCAACTGAAGACTCACTGAGACAATTAAGCTGTCTTTGGGTGAGAAGCAGTTATATGAGTAGTTGATATTAGACGATAATCTGGGCTGGTTCTTTGACCTAAATCCAAGTGGGTCTTTTCCTCTAAACATTCTCCTTTAGTCTCAGGCCTCACTTATTAGCAGTGGCCCCTGCTCATGTTTAGCATATATTATATATAATAAATACGTCCAACAAATGTTTATGAGGCACTTATTTGTGCTGGTTTCTAGGAAAATGAAGATGCTATTATGAACTTAGTCTAGTAGAGCAGACATGCAATGAAAAAGGAAAATAAGGAAAAATACAGTTTTAGGTTATGATATATTCTATAAAGTAATATAGTACAACATGAATATAATGAGGGGAGGGGAAGAGTAAGGTCATTAGACTCTAGTTAGAGAAAAAGAAAATAATTTGAGCTGAAATGTGAGTGCCCTGAAAGAGTCAGTCATGAGGATGTGGAGATGTCCTCTCCAGGCAGAAGGAACAGCAAATGCAGAGTCCCTGAGACAGGAATCAGTTGGTGTGTTTAGGGAACTGAAAAAGAGCCATTATGAATGGGGCATAGTAAATAAGAGACAGAATGATAAGAGATTACGTGAAGTACTCAGGGGCCAGATTATTGACTGCCTTGTAGGTTGTGTTAAGGAGTTCAGATTATTTTTCTAATTAAATGAGAGGCCCAATATAGGACTGTAGTCATAGGAGTAACATCTGATGTATATTTTTAACAGATCACCCTGAATACTATGGAAAATTAATTGTAAGGGAGAAATAATGGGAGCAGGAGACTGTTATGAGTATCCCCATAGTTCAGATAAGCAATGTAGTGGCAGTGGAGATGGAGAGCATTGGATAGGTTTGTATTTTAGACAAAGAGCTGATAGGTGTATAGAAATATTGAGGTGGAGGGTAATGGAGAGTGGAAAATTGGTAAGTCAGTGAATTTGTAAAGAATTAGTTCAGTTGATAAGAGCTAATGAGATTGGTCAGAGTCAATTTGGTACAGTAAAAAAAGCTAATAGAATCGAGGGATAGCAGACTGAGTGAGGAAAAAAAAGGGTCCTTAAAATTTAGATTTCAGACATGTTGTACTTGTTGATGAAAAATTAAAGGTTATGAATTTTGGAGTGCATGCTGATATATTCTAGGTGTAAGGCTTAGCCTTAGGGGAATGTATCATTAAAGTGAAGAAATCAAACAATTCAATAGTAAGGTTATTTATTCAGTGATTGTGCATGATTATTGAAATAATCATGAGAGATTGTTGGAATGGGGTGAAGAGGAAGGCAGTCAGGAGCTAAAACAGTGGGTGAGGTAGAGACAAACAGTGGGAAGGCCCTATAGTGAATGGTATAGTGAGCCTCCAAGGACTTGGGATTTTGGAGGATCAAAGATGACTGATAGTAGTTAAAACAGTAATGAGGAGGACACTTGCTCCATCTCCAGGTTTATAAGAATAAGGCATATGAAAGAAAAAGCAACATCTGTTTGAAGAGACTGTAAAGAAGGTATAGTAAAACAGTAATGGGTTTGTGAGGGCTGTGATAGATGGTGAAGTGATTAGATTAGGAGATACACAAAGCAGTGAAGAAATAAGAGTCCAGGAGATGCTGGATGACCCAAGGGATTTGAACTTCTGATTGTGGCAGGTAAACAAGGGTAAGTGGGAAGCATGATGTGATTAATCCTCAGAGTCCATTACAGGAAAATGGATACTAGAATGTAAGCTTCATGAGGGCAGGAAATTAAAGTAGACAATAGGATGTGTGAAGGTGCTTGGCACAAAGTGGGAATTCAAGTAATTGTTTTTTGTTATTGAATGAATGAGTGAATGCAATGAGTGATTGAATGGGTGCGTTTGGGACATATGATCCAGAATATTTGGCTAGTGAGTGTGTAGCCACTTGGCTATTGTTCTGTAATGCCAACAGGACACTCTCACTGGAGCATGAGGTACTGTGCTGGCTTTCTCAAGACATGTGGCCTCTTTAAGGATTCACTGTGGGTGGCTGTTCAGTGGGACACATTCAGACGTATTCTTTTATATTTTCAAACAGGTAACTTGACTTAACACTATTTATTAAATAATACATGCCTTTCTCCTCTTTATCCCGAATCTGAAAAATACCTTTATTGTTTATAAATTCTTTTTCTAATATTAGGATTATGTTAAAACTACAAAATGGCAGATTTTTGTCACATATAAGAAGCTATTTCTAACTAGTATAAATCTCTGAAGTCATGGATCAGAATGATCCAGTGAAGAAACTGATGATGGAAAGTGAGAGGGCCAAAGGTTAGTGGTAAGTGCCCTGCAGTTACTGAGGGAGTCATGCTTTTATCAGGGGATTGCTCCAAGTGACTTTTAAGTTGTCATTACACGTTAAAATCTTCATATTATATTTGCATTTTGTATAGATAAAAAATGCTCATTCTTTACCTGGCTTTAGACCCTATAGAACATTTTCTATATAGAGATCAAAGAATACTCTAGATAACTAAAGAATTTACAAAATATTAAGTATTGAACACTTAATAATGATAAAATCCATTATGGAGTGGCAACAGCAGAGAAATGTGTAAGAGTTATAAAGCCATAGTTTGAAAGATGTGAGAAAATGGAAAATATCATCAAAGAGGAAATTCTTTCCCTAATACAAATGTCTTAGTCAGATCAAGCTGCTAGAACAAAAATATCATGGACTGGGTGGCTTAAACAACAAACAGTTATTTCTCATAGTTCTGGAGGCTGGGAAGTCAAGATCGAGGTACCTGTACACTCAGTGTCTGGTGAGGGACTGCTTCTTAGTTCATAGATGATGCCTTCTCACTGTATCCTCATATGGTAGGAGAGAGGGAGCTCTCTGAGGTATCTCTTATAAGGGACCCCTTTCATGAGCGCTCTCTGCCTGTGTGACCTAATCATCTCCCAGAGGCCTCACCTCCTAATACTATCACATAGGGCGTTAGGATTTTGACATATGATTTGGGGCTGGGGGGACACAAACGTTCACTGTATAACAACAAATAATAAGTTCCAATTCCTTCAGCAATATCCCTTTTTGTTTGCCTATCTTTTCCTTGCTTAAGTAAGTGGGAAGCTCCTAGAAAAATGATTTCTTTGAGTTAGTCCTTCTTTGCTCTTACAAAAAATCAACCTCATTTTGGGTAGTATTTTCATGTTTGATAATTTATTTCATAACCTTTTAGCCTCTAAGATCCAGTCCTCCTTGTCTGCCATGTGCAAAGCAAGGATAACTCTACTTGCTTATTTTTAAATTCTCAAGATGCCATCTATGTAATAAAGGTAGAATTAGCAGGCTCAAGTAACATTTTCAGGCTGCTACAGAAACAAAGACTATTGAAAACCAATTAATAAATGGATAGCTTATGATTGAGAGTACCAGAAATTCCCACCTGAGGTTTAGTTGATTTAGTTTTCCAGAAGGGAGATCATAGTTACAAATGAGCAAACTCAACATATTTATTGTCAGGAAGCCAGCAGAAAATACTTATTTTTTTCACATGCCTAGCAGTTTCCTTGGCTAAAATAAATAGCTTTGCTATGCCAGTGAACCCCAAAAGGGCAGAATCTAGCTATGACTCTGATATATTCTAGTTTCTGCTTAGCAATATTATTACATAAAAGTTTGCTTTGTGGAAGTAGAATACCAAGGACAATTTATTGTCATTTTCCTCCTTTACCTTTTAATAAAACGTATATTTCAAGGTTTGTGAATTTTTCCTCTTATTGAAAACTCGTCGTGTGGGTATGTAATAAGTCACTAGTCTATTTGATCATTTTATCATATTTATATTCAGAAATAGGAAGCATTTAAAATTTTAATTGAAGATGCCATTTTTATGTTGTAAAAGAAAATGTTTGCATTATTTTTAAGATTTTTTTAAGGTTCGCCTTTGTGACAGATTTCTTCTTAGAACATAGTTTGCATATAATTCCATCAAAATCTGGATGACCCAAATTAACATTTTGAAATTTTATTACTGATAGAGAACTTTACCATCCTGCAGCCTGGTTTCTTTTTGAGACGGAGTTTCGCTCTCTCATCCAGGCTGGAATGCAATGGCAGGATCTTGGCTCACTGCAACCTCCGCCTCCCAGGTTCAAGTGATTCTCCTGCCTCAGCCTCCCGAGTAGCTGGGATTACAGGCACCCACCACCACACCCAGCTAATTTTTATATTTTTTTTAGTAGAGACGGAGTTTTGCCATGTGGGCCAGGCTGGTCTTGAACTCCTGACCTCAGGTGATCCACCTGCCTTGGCCTCCCAAAGTGCTGGGATTGCAGGTGTGAGCCACCACACCAGGCCCCTGCAGCCTGGTTTTTGTTCTCCTCATTCCACTGAAGTTATTCTAACCATGGGTGCCAGTACAGTAGCTCCACCATATACCAAAGTACTAACTTTAGTAAATTACCAAGGATAATTTTAGTACCAGGGTTGAAAGATTATTGGAAGGATTAAATATGATGATACATATTAAGCGATGAAAAAATATTTGCTTTTATTATTAACAAATGATTTACATGTAAGTTAAAAAATGAAGTAAAAGTAATAATATTATCATTAATGACCAAGAGCCTGAATCCTGGAAGAACTTAGTTTGTTCAAGACATTGTACAGGTAGTCTAATGTGACTGGAGTTCAGTGAATAAAGGGAAAATTGGTGTGGAAAGATAATTGAGAGGTTGATCATAACAGGTCATTTGGGGATTTTGTAGAGAATGTTAAGCACTTTGGGTATTATCCTAACTGCAGTAGGAATTTGTTGCAAGGTTTTAATCAAAAGAATGATTTGATAAAATGTGTTTTGTTGTTTTTTCTTAAGGCACATGGGCTATACTAAACCATGCCAGAAAACACAGGGGCTGGAAGGGGCAGGATTTGGCAAGAGAGGAAGCAAGAGAGCAGTTAGACAGTTCTTAAATCACTAGTATAAGTTAGTGCTTATCATAGTCTGGATGAGAGAGGGTGGTAGCAGAGAAATGGGGTAGATGGATGGCGTAATGAGAAAAACTTGGGACTGTAATGCCCCCCCAACCCTCCGCAAACTGGGAAAACTGGGACGTTGCCAAGAGAATGACTCAGACAAGTCCAGCTTGATGAGTAGATGAGTTTATTAGGACATACATACAGGGCACTGCTGGACAGCAGCAGTATGGCTCCAAGAGATCCACACCGCCTCCCATCTCTAGGCTGCTTTTAAGCTAATTTTCTGGCTCTTTGCCGTGTATGTGTGTGCGCACGCGCGCGTGTGTGAGTGTGCTGGGACTTTTTTCCTTGGTATATTCCCAGCCATGCCTCAGGATGTTTGCGTTCTCAGGGACCCCTGCTTCTCGGCTAGGCACCATGGCCTTAGCTAACTGCCTGGCCCTCAAGTTTCAAGCATTGAATATAACACCCTTAAGTAACCTGGTAGGGGACCCATCACACCACTGATAGATTAAAAATATAAATTTGGAAGTAGAGTCATTTGGACATGGTGAAAGATGATTTGAGACAGAGAGATATTAGAGGTATTAATAACTAAAGGGCAATTCAAAATATGGGCTACTGCTCATAGGAGACAGCTGGGCTAGATATAAATCTGGACATTAGGTGGTGTTAAAGCTACAGGACAGAGTAATGTCACTGTACTAATGATAGCAGAGTACAGAGAAATAAAGCCTAGGACAGAGAACTCTCGGGCAACAGAATAGCCAGTGAAATACTACTAAAAACAGGCAGGTAAATAGGGTTGAGGCACAAATGACAGGAAAAGAGAAGCAGTAGTCAATTGAGCCAGACACTAAGTAAAATGAGGAATGTGCACAAAAAGACAAATATTGTATGATTCCACTGATAGGAGGTATCTAATGTAGTCATCTTCGGGTCAGGCTTAGGAGGTATCTAATGTAGTCATCTTCGGGCTGGGTGTGGTGGCTCACGCCTGTAATCCCAGCACTTTGGGAGGCCAAGGCAGGCGGATCACTGGAGGTCGGGAGTTCGAGACCAGCCTGACCAACATGGAGAAACCCCGTCTCTACTAAAAACACAAAAATTAGCCAGGCGTGGTGGCACGTACCTGTAGTCCCAGCTATTCAGGAGGCTGAGGCAGGAGAATCGTTTGAACCAGGGAGGTGGAGGTTGCAGTGAGCCGGGATTGTGCCACTGTACTCCAGCCTGGGTGACAGAGTGAGGCTCCGTCTCCAAAAAAAGAATTAAAGTAGTCATCTTCATAGAAACAGTAGAATGGTGCTGGTTACCACAGGCTAGGGGGAGGGGGAAGGGGTAGTTGTTCAATGGGTATAGAGTTTCGAATATGCAAGATGAAAAACTTCTGGAGATCTCTTCCACAATAATGTGAACGTACTTCACACTACTGACTGTGCACTTGAAAATCGTTAAGATAGTAAGTTTCATGTTATGTATTTTTTACCACAGTTTTTAAAATGAGGAATGCAAATTGTCCATTGAATTTAGCCACAAGAAGGTCATCAGTGACCTTAGCAAGATGCAGTTTCATAGAGTGTTGGGGGTTGGGGTCTAGTTGAGATGGCTGAAGACTGACAGTCAAGTGAGTATAATGTTATTTCAGAGTCTGGCTGGTAAGTGGAACAGGAAAATAGAAAGTAAAGATAGTCTGTTGTTTTTAAGAGAAACTACTGCATTTTAAAAGAGGACACAAAGCATCCAGTAGAGAAGGAGAGATGGATTAATCGAGGCCACTGAGATTAAGGGAGGAGATGGAGTACACAGCATTAGAATGTTGCTCTTGGGCAGTTGTCCGGACTAGGGGATAGAAAAAGAATTCTTCTTACTGGTCCTACAGGATGGTAAGGATGGTAAATTAGTAGATGGACAACTCACACCTGATTTGCTGGACAGATTGTTCACAAGGGTCCGTAATGAACAAGTGCAGAGATGGTGCAGAAATAGACACAATGCATGAATAGCTCTTTGTTCATGTATCCTGAGAAAAGCAAGCCAAAAGGGAAAGACTTTATCTGGGAAAGAGGAAGTCTTCATAACCCTCTCTGGTGAGAAATGAAAACTCATTTAAGCAAGACAAGGCAGAAAATTTGGCTGCTGCAGATATGCTATTAATCAGAGCTTCCTCCAACCTAAAAGGAGTAAACACTGGGGAATGTCAGAATGAGAACAGATACTGATGTTTGTTCCATAGTAAATGAGGTAGTTTAAGATTTTGTCTTAAGTCAGGTTTTTAGAGTTTGGCTAAGCAATGAAGAGATAATCAATACGTGTAACACATGGGAAACTTCCCAAGTGCGTTTGCTTGGAAGATGACTTGGAGATCATCTTCAAAGGTATTTCATGATTTATATGAAATTTATTCTCAAATGGCACTCAGCTTTTTTCCAATCAGCATATTTCACGGAGATGTTGGAAGACTCAACTTCTCCAACTCACTCCCTTTTCTTTTTTTTTTTAATCTGTCCTGTGGTAATATGTAGATATTGATAATAATTTATAACCATATTTTCTTTTTTCCTGAAATATTTATAAATTTTTAATATTAAAATATTTATTTAAAGGTATTTTGGGAGCACTATTCATTTCTTTCAAGTTATCATGTGTCCACTTAGGCAAAAATCTGTTTAGTCAGAATTGTGACACAGTCTCTAGAAGGTACAAATACTTTTCAATTTACAAATATTGTGAATTCGTTATTTGGAAAAAATAAATTTCAAGCTTTTATTTCACAAATATTTGTTAACTTTATGGTAAGCACTTTGTTACACTTCATGTATATCAGTAACTATTGGTATCAGGGAGCTTCTAGTCTTCTGAGACTGTCTGGATTTAAACAAATAACGACACAAATTGTATAATAATAATAACAAATTATATGAGTGAAAAGTACAGACTGCTATGACAGCACATGACAGGGGCAGCTAAGGTGGCTTGGGGAATCAGGGAGGCTTCTGGGAGGAGGTGACATTTAAACTGAGGCCAGAAGGATGCCTTGGAGTTATCCCAGTGAGGGTGTGGTAGAACGAGGGCTGAGGACAGTGAGGAGTAGGAGACTGTGCAGAGGCCAGGAGGGGGATAGAAGCAGGGCCTATTTCAAAAAGAGATGGAAGGCCCAGTGGACTGGAGCAAGCCAAAGAGAGTGGACAAGCTTCATGACATAATGCTGAAGAACAGGTAGCCCAAGATCACCTAGAGCAGGGCTGGAAGGTCTAAGCAACAGACATGATGGCATTTGTATTTTTCAGAGTTCACTCTGGTAGCTGTGTAGAGAAGTTATTTTCTAGGACAGGGGTCAGCAAATTTTTTTCTGTAAAGGTCCAGATAGGAAATGTGCTAGATTTTTCAGGCCATATGGTCTGTCACAGTTAGTCAGTTCTTATATCATATGAAAGTAGCCATAGACATATGAAGAATGAACCTGGCTATGTTCCAATAAAGTTCCAATAAAACCTTATTTATGGATGCTGAAATTTGAATTTTATATAATTTTTGTGTGTCATTGTATTGTTATTTCGATTTTCTTAACCATTAACCATTTAAAAATATGAAAACTATTCTTAGGCCATACAAAGACAGGCAGGGCCTGAATTTGGCCAGCATGCCGTGGTTTGCTGACCCATGTTATGGTTCTTATATTTCTTAGTCTCTTAACCTTTCTGCTCTACCTCTTAATGTTTTAGTTCTATCATGACATTTTTCTTCAACTGTCTACGTTTTTTCAACACTCTGGTAAAGGTATGACTAATGTGAAATAAAAAACAGGAATATAACCTCTCCTTTCCTATTTTTTAATCCATTTGAAAATCAGTGTAACATGACTGACCATTCTATTTTTTTATCCACAGACTTTTTTTTTTTAATGGCTAATTTTGTATTTTTCCTGTTTTATTTTTCTTCCCAAAGTTTTATACTTGGTGCTTTCTTTTTTTTGAACTTAACATTGAGTTCTTCATTTTTTCTTTACCTGGCAATAGTTCTTCTAGAACTTACTTCTGGCATTCTATATAAAAAATAATACAGATATCAGAAAATTAAAGTAAAGAATACTCAAAACCCTACGATTGCATGCCACCATCTGTTGTATGAGCAGATAAAATAGTTTGTTTACATCAAGATACACAACATCCATATAACTTCAGATCTACAGACAGAACATTCTGACGTGAAACTTTTGGTTGCTTTCTTGTAGGACACTTTTAGGTAGCTGTCTCACAATGTTCTGGAAAACATTATATAGTGGAAATAATACAGGCAGACCTGGTCCAAATTCCACCTGGCCCTTACTAGATGTATGGTATTGGGCAACTTAATTAACTTCTTGGAGCCTAAGTTTTTTTAAAGCATTCAAAACACGTAGTCAGTGAATGGGAATTTCCACCTCCTTTTCCCCTGTAAGCGTAATATTTTATTACATAGAAGTAGCCATATTAAAGAATTTTGGGGGAAAACAGCCCATATTTTGTGGTGGCAGAAGTGTTGGGTTTTGTTTTAACCATTTGTAGATGTGAAGTAAAAGAAAACCAATAGTGTTCCCAAAATTGAACTAGTAGACATTTAAAAGATGGTATAGATGATAAATGTCTTTTGTACTTTTCATTAATATTTCCTTTGCCTTATATATTTTACTTCTGAAAACTTAGGTTTGACAGTGCTCTGGAAGACCTACCTAAGAGTGGACCTCACCCTCCTGCAACTCCTCAGGTGTTAACTATTGGTAGCCAAGTGGCCACACTTTCTAAAGTAGCAACTACTTATTCTAGGTAGACTCTTCCTTCTTGGTGTTTCTAAATTTCAAAGCTGGTAGTGAATTTAAATATACTAAACTGTTTGAAAAAGAAAAAATGATTGTTGATTACAGAACGGACATCATTAACCTATAGACAAGAAAGCTTGGCACTCAGCCTCAAAACAGCGCTTCTCACTGCTTTTATATTTTTATTTTTGTTTAGTTTATAACTTCTAATATAGAATCAAGAAATCTCTTTCATTTATTCACTTTGTGATTTGGAAAGTTAACTTGCTGGCTTTGTCATAAGTCTCCTTTTCTGAATTAGAGCATTTGCCTCAAAGACAGGTAAAGGTCATACACAATATGTTACCAGGTGCCCAGACATATTCTAAAGATACTCAGATAAGTAACTGCTTATGAGATATAACTAGATTCTGCTGATACTAAATCCTTTTCTATTATTTGTGATGCAATATGATGAAAGAAATTCATTACCGTTTCCTTTTCTTCCTGGAGAAGAAAAAATTAGCTGATTTATTTTTAAGTGATTTTTCAATATACTAAGTTTCTAGTTCTTATTATTCACCATTATGTCTCCAAATAGTAACCATTGTCTCAGAGATGCAGAGTAATGCAGAAACTCAGAAGTGGAATCACATGATAACTTTATTATTCCCTTTGACATTCATGTTACCTACCCTGCTCTGCCATTGATAACATCTTTCTTTTCTCTCTCCAGACCCTGACGTTTTCTTTTCTAACCATTCATTAACAGTTGTTAAAACTTAGCCATACAGTTTAATTTAATGGATAGACTTAGATAGACCAAAAGAAAAATTACTTAATTCTGTATCATTTTGAAAACATAGCTTGCAACTATTTCCTTAATTTTTTTTCTAATCGTTTTTGTAAAGTTATAGCCTGTGGAAATTGGAAGAATGACTTATCAAATTCTTTTGACAGGAAAAAGAGACTTATGTCAACCCTCACAGTTTCAGACATCTAAGCTCACATTAACCAGAGGTCGAGTTTGCCACGTAATTACTTTGTGTTGGAGGTGGCCATTGAAAAAAGTGGTCATACTGTAGTGATGATGCTCATTGATAAGTTGCACCCATAAATGAAGAAGAGAGACTACAAGTTTCACACTATACGTTTATACACTCTTTTTATTTTACTTAATAACCAATTTGAAAATCACTACAGTCATAATTATAGAATGTTCATTCCTGTCCAGGCATTTGATCTTTTCTAAAAGGCCAAGGGAAAATTATTATTTTAATTAATAAATACTTATTAGTTCTGAAGATAAAATGCTATACCTGCATTTAAAAATGCTTACAGAACTAACTGAAAATAGAAATATGGAACTCAGCAGAAAAGGTGATGTTTTGATCATATTCACTGTAACATTGGTTTATTTTCGCAAAGGTACTTTCCCTCCTTACATAGCTTTACTCTCAATATTTTAAACAATTATCTCTTTTCATGTTAATATATATTGCTCCTTCTTGATAAGCAGTCTGTTGTGCCTGCTTCTCCTGAAAACATAAGTCGTATTAAAATGTCACGCTGTCAGTATATATCGTCTCTAAGGTAAAGCTCATTGTATAGAGACTTTTTGGGAAAAAACAATTTTCCTTCTTTCTATGCTTATAGAAATTCAGACTTCACGTTTAGATTTATTTTCTACTAAGTTGTTGGCAAGTCAGTCTTCAAATGTGTGATACGAGGTAATTTTAAATAGGAATACAGTCAGTGAATTTAAATACATTGAAGAGTATTCGTATGTCCAAATCAGCTTTATGGAGGATTATACATCAGCTTTTAGCTTCTGAGAGAAACCGTAGGAGCACAGACTAAATGGCCTGAACTCCTATTACACTTCTTACACTTCACACTTTTATAATGCTTAGATATTAATATGAAATGGTTGCTCTCTTGTATTTATTATGCTACCCTTTCTCACTTTCCTTTTTGTTCCTCTCCTGTTTTTCTTTCCCTACCTGTCAGTTTAAGCAGCTCCACAGGAAATGTGGAAGATTCTTTCGAAGGTTTTCGAAACTTTTCTACCTTCTCTTCTCCTGCTAGATATAGTGCTGCAGTTCTGAGCAGCGCAGCTGCTACTGTGTCTGCTGTTATTGCTACAAAAACCAGGTAGAACTACACGTACAGCGTCTGTCTGATGTGATCTCAGCGCTCTTCACTGTCTTACAAGTCACCTCAAAGAAAACATGCCCCTTTGAAGCAATCATAGCTCTATTGTGAGCTCTTAATTGTGTAGTGCATATTTTATCTAGGTTGTGGATAAATCTCACAGTATTTGTTACTGGTTTTTTCTTAAAAAATCACCTTTTAATCTCTCCACTGCTGCCATTTATGTATGGTATTTCTCAGTTGCGTGAATTATTACATGTTGTGTGCTTATTGTCACTTGGGTTTTTACATTTTTCAGGTTTTATATTTGAAACAATAAAGTATTAATGAATATTTTAAGTTTCTATTGATTTTATCTTCTCCCACGACCTTTAAAGGGTGATCTGAAGACTACTCTCCCCTAAAAAAATAAAATTGTGTCCTTCCCCAAAAAGAATAAATTGGTTTTGTTTTCGTGGTTTGGGGATTTTAGATAATTTCTATAGTCTTTAGAGCTTCAAATGCTTTCTAAATGATGGCTTTGACCATTTTGGTGAAAATCTAATCAATGTTATATTAATGAGTAAAGGGATAGAATAAACTCTTGGTGCTTCTTTTTATCTTCTTTCATCCTCCTTTGCTGCTTTGTGCTTCCCCTCCTTCTTCCTCTCTCTCCCCACCCTCTCTCTCGTAAAGGAAATGTTTCAAATCACAGACCTTAAGAACTACTGTCTGCTATTGGTAGTGTGATTTTTGACTTAAAACTCTTTCTAAATGCTTACCAGGCTCTACACTCCTGAAAGATATCACTCACTCCTGGATGCACTTTGCATCAGCCCTGTCTCCAAGCCTTTAGCTTTTTCCTATCTGCAGTCCTCAAGGAAATCAACTGGCTCTATCCATGTTAAGAAAACAAGGTACTGTGGGAGCAGATATGGCAAGTGGTGGTTCGCTGTTAAGCATACTGCTTTCTCTAACACTCCACCACTGTATTAACAGGCCAGGTGAGAACATGCTAGAGTTCTAGGGATTTGTGCCCAATTTTGAATGAACTGTAATGTCAGTGGCATGCTAATGCACAAGCACAGTATGTCCTATGATTATTAACTCACCTTTTAACCTTTTGTGACATCTTTCCTTAGCATACTTGATGTTTGGTGTGCAATTCTGAGTAATTGTGCAAGTATTTAAATTGCAGTAGAATTTCTGTCTTTCATTGCATGGATATAGCTATATTAGAATCCTCAAATGTTTGGTAAGACATAGCTTTTAGAAAAATGAAAATGATAATGATCAATTTTGATTGGCTACATATTATAGTTGTTAAATATGAAGGTTTTGCTTGGAAAAGCAACTTAATTTTCACTGTATTTGGGAAATGCTAAACACCAAAATAGATTTTTCTCCTAAGCTTAAGGATTAAGCCAGAAATTTTTAGGCATAATATAAAAATAAAACTATCACAAGTGTTTACTAAAGATATAATCTCAATGAAATAACTGTATACAATGATTTTTGACAGAACGTAAAATCAGTGGCAAAGTGTACAACATATATCAGGCAAAGTGAAAACCTGATATAACTAGGCTGTCTATTGATTAGATGTTTGTATTCTAACCATTCTTATAGAGATTTTTCAATATATTTACCTGGGCCAGGTGCAGTGGCTCACACCTGTAATCCCAGCATTTTGGGAGGCCAAGGCTGGTGGATCATGAGGTCAGGAGTTCGAGACCAGCCTAGCCAACATGGTGAAACCCCATCTCTACTAAAGATACAAAAAAATTAGCCGGGTGTGGCAGTGGGTGCCTGTAATCCCAGCTACTCAGGAGGCTGAGGCAGGAGAATCACTTGAACCCGGGAGGCAGAAGTTGCAGTGAGCCGAAATTGCGCCATTGCACTCCAGCCTGGGCGACAGGGCAAGACTCTGTCTCAAAAAACAAAAACAAAAGCAAACAAACAAACAAAAAATATATATATATTTACCTATTATTCTGGGTAACTTTTAAGGGAGGTGTTTAAACAAGGGAGAAAGATCATAGTACATTTTTCTCTAAGAGAAGACAATACCTGAAATTATATTAGAATATTGTGAGTGTTCATTGAGCAGAAGTCTTTCATTGTCAGGGCTGAGATTGTACAGAGGCAGGTTACTGACCATGCTTAGAGTACACTTTGAGTACTTGAGTACACTTAGACCACACTTTTAGGACCCGGTAAGAGCTATAGATCCTCTCTCCAGAAAAGTGCCTGCGTGCATATACATGCAAAAGTGTGCAAGCATTTATGGACTGACTGTGCTATCTATGGCCCCACCTCTAGAGCGAGTATTAGTAGTCATCACCATTGCTTCTTATTAACAATAGGACACAGACAAAATATAGTGTGATATTGAGAGAGGGAAATGGTTTCTAAAAAGATAGTCTAGTTGGCATTCTGGGGTTTCCTGAGGAGACCCTTGCTAACTTAGTGAGAGGAGTACCCAAAAGACCAGATATATTTTATCTTGTATGACAGTAATCATAAAATGTGTCAGAGACATTTTGTCTTGATTTTTACTTTTGTGTGATAGTAATCTTTAAAAGTATAAATATAGTATAATAGTTTTTATTTATTTTTTTCCATTAAAATATATTTTTCCATTAAAATATATTTCCATTATAATATATATTAGTATATTATACTTTAAATTTTGGTTTACAAACTCTAAGTTAAAGAATTTTGCTTAGGAAAATATTAAAAATTTTCTTCTAAATATAGAATTCTGGAAGGAAAGACACTCATTACCCTCTCTACATGTCCAGGTCTTTTAAAGGCGTTCTGACAGAGGAATTCTATAAAATAAACAATTGCTTGTAACTAAGGCCTTTCCAGAAATATTCCTTTCCTGCCATTTCAGAATCTGTATATTAGTATACCATTTTTTGATAAGACTTTAGCCAAAAACTGTTTAACTTAAACATTGATAATTAAACCTGTGATGTACAGTTGTCTTTTAAAAAATTTAAACATGTAATTAGAATAAGTTACTCTGAAAAGTATTCTTCAAGCAGAGTTTTTCCTTTGAAAATGGACTTAAAATTCCCAAGTATTCTTAATCTGTATCTGAGCTTTATTTGTTGCAACAGTTAAACAAATGTGGGAAAGGAATGTAAACTCAAGATAAATCAGGTTGCTGACACTGAGGTTAACTTTCTTCCTTTTCGTTTTTCCTCATTAGCTCCATCTTGAAAATAAACTTTTGCTCTATTAGTGTACTTGTCTCTATTTTCAGTTTTTGAAAAAATGAAACAAAAACCTTGGTATTCTTAAGATAGAAGTCATATCAATCTATTATTTCATTTCAGTCCCTGTTTATTTGGTAGATTAGTGAAAATAACCATATTTTAATATCAGTATCTGTGGTATCAGCCAAGGGTATTTATGGATTTACACCAATTTCCTCATTAGAATTATTTAGAAAACATTTAAATTTTATTTAGGATTTAGTTACACCTTAAATAATTTAAATTTAGAAAATATATTTGAATCATTAGTTCAGAAATAAAATAGCAATCTAATTTAAGTAACAATGCTATACTATATTAATACATTAATCATTAGAAGTTTCTTGCTAGTGATTATTGATAATATTTTATTCCTACATATAAAATAATATGGCCAGTGACTTTTAATCCTTTTTTTTTTTTTTTTTTTTTGAGACGGAGTCTTGCTCTTTCACCAGGCTGGAGTGCAGTGGTGCGATCTCAGTTCACTGCAACCTCCGCCTCGCGGGTTCAAGTGATTCTCCTGCCTCAGCCTCCCGAGTAGCTGGGACTTCAGGCATGCACCACCACACCCAGCTAATTTTTGTATTTTTAGTAGAGACGGGGTTTCACCACATTGTCCAGGATGGTCTCCATCTCTTGACCTCGTGATCCGCCCACCTCGGCCTCCCAAGGTGCTGGGATTACAGGCATGAGCCACCGCGCCCAGCCAATCCTTTCATCTTTAGTACAATGTTTGTTTTTTTACAGAGACAAGGTCTTGCCGTGTTGCCCAGGCTGGTCTTGAACTCCTGGGCTCAAGCAGTCCTTCTGTCTTGGTCTCCTAAAGTGCTGGGATTACAGGCATGAACTACTGTGCCCAGCCAATACCAAATGTTTATGTATGCTCTTTAAATAGTAGCTAATAGTTAAAATTAGGGAAAAAATGTTAGATTTTTAGGGGATTGGGCATCATATATTCAGATATATGATTGTCTAGATAAACCCTAATATTCTTCCATTACAACATTAAATGGTTCAATTAAATTTTATCCTCAGAGAAAATTGAACTTCAGATCAATTCTGGATTTAAGCATAAATGGAAAAACTGCCTTGGTAATAACTTAGATTTCTATGAATTCTTTATAGTCTACTCCAAGCCCTTTGTAGCTAAAGAGTACTGTTTAAGATTTAAACATCTTAGGCCTCTGAGAGAGAACGTATACAAACCTGTGTACAAAAGGTACAATCAAAAATTGAAATTTCTTTAGCTTATATGATACTTATTCTGTGGGAACTTTAAGAAGTATTGTGTGTTTTTAAAACTGAATTGAGGAAGCAAGATTTTGTCTGGGGTCAATACCCTGCACCCAAGTGATCCATAGTACATTTAGAAGCAAAATTCTTAGTGCAGATGAAGGATGCTTATTTAGTAAATGTACTTATTGCTAATTTTATTATCACCAGACCAGATATTACAGGATGTAGAAGTAAGAATCCTTTTTATTTCCTGAGCATATACTCTCTGCTGGGCACTGTGCTAAGTAATTTGCATGTATTATCTCATATCTTATTTAATTCTTAACAGTAATCTTGGGATAAAGGTAGTATTTTTATACCATTTTACAGGTGAGGAAATTTACCAAGTTTAAATAATTTACCCACAGTCACAGTAAAGTCCCCAACCTCAGGTAGTTTATAATGAAGTGGAGGAGACAAGATGCATAAAGAAGTGACTATTAATAGTAATTTTAAAACAGCTATTACAAATCAGCATAAAATTATATGCCATGCAGTTAACGAATGTCCTGAATTAAAAAGAGTGTCTCTACTGCTGGAGGCTTCAATAATTAAACAAAATAATGTATGTTAATTTGAACACAGTGCATGATGCGTTATTATATTTACTTCTATTATTATTAATTATGGATAAGATGTGGATGGGTGCAGAGAGAGAGTAGGAAGAGGTACCTCGTATATAGAATCTGGAAAAAAAAGGTAGAATTGTGGACGACAGTAGGGGTGGCCAGAATATAGTTTGTATAGCATAGTGATAGGAGATAAGATTAGACTGGTAGATTGTAGCTTTATCTTAGAAGGCTTTGTATGTCATGCTGAAATATAACTGAGCCTTCCACAGGCTAAATGGCTAAATTCGTTGTGCGGCATTCCATCCTCTGCTTAAGTGGCTTCTGGTGACAGGGCTCTCACAGAAAGCCTCATTAGGAACAGATTTTTTTCCTTTGGAGGATTTTTTTATATTAGGAATCACCTTTTATTGAAGCAAATCCATCTCACTGTAGATTTCACTCCTTGAAATTAGGCAAACAATGTAGTTACATAGAGTGAATCTGCAGGTCAGACATTTGAGGATGGCTGTCATGCTTCTCTAGGTTTTTTCATAACCTGGGCTACTATTACCAGTTCCTTCACCCAAACTATATTAAGCTTGACACTGAATTCCTCTCTTTTAAGTCAGTTTGTCTGGCAGCTCTCCTGGAATTAAATTTTGATTCTTTCAGATGACTACACATTAAATGGTGATGGATTGGGTTTTGTTATTTCCAGACTATATATTTTTGTTTCATCTATAATTCCTAGCATTGCTTGGTCATAATTTTTTTTCTTAGAACCGTGATTATATACATTATTAATTAGTTTTAAAAATCAAATCCGCAAGGGTAATTTAATCCCAGAATGAAAATGACCTCTATATAAGTATTTCAAAAATCATTTATTTGTAATGAGTAAAAATGTTGAAAATAAGGCTTACTTTTATTATTTGAATATGGTAATTATGTAATTATCCTTTTAATATGTTAAGGTTATATTCTGTGCCTTAGAGTATGCTAAGCACTTTATACATAATTATCTTATTTAAGCCTCGTAGAAATCTTATGAGCAAAATGTTACTCGGTACACTTAAAGTACAGGTAACTGAGGCTTAGAGATGTAAAATAATTTGTCCACCACAGTGCTTTTAAAAGATGCTCGTAACCACTATATTGTAATTTCAAACCCTGATTCCATTAATGCTTTTTGTTGTGTTGCCTTTACTGATAATTGTGTTCAATATTCCCATGAGGGAGGCAGTCTTTGACTTTTTATTTATGATAAAGATTATTAAAGTGCTTAAAGTTTTTTATTGTATAGCGTGTTTTATCATCAAACAGGTTTTAGTTTTTTAAGTTAAACTGATCAAAAATAATAAAAGCTGATGGCTCTATGACACTTGCATTTGAGAGAACAAGAATAGGGAGCAATATTTCAAGAAAATCATTCTTACTGTTTTTCAAAACTGTTTAGTGTCAGAGATGCCCCAAGACCACTCCTAGGTTTATTGTTTCGATAGAAGGACTTACAGGATTAGTATATAGTTGCACTCCTGACTAAGATTTATTATAGCAAAAGAATACACAGCAAGATTAGCAAAGGAAAAAGGTGCATGGGACCAAGTCTGGAGGAAATGAGTCTCGAACTCCTGACCTCAGGTGATCTGCCAGCCTTGGCCTCCCAAAGTGCTGGGATTACAGGCATGTGCCACTGCACCCAGCCTGAAAGTATTACTTTTAAGAATTGTTATTATACTTTACTTGAAAGAAATAACCACTGCTATAGTATTATATCATACCAAAGCATATATTTTATAATTTGGGCTACCTAGAATTATTATTTTTTTTTTGGAAATGATGTTATATGTAGTTATAAATCACAAATGACTTGGTAATAAAGGCCATATGATCTTCAAAACCAAACTGGAACTAGCATAGATAAGACCTGCTGTTTAAACAGGTAACTCTTGGTTGAGAGAAGATAATGGCAGTCTTGTCTCTTTTTTCCCTTTATTATGAATGCATAACACTGGGTGTTCTGTTAGGCAAGGGTTGTTTCTTGTTTATTGTTTTGTGGCCAGTGCATAGCACAACCAACGTTTGGCATATAGTAGGTGCTTAAATATTTATGAATGAGTGAGTATGTGAGTAGAAGGAGTAACTGGGCTGGGAATGATGGCTCACACCTGTAATCCCAGTGCTTTCGGAAACTGAAGTGGGATGATTGCTTGAGGCCAGGAGTTCAAGACCAGCCTGAGGAGCATAGTGAGACCCCTGTGTCTACAAAAAAAAAAAAAAAAAAAAAGTAGAAGAAGAAAAAGAGTAACTGGTAAGGGCTGAGGTGTCAGGGAGACTTTTATCATTTAAAATGATTAACTGTGTAAATTTTCAGTAGCCTAATTTCTCATGGTAGACCTTTTAGAAAGAATTTTCAAAGTATGAAACAAATGCAATCTGACTCCTTTTTCTTTTTTTCAGTTTTAAAGAGAGGCAATCCCTCAGTCATGACTTCAAAGATTTTCTTTTCTAAAGAATTGATTAATCAATGGATTTTGATTGATTAATGGATTTTGAAAAGAAAGGATTATTGCTGAGTTACGTTGCTACCACTTCACCAAAGATGTTTCTTTATTTCCTTTACAGTAACTCTCAGGAGCCTTCTCCGCAGTTGGCTTCCTCGGTAGCTTCCACACGGAGCATGCCCGAGAGCCTGGACAGCCCAACCTCTGGCAGACCAGGGGTTACCAGCCTCACAGCTGCAGCTGCCTTCAAGCCTGTAGGATCCACTGGCGTCATCAAGTCACCAAGCTGGCAACGGCCAAACCAAGGAGGTAGCCCAGAGAAATCTCTTGCGTCTTGCTTTTCGTAATGAGTTTCATTATGAAAATGTGTTCTGGGATATATGGTAGAATTCACTGGTAAAACCCATTCTCAATAACCTAAGATTTAGAAAGGACTATCAGGATTAAACTATAGCTATTTTTCTCTCTGAGACATCTCATAAACATTCTTTGTGTGTATTTGATACAGTCGCATTTGCTATTCATAATTGTAGGATTGGGCATTTCCTTGTTTCCCAGAATAGGAAGCATGTGTTAAATTGTAAATTTGGGTCTTATTTAATAACAACTATATTGTTGGAAGGTTATCCTTGGAAATATAACATTTTAGTTTTGATGATATGTACAAATAACAACCACAGAAACATTTATTGCCATCAAACAATTACTGAAGAAAGCATCTTCCAATTCTTGTTCTTACAGTTTATGTAGCATAGGGGAAGAAGGACACAGTACTAGAAAGAGCATTTGAGCAGCAGGATGGAACTGCCTGGCCTCAGTTTGGAAACCTGAGTTCTCATTGACTTCTACAGATTAACAGCTTTAAATAAAGTCACATAACCTCTTTGACACCCTCAGTTTTCTGATCTGCAAAATGAAGAAAGACTAAATCATTTCCTATTTCTCCCAACATGAACAAAGTTTATGATTATGTAAAAAAAAGTACCCCTTTTAACAGGAAAATGGGACTGTACTTAAATGTTGCTAATCTCAGACTCAGCCTTCATCTCTTCTCACTCTTTATGCTCTCCCTGGGTGATCTCTCATCCAGGTTCCTTTCATTACTTAGTTATCGATAATTTACAGATCTTTCTCTCCAACTGAGTGATCTATTTGCCATCTCCTGGTGGCACCTCAAATCCAGTATGTCTGAAAATAACCATTTCCTATCTCTGGGAATTGCACATCCACTCAGTCACCAAAGCTAGAATGTAGACTTTTAGACCCCACGCCCCACATTCTCACAGTAACTAACATCTAATGGTTTTACTTTTTATTATTTCTCAAATTTCTTCTCTGTGTCATCAGAGCCATTGCTTTGATTCATGACCTCTTCATTACAAATGACTTCTAATTTCCCTGTCTCCTTTCCCCTCCTTCAGTCTGTCCCCCATACCTCCATACTACAGCAAGTGATCTTTCTTTTTTTTCTTTTTTTTTTTTCCACGGTGGCTCACGCCTGTAATCCCAGCACTTTGGGAGGCCGAGGCCGGCGGATCACGAGGTCAGGAGATCTAGACCATCCTGGGTAACACAGTGAAACCCTGTCTCTACTAAAAACACAAAAAATTATCCGGGCATGGTGGCGGGCGCCTGTAGTCCCAGCTACTTGGGAGACTGAGGCAGGAGAATGGCATGAACCCGGTAGGTGGAGCTTGCAGTGAGCCAAGATCACGCCACTGCACTCCAGCCTGGGCGACAGAGCGAGACTCCATCTCAAAAAAAAAAAGAGAGACAGGATCTCACTCTGTTGCCCAGTCTCCCAGGCTGAAGTGCAGTAGCACAATCATAGCTCACTGTAGCCTCAACCTCCAAGGTTCAAGTGATCATGCCACTTCAACTTCCCTAGTAGCTGGGAATTATTATTATTATTTTTTTTCTGGTAGAGGTGGAATATCACTATATTGCCCAGGCTGCCCTCGAACTCCTGAGCTTAAGCGATCCTCCCACCTTGTCTTCCCAAAGCATTGGGATTACAGGTGTGAGCTCTCATGCTTGGCCAGCAGCAAGTGATCTTTCTCAAACTCTGATTTGCTGCTTTACTCCTCTGCTGTGGATGCTTGACTATCCCACCCTTCCTTAACAAATCATTTAGGACCTTTTATACTTTGGCCCCTACTAACTTCTCAGCCTCATCTCCTGCTTCACCCAATTTATAATCTGTGCTTGGTTGCACTAAACCATCTTCAGTTTCCAAGACATGGCATACTACCATGCTTTTGAAAGTTCTTACCACTCTGTACAGAATGTACTTCTTCACCTAGCCCTCTAATTTCTAGTCGTTCTTCATCAGTTTTGAGATGAATGCTGATTGAGTACCCAAGGGGCCACTTTTCACAATGTGATAGCTTTAAGAATTGATCATAGCTGAGTGCGGTGGCTCCTGAGGATCACTTGAGCCCAGGAGTTTGAGATCAGCCTGGGCAGCATGGCAAAACCCCATCTCTACTAAAAATATAAAATATTAGCCAGACATGGTGGCACATGAGCCTGTAGTCCCAGATACTTGGGAGGCTGAGGTGGGAGCATCATCTGAGCTCAGGAAGTTGAGGCTACAGTGAGCTGTGATTGCACCACTACACTCCAGCCTGGGCAACAGGAGTGAGATACCTTGTCTCCAAAAAAAAAATGGTCACTCATTATTCTTTTAAGAATATTTTTGAGATTTGTAAGAGTGAATTTTTTAGTTAATTAAGTAGGAATCCATCTTTGTTTTTGTATTTTTCACAGTGTTTAAATATATTAGATACTAAATAAATTATTTATAAATTATTTTTAGAAAACGTTATTTATACAGTCTATTTTATAGTGGCATGTGTTAACATGTCACTAATTTTGCTAAGAAGCTAGAAGTGGCTGGGCACAGTGACTCACGCCTATAATCCCAGCACTTTGGGAGGCTGAGGCGGGCGGATCACGAGGTCAGGAGATCGAGACCATCCTGGAGATCAAGATCACCTGATGGGTAAAACCCTGTCTCTACTAAAAATAAAAGAAAAGTTAGCCAGGCGTGGTGGTGGGCACCTATAGTCCTAGCTACTCAGGAGGCTGAGGCAGGAGAATCACTTGAACCCAGGAGGCGAAGGTTGCAGTGAGCCAAGATGGTGCCACTACACTCCAGCCTGGGTGGCAGAGTGAGACTCTGTCTCAAAAAAAAAAAAAAAAAAAAAAAAAAAAGCTAGAAGTATTTCTATTGTGTTGGAAAGAGGACAGGCCATGGCATATGAGTTAGACTATTTTAGAGGAAAGACTTTCATTACTTCTAAAAACTTAAAACATTTAGTCTAATGTTATTAGTCTCTGAAATTTCTGGACTACTAAAAAACACTTAGTCTAATATTATTAGTCTCTGAAATTTCTGGACTATTAACTGACTTACCATGATCTATTCTTTTGGGGAAAAAATGCTAAGCTCAGCCCCATACATTTTTGAGTTATTTCTATTTATTTAAAGCCTATGTATGATGATGAAGATTTTCTGTAATTACTTTGTGCATTTGAATACAGAAAGTAATTTTCAGAAAAATGCTATTGGTATGGTAATTGGAAGCTAACAGGAGAATGTTTTGTAAAAAGCAACGAAAAGACTAAATTTCTGAGGTAGAAACCGAAGAGAAGGCACAAAGTATATGGACAGTGGAGGACAGAAAGTTTATATACGGCCTTTGGAAGTTCAGAAGTTTATGGTTAAAGTACTGCTCTGCCTTTTAAGTGGAAAGAAAAAGTTCATTTTTTTGAACTCTTGGCGAATATAGTACAGCAAAATTACCACAAGAGGGCGATGGAGTGCTTTCTCCAAGTCTAATGAAATTTGTGAGAATAATCAAAGTAGGCCAATATTAGCAATTATAATAATGAGTCACATGGTTAGTGTTTAAAACATTATGCTTTTTCTAGAAAATATAAATGAATTTTATATGAGCAAAACTACAATATAAAACATTATACATTATATAACATTATAAAACAAAATTATAAAAAGAATGTTTTCCTGTTGTGAAGTCACAGTTGAATTACATCATAATTCTTAGCTCAATTTTGAAAATATTTACTGAGTTCTTATTTATCTTGCTCCAGGTGCTATAAACAGGCATTTATTCAGTTATTACGTTGTGGCAAAGTTAACTTATTTTGTACTATTTTGGAAAATTTAAAAATAAAAACAAAATTCCCAGCCACTCAAATTCTTCTGCCCTACACAATGGTATACCATAGTTTAAAGACAATAACAACAACAAAATCATCTCAGAATGTACTCTTAGTCTTAGATAAATAGTTTCAAAAGCTTCCTGATGCAAATGAAAAAGTCTTTTGATTTAGAAGGTGATAGCGGATTCATCATGTGTTTATGCGTTCCTGTTTAAATTATGGATAGCAGCTTAGGTAAATTTAGTTCATTAGATACAAATGTATGTATAAAATATTACTATCTTACAAATGTAATGAAATGTTTTTCACAAATTCAGTCATAAAGTCATGAAGAGCCTTTCTGTGTTGGAACACATCAGTTTTCTAATTTTAGTTTAATCATATACAAAATGAGAATGAATAATTCATTAGAATATAAGCAATGCTTTGATAGATCTGGACCCGTTGTTCATTGAGCCAGTTTTCTGACTGGTGGTGGCCCCCCAAAATAGAAATGCCTGCCCTTTGCAGGTATGAATTTCAGAAGGTTAGCATTTTTGTGAGCCTTTTCCCTCTCTCCCTCCCTCCTTCCCTCCCTCTCTCCCTCCCTCCCTCCTTCTCACCTTTCCCTCCTTCCTTCCCTTCCTCCCTCACTCTGTCGCCCAGGCTGGAGTACAGTGGCACAATCTCGGCTCACTGCAACCTCCACCTCCCAGGTTCAAGTGATTCTCCTGCCTTAGCCTCCTGAGTAGCTGGGACTACAGGTGCCTGCCACCACACCCAGCTAATTTTTGTATTTTTAATAGAGACGGGGTTTCACCATGTTGGCCAGGATGGTCTCAATCTCCTGACCTCGTGACCCACCCACCCCGGCCTCCCAAAGTGCTGGGATTACAGGCATAAGCCACCACGCCCGGCCTCCATTTCTTTAACTATTAAAATAAAGACCTTAAAAGCTTCTCCTATAGCATTCTTGTGAAATCAAATGATATAACTAGGCTGCAGATACTTAGAGGATACTCAGAGGTTAACTTTCTATGCCTTTATTCCTTTTCTTGATGGCATTAATAACTTACATTGTTACTGTCCAAAAACTGGTTCTCATGTGATGTCCCTGCTTGAAAATGTTTGGGGCTGTCTGCTGCTGGTCAAAATGCTTAGCTTCTTAACAGAATTTTTGGTCCCCTTGCAATCTCAGGCCAACCTTCTTCTCCAGCTTCATTTTATAACACTGTTCCCTATAGTCCACTCACACTGAAGTTCATGAGTTCATATCATTCCTTGGCACACACTTTTCTGCTTTGTACAAGCTGCTCCTTTTATTTGAAATGCTTTTCCATCCCTTCTACTCCTGACAAACTTCTCTTTACCTTTTAAGACCAGCTTGTTCCCCCTTTGTGAAGCTTTCTTGAGCCCTCTTGTTACCTGTTCTTTTTCAATACTCCTACAAAATTTCAATAATGTCTTTGTTATAGCATTCATCCTGTTCATTTTAATTGTTTACATAGGTGTCTTTTACGACTGTTTTTAGATTCCTTTGAGGACAGGGACCAAGTCATACTGATCTGTTTTACAGCATCTAAACAATGCCTGGCACAGTTTATAGGCCCTCAGTAAATGTCCCCGAGAAAGTGAGTGGGTAGAGAAGTCAGTTGTCTTATTTAGGACATCATACGATCTGAAGGATGCAGAATTCATCTGCCAGGATATTGTTCTGTCCTCCTGCCAAACTTGAAATTCCCACAACAGTCATTGAAAAGGTGGGAGCACTGTCTGCCAAAGGCTGCTATTAGAAAATAAGCATGTTGCTAAGGAGAAGGGAGCTCCACTCTTCTTGAAGCATTTAACTCTCTTCAGAATTAAGATCGTGAACATGAGCAGTACCATAACTAGTAATACATTATTTATTTTTGGAAATTAAAAAATAATAACAGTTGTAAAGCCCCATGATAGGAATTTTTTTTTCTCAAAAGTATGAGGGCTAGGCACTGTGGCTCACACCTGTAATCCCAATAGTGTGGGAGTTAAGGCAGGAGGATTGCTGGAGGTCAGGGGTTTGAGACCAGCCTGGGCAACATAGCGGGACCCCCATCTCCACAAATTAAAAAAAAAAAAGAAGTTGGCTGGGCATGGTGGTGCACGCCTATGGTCCCAGCTGCTCGGGAGGCTGAGATGGGAAGATCTCTTGAGCCTGGGAGGCGGAGGTTGCAGTGAGCCAGGATTGTGCCACTGCACTCCAACCTGGGTGACAGAGCTAGACCCCCATCTAAAAAAAATGTGATAATTTACTGCATATAAGGAACCAAGCAGTGGAATGCAGAGGAAATATTAGGAATGTGGGATCGCCCATTTTGTCATTGTGGACAAATTAGCTCGGATGCAAAACACCAGTATATAATATAGAAATCATCAAAAAGGTGCAAAGAAGAGTCAAATCAAACTATGAGTCCCAGTTCAGAGGCATGGAGGTGTGGATCAGTGGAAAGGGAAGAAAAAGACTTAAAGTTCTGAGGATACAATCTTGAGGTAAAATATGTATTTGTTTATAGTGAAGTCCTATTTTATGCAGGAACAATATTTTAATGTTTGTGCCTAAAACAAAATAGCATGTAGTCAACGACCCTTGAACATTTTTAGGAAGAGGCCGATTTGGAGAGGGAGCAACATATGCAAAAACTGAGAGAATTTGGCTTCGGGTAGGAAAGACAAGTAGTTCAGTATGTTTAAGACTGTCTAGTGGCCCAGAGAGAAGGTTGGCTGCATTAATGGGGGTTTTGAATGTAAGAGTGTGGACTTGATGCTGAAAGGAAGCTATTAAAACATTTATAAGCCGGAAGTGGCAAAATCAGACTTGCATTATTAAAAGATTATTATAGCATTAATGTGTTTAAAAGATCATCATGACTTCATTGTAGAGATTAAGGTTGGAGACCTGGAGACCATTTAAGAAGTTATTCAGGTAATCCAATCTGGAGATAGATAATGAATATTGCCCTGGGCAGTGGCAGTGTTTTGGAGAGAATTCCCTGGGCAGGGTGACTGCAGGGTATTTACACTTTAACCTAACTGGGCTGCTGGTTTTAACCATTGCCCTCTCTGGGAACTTGACTCCCTATAGAGTACCTATGTATCCTCTGTTAAAACACCCGTGGAGGATTGTATTCAGTTTATAGCATATTAGAATGCTACCTTCATACTTTCTTTAATTGTGTGTACACACAACTCCCAGTTGAGCCCTGTTTACTCTCATGTCCCTGGTGTTGACAAGAAATTAGTGGATATTATTAAACGTGTCCATGGAGGCAGGCATTCTACTGAGGAAAATAAAAACATATATTGATATTAGTTGATATGATATTATGGCGATATACTCAAGGCAGTAGTATTTTATCATTTAATATTAGACTTTTTTTTTTTTTTTGAGACAGAGTCTCTCTGTGTTGCCCAGGCTGGAGTGCAGTGGCGCTATTTAGGCTCACTGCAAGCTCCACCTCCCAGGTTCACGCCATTCTCCTGCCTCAGCCCCCCAAGTAGCTGGGACTACAGGCGCCCGCCACCATGCCCGGCTAATGTTTTTGTATTTTTAGTAGAGACGGGGTTTCACCGTGTTAGCCAGGATGGTCTCGATCTCCTGACCTTGTGATCTGCCCGCCTCGGCCTCCCAAAGTGCTGGGATTACAGACGTGAGCCACTGCGCCCGGCCAATATTAGACATTCTTAACCTCTGATAGTCCGTATTGAACAGATAACAGTTTCTCTATGCTCTTGTTGAGGCACCATTCCCTTTATGTGAATTAGGTGATATGTATATAAGCTTTATCTTAGTGATTTGCTTTTCTCTGTGAGACAGTTTGGATATGTAGTAAAGACAAAGGCTCTTAATTGACAAGAATGTAAAAACAAAAGTTTATGATTCTTTTTTAGAATATAAGTTGTTTTGTGTTTTGAAGAAGCATGATACAAGTAAGCTATACATATAAAAGTTGTGACCATTTGAAGGTCTTTTGGGGACAGTATAAATTTCTTTTGATCAAACGAAACGGGAAAAAACACAAACTTGCTTTTCAAAATGAATAGTTAATTTTTGCTTCTGTTGTACCCCATCTGAGGAGTTTTCACCATCCCTATTTGAGGATTGGGAACTCATGAATACAATGGGCGGCCTAAAAGGAACAAACATTTAACATTTAACAGTAGAATGATGACTATCATTGATTAGTAGTAATCATTGTTTTTGTAATACTTTCAGTTGTAACAGATATTTTTATAAGAATGCACAATAAGGTAATGTCATTAAAATTTAAAATTTAAATAGGCATTATTTAATGAGGTAGCAGTGTCTGAGAAAAGTCAAAAGAATTGTTTAGAGTTCTGTAGTGAGTTGAACCCAGCTGTTTTGACTCTGAATACTGTATTTTCCTAAGTCAAAAGACAGTATCAGTGAACGTATTTAAGGAGGACTGTATCTGTTAGGGATGGGATAGAAAGGATTCTTGCCTTGGATAATAGGGAGCTTCAAGTGACTGGCAACTGCTAAGATCTGTTTCAAGTAACATTTTCTTTGCATCTAAACTCCGTTTTTGAAATTTAGATCATTTGGCTAAGATTCTAGTTAATGTGTTTTTCTTTTTTTTTTAATCATACCCGCTTCTGGTGTGTGCTACATTTAGCAATAAAGAAAAGCTTGTTTACTTCATTGTAGACTGAGCTTTGGAGAGATCTGATATGTTGTTTCGGTGTTTTTTTGTTTTTTTTTTGTGAGAAAGACTCAAATATATTTGTGAGATTTGATTAGATCAAAGACTGAATGATGTGCATCTCAGTTATAAGTGGATATAAATTCTATCTTTTATTTGAAGTCTAAGGGAGATAGGGGTGAGAAAGGAAATTACTGTTTCTACAACCATCCCAAATTTCATTGTAGGCTTTGCACTACAGTAATAAATCGAGATAACTAAATTTGCCTAGCTAAGATGGATAGATTTATTGGTTCCATTTTAAAATTTTTATATGAATAAGTAAACTGCTACCAGTTGCGTATATTTCATCTCTTCTAATAATGTTTTATTGCCATCTGCTCCCCTGCATTTTGACATCATTAAACTAAACAGCCCTCTTGCCGTAAAGCCCTGACTGGAGCTGTCCATTGTCAAAACTGGGGTGTGAAACATGTAAATATGCCCATCTCCTTACATAACAAGTAGATTTTTGTTTCTGATTCTCAGGAAAAAATAAAAGTAACAACCATTAATTGCCTGTTTTCTTTTTCTTCTAATTGTTCCTTCATTGAAATTTATTTGCGTGTTGGAAGCTTTCCAGTGCTGATGCAAGGCTTCATCTGTGAAAGCTGTTCTTTCTCCCCATTTTCTTCTCTTTCTGAGATTAAAATATTAAACTTTTTATAAGGCAGACATCTACATTTGTTCATATATGCTTTTCATAAAGAATTGTTCTATTAATTGATGCATATGGTTTAAACCAAAGTTTGGCAAATGGTGTTCCTTGGTCACATCTGGCCCACCACTGATTTTTGTGAATGAAGTTTTGTTGGAAAACAGCTACGGTACGGTTGTTTACGTATTGTTTATGGCTGATTTCATGCCACAATGGCAGAGTTGAATATTGCAAGAGTCTGTAAGGCCCACAAAGCCTAAAATATTTATTCTCTGGCTCTTTACAGAAAAAGTTTTGTTAACACTGGTTTTCAAACGCATGAATAAGAATAACAATGCTTGATAATTCTGCATGGTTAGTTGCAGACTTTATTGACAGCCATCAGCACCCTTGGTAGCACTAGTCCTGAGATACTGTGATTGCCTATTTGCTTGTCTGTAGTGTCTTTAAGAAGATAAACTCTTTCTGGGCAGATATCTTATCCTTAAATGTATCTTCCACACCAGAAGAATTCTTACATCTAAAACGTTGTATGTACTAAGTAGTTGTTGAATGAGTGGATGTTTTATTTTTTAACTATGTAAGATCTTATGTCAGAGTGTAATAATAATTGACATGTATGAAGCATTTCTTACAGATTCAAGGAAGTATAAGTAAACACTTTTACTACTTCATTGAATCCTCTCACCCTTTGAGGTAGTTATTATTGCTGTTTTACAGATGAGGTAACTTAAGACCCAGAATGATGACATTTCTAACATCACAGCTAGAAAGCCCAGAACTAGGAGCCTATGTATCTTGAAATTTAGTTTTTATGCTAGATGTGCTGCTTCTTCCACCATAAAATAGCTGACCTACCATCTCTGCTTTTAAAAGATGCTAAATTCAAACATAACTTTGAAAAATGATAAAGTATCATTTATTTTGGAGAGCTAATGACTTTAATTGAGAGATATCTTAGAGAATTAGTGGTAGTAATAGAAATTTAAGGAGTATCCCAATTTTTAAATTTTACAATAACTTGTATTCATCATTAGAGACGTTGTAGATATTGACATTGAGAAATCTTAAAATATCTCTTTTTTTTTTTCCTGCTTCATTTTTTTTCCCCTACATGATTAGAACTCTATTTATGTGGTCAACTTAAACTGTAGGTACCTTTCTCCTTCATTTCTGAAATTAGGCTGCTTTCTTATTTGTATAAATAGTTGAAAATTGGTGGGAAAATGGTAAAAGCCAAACCCATGTAGCTTTCGTGTGACTTTGGAAGTAAGACATGTCAGAACTCTAGACATAATATGAGTATAAAATGATTTTAATGTATGTCCTTATGGTTTTCTCATCCAAATATGAGCAAAATTGTACAAATTTAATATTTTAAATATATTCTAAGCTTACAAAGTCTGCATGAGTTTACCATTGATCCTCTTTAGTATTCCTGAGGTCATGCATTATGTCTCAGTTTTGTTTTGTTTTTTTAATATTTCAATTTTATTCTTTTTTATTTCTTTTCCTTTTTTTAAGAAAATGAAGCCCATTGGCCTCCTACAATAAAAGCATAGACTTGTCTTCCCACTCTAAGTAGAAAATGGAACAGTGATATTAAGATGATTTAGAAGATTCTGGGCCAGGCACAGTGGCCCATGCCTGTAATCCCAGCACTTTGGGAAGCCAAGGCTGGCAGATCATTAGGTCAGGAGATTGAGACCATCCTGGCTAACATGGTGAAACCCGATCTCTATTAAAAATACAAAAATAAGCTGGGCGTGGTGGCGTGTGCCTGTAGTCCCAGCTACCTGGGAGGCTGAGGCAGGAGGATTGCTTGAACCTGGGGGGCGGAGGTCACAGTGAGCCGAGATCGCGCCACTGCACTGTGCGAGACTCAGTTTCAAAAAAAAAAATAAAGAAAGAAAGAAAATTCTGTGTGTATATTGTGGTAAATAATTTGTTGACTTAATTGAATGCTGGTAGAACCAGATATGTTAAGATCTCATATCTTTATCTTCAGGGTACATACTGGGTTGCTTTTACTTGTATCTCTGACCAAATGGAAGTTTTCTATATAAGATCAGCTAGGAGAAAAAGGCATGAATTTTGGTTATGTGTGATATAAGAAATTAAAAAGAGAAATGAACATAATCCAAGTCCCCACACTCACTTTAATTAAGATATTGTAGATCCAGTTTAATCTGCGTTCTTAAAGTTGAAAGGCTGGTTGCTAATGGAAGAAGCTAGCCTCCTGAAGATGTGGAAATATTTGATACTTAGACTTGGGTGCACCTGTTCCAGTGCTTTATAGCAAACATACCAGCATTCTCCACTGCTTAGAGAAATGGTAATAGTTTAATCTGTCCAATTTGCTTTTAATCACTGATTTCATTTTTTAAAAATTGCACAATCGTCTCCAGAATGTACTTTCCTCTGATCCCAGATCTTGGCTTAACTGTCTCCATTTCTGTTGGATATGATTTCATGCCTGGATTATGAAGAGTAGACTATTGTTTAGGCTTTCAGCATAAGGAGCTTGACAGACAAAATGCACATATTCTTTGCTTCTGTTGGCCACCATCTGTTTGAGATGGCTGGGGAAGGGGCAGAGAAGAAAGCACTTGCTGCACACAATAGTATGCAAGCATGTTGCCATGACTGCTACCCAATTTAGTATGTGTAAAATTGCTACCATACCACTGAGAACATATTTCCTGAGATGTTGAATTACAATACTTTATCTCCCCGAGAGTGCCACTTTGATGTATCCCAGTTATTTATACAAGCACAACATTAGCTTCAGTGTTTTTAACAAGAACACCTCTTGCAGTTGAGCCAGTTGTTTTTCACACCATAAAATCTCACTTATGACCTCTGCCTTGTTGGGGCTGTCAACATTTGTCTTTTGTCAGGGGGAGTATTAGTATCCATTGATTGATATATATATGTATATATTTTTTTAAGACAGAATCTCACTCTGTCACCCAGGCTGGAGTCCAGTGGCGTGACCTGGGCTCACTGCAACCTCTGCCTCCTGGGTTCAAGCGATTCTCCTGCCTCGGCCTAACAGTAGCTAGGATTACAGGCACGCACCACCATGCCCGGCTAATTTTTGTATTTTTTCATAGAGACAGAGTTTTGCCATGTTGTACAGGCTGGTCTCAAACTCCTGACCTCAAGTGATCCACCCATCTCAGCCTACCAAAGTGCTGGGATAATAGGCGTGAGCTACTGCGCCCGGCCTAGTATCCATTGATATTTTCAATATCAGCCTTTCTTCTGACTTAATGAGAATGAAGTATTATAGGATTTTTAAAATAAGGAATCAAAATGTATTTTATAGTTATTCCTAGATTTGTCCCCATAACTTTCTTTGCTGCTTTAGCTTAATCCAAATGTAGTAGTTGAAGTATTCACACCAATATGAAGTTTGTACAATAAAATAGATTTAGTACTTTAAGCCTGTTTGTCCTTAGCAAAAGTATTAGATCTATAATTATGTTTCTCATTCTGTTGCCCAGGCTGAGGTGCAGTGATGTCATCACAGCCCACTGCAACCTTGAGCTCCTGGACTCAAGTTATCCTCCTGCCTCACATCCCTGAGTAGCTATAGGTGCATGCCACCATGCCAAACTTTTTTTTTTTTTTTTTGTAGAGATGGGGGTCTCACTGTGTTGCCCAGGCTGGTCTCAAACTCCTAGCCTCAAGTGAGCCTCCTACCTCAGTTTCCCAAAGTGCAGGGATTGCAGATTTGAGCCACCACACCTGGCCACATTTCTCTTCTAAAGCAATTTATGTAAATTCTCCTAAATGTTTCTCAAAACGTGAAGAATACAGCCTTTTATCCTTAAGTTTTATTTCAGGAACCTTGCAGCCATTAATTATAATGGCTAAAAACTTTGGGCAGTCAGGTTTATGGAAATAAGTAGTATTTATCTAAGAAACTCATATTTTACAGAATACATGAAGGGCTTAAAAGTGATAATCTAAGCTGTTAAGAGACTTCAAGGAAAATAAAATAATAACGCCTTCATACATTTTTCCTACATTTATCCTAGCAGGCTCAGTAAGGAAATTAAAATAGCAGAAATAAATCACCTCAACTATCACTATCCCCTCCTCCAAACTGGTCCAGAAGTGAGTACTAGCAGGTTTAGATCACATTTAAGGAGCTCTGACTTCATATTTTAATGAATCAAGACATTAACTGGCAAAGAACTCAGCACACAGTAGGTCCATAATAATTATTGATGAATTAATGCATAAGGACATAGTTTTTGGAGTGAAATAGACATGGTTTTGGATCCCGGATTCTCTGCTCCCCTCCACTGGCTTCCGTGACATACTCTTCTGGTTTTTCTCCTGCCTCTCTGTCAGTCCCTAAGGTATTTGTGTTATTTGCTTTCCGCCTAAGGAGCTCTTCTGTTTTCATGCTGTACTTTCCCTGAAACAGTCTCATTGACTCCCACAGACTCAAATGTCGTCAATATGTTGGTGACTCTTGAATCAATTCTTCTAGCTTAGATACTTCTCCTGAGTTTTTATATTCAATAAATGATCTGTACAGGCGCCTCCAACTTTAACATGCATGTGCTGTCCTCCACTGTGAACACACGCATAGCGTAGCGCCTGCCGCATTACAGGCTCTTAGCATAAACTTGTGAGTGAAACTCAGCATTTTCCCACCTTTCTGGCAGTTATCCCACTATAATATAATTGACTGTTTACTGGCTTATAACCTTCTTTAAACTCAGTAAGGGCAGAAATCATGTTTGTCTTGTCCATATTGGTAGAGCCAGTGCATTGTTTGGTACATAGCAGTTGTTCAAAAAACATTTGCCTCATTTCGTGATTCTACATGTTTTGGGGCAAGTTACTTATCCTTTCAGAAGTTTATATTCTTGATCTGTTAAATAGTTGACAGTACCTTGAAATGTTGTTGTAAAGATGAAACAATTCAGTTATTCACTCTTCAAAACTTTTTACTATAGAAAAATGTTCAAATATATGTATCTGCACTCCAGCCTGGGCAACAGAGTAGAGACCTTGTCTCTAAAAACAAAAAAATTAAATTAGAAACAAAGAAAAAAATTACTGTGTTGGGAGATGTGTGGTAGGGAAAATAATGCCCCTTTACAGATGTCCATGAACACAGAACTTGTGACTATGTTATGTTATATGGCAAAAAGGAATTAAGTTTGCAGATTGGAGTTAAGATTGCTTGTCAATTGACCTTAAAAATGGGGAGATTATCCTGGTTTGACCCAATGTAATCACAAGGGTCTTCAAAAGTGGAAGAGCAGGGAGGCGGAAGAGAGGATCAGAGTGATACTATGTGAAAACAATTCAACCCATGCTTGCTGGCTTTGAAGAGGTGGAAGGGGCTTTGAACCAGAGAACTGGGCAGCCTCAGTTTCCCTAGAGTCTTCAGAAAGAAAAATAGCCCTACCAACACCTTGATTTTGACCCAGTAATATCTGTGTAGGTTAACTGTTAGGTTTAGGTAATAAACTTGTGTTGTTTTTAAGCCAGTAAGTTATTAGTAATTTGTTACAGTGGCAATAGAAAACTAGTGATCAGATAATCAGAAAAAAATTGAAAATTGGGTATTTCATGATATTAAGGAATATTTTTAAGTGTGATAATGGCATTATGATTATGTTTTTAAAAAGAGTACTCTTTTAGAGATTATATTACAATATAGATTAAATGGCGTATCTTGAATTTGTTTCAAAATAGTTCAGAGATGGCCGGGGAGCGAGGAGTGGAATATTAATGAAACATGATCAATTATGAAGCAATGATTAACAAAGCTTGATTTTTCCATTTATTAAGTTGTACTAGTTTTTCAAATAATGAATTGGTTCCTTAGCATCTTCTATACCTAAGCAACGTGGATATTTTTTTAAATTCTAGAATCATTGTAAACTCATAGACTTAGATACATTTGAAGTATTTCAATCCATTGTAGTTATTATTTTTATTTTTCTAAATGCTGAAACTGTCCCATCTACTTCTTCAAGTTATTTTGATGCAACTCTAGGAGTCTTTAACATTTTCCTTGCTTTCTAATTTGACAAGACATTCCAAACTCTCCTTACTCATTTTTTGCCCCAATCCTAGAATCAGCAATTTCTCTAAGACGTCTGGTTCCCTTTAGTAGAAAGACAATAATTCTGGTGCAGGAGTCATTTTTTCTCTGAATAAGGACTTACTGAGCAATATGCCAGGGACTGCTGGGTGCTAGGGATAGAGCAATGTACAAAATAGATGGTGACCCTGACCTCAAGGTAGGAGAAGACAGATAATAAACAATAAAAAGAATATAACATGAGTGCTGTAGATAAAGAGAAACTGCTGAGGAATATTGGAACTGCTGCTTTGTGGGGAATGGGGTGCTGTTTTGTATAGGATGGTCCAGGAAAGCTACATTGATAATACGGCCTTTGAGCAGAGACCAGAAGGAAGTGAGGGAGCAAGCCGTGTGAACAACTGGAGAAAAGATTTCCAGGCAGAGGGAACAGAAAGTACAAAGGGCCTGAATCAGAAGCACGCTGGCCAGTACAGAGGAATAATCAGGGGGCCAGCATGTCTGGGATATAATGGGCAAGGGGTAGAGTGGCAGGAGATCAGGTCAGAGAGATAGCAGGGGTCAGATGCTCTAAGACCTTTGGTTTTAGTGCTGAGTTAAACGGTCACTATTGGAGGGTTTTGAGCAGAGGAGTATCTGTTCAAAACCCTCCAATTATATACTGACTTCATTTTTACTGACTTTTTTGTTGGTGGCAAGAGTAGAAGCAAGGAGATCTACAGGCAGTCACTGCTCTAATCCAACCAAGAGATGAAGATGGTGGCTTGGACCAAGATGTACTATGGAGGTGGTGAGACATCATTATGTGATGTGTTTTTTGTATCACCATGAGCAGTTCATCTTCCAACACCAAACTTGCTCTCCTGCTGATTATGTTTAGCAATACAGAAGCACTACTTCTAATAAGAGTAAGCTGCCTTAGAAGACACTAGCAACATCTGTTACTGTTTAAGTTTGTTCTTTGGGATATCATCCCCCATTCCCAGCTGACTTAAGTTTCCAAGTAAAGTTTGACAGGATGTAGTATTTTTTTCGCATAGTGTATGTCGGTAGTAAGAATATTTTATTGGTAGTTGAAATTTTATTTGAACCACAGAATCAACTGATTAACTTCATGCCTATTCAAGTACAGTCTGGCCAGGTGTTTAATCTATGCATTGTAATCCTCACTACTGTCTTTTAAGTGTGTTGGTTTAGAATTAACAGCTATTATGAACAGGAACAGAGACCAAAAATATCAAATAACCCCCACTTTATTCTTAATCCGGTGAGAAAACATCTGTTTTCAAAAAATTCACACGTACTACCGGGAACTTGATTGATTTTAATTAATATTTTCTTACTGGAAACTCTAGCAACTCTGTATATTGTGGATTAGGTATATTTTACTGGACTAACTTAACAAATTTATACATTGTATGCTGAGAAAGTTTTCTGGTATGTTGCTAGGTTTTCCAGTAAATTTATGTTTACTTATTTAATGGTAATTATTGTAATCTTAGGTTTGACTATCAGTGTTGAAAATCCAAAGAAAAGATTAAATATGAATGTTATTCTGAACCTTTAGAAGACTCATAAATAGCAATTTTAAAGTTAACGAAAGAGATTCTCACCAACACTATTGGTTTGGAGAGAAGCTAATGGATTTGAATTTCTAGTTTTCTGGTGGTGAAATGTATTTGGTACAAAAGAAAAAAAAAGTAATTTTCAAACAAGCTCCCAGGGAGTAGAGATTAGCCATAAAAGAAGCCAATATTTAATGAAAGTTGCTCAAGCCTTGAGTCAAGAACCAATTTCCTCCTGATGTTCTCATTGTGACAGTTTCCTGACTTGCTCATTATTCAGTTCGAAAAAGTCACACTTTTTGTGACTTACATTCCTAGATTGTGAAATGGGGCTGATTCAACGCTCCTGTTTAATGTTATCATTAGAACTTAAAAGAAAAAAAAAACTGTGATGACAAGTAGATTGTCATCCTTAAGCTATCTCTAAAGAGGTGTATTTTTCTTTCTACATAGAAGTAAATGGTTTTTGCAATGGGTTCAATGCATTTGGAGCATTTTAGAGGTCAATGTGCTACCCATGGAAGACTGGTTTTCTTTGTATGGTAGTGTAGTTCTCCACAAAATTATAATGGAAGCAGGGCTCATTTATGGTGCTTCCCCTGTCCCAAGACCTCACCCTGTTACACGTCCCTCTTCCCCGTAAGCCAAGTGAGCAGAGACTAGGAGGCTAGCACTTGACTGCTCAAAGGTTGCCCATTCCTGTGCTAGAGCGGTGGTGAGAAATTCAGTCTGAAGAAATGAAACATCACTTTGTTCATACGGGAAATAGCTGTGCCGTGGAAATGTTCAGGACTTGGTAATTAATAGAGCTTGTGTAGCTTTGTGTGCAGGCCAATGTGCTAGCAACACAGCAACAAATGGAGGTGTGAGAATTTATTTCATATCCAAAGTGGTTAAAATGGGGCAGTAACGGAAAGCAAGGCTTTTCTTCCCAAGAAAGGAATAGCGGTAGAACTTAGAGCCTTTTTATGTGTGTTTGAGATACAGTCACATGTTTCATGTTTAAGAATGGCTTCTCATGCTAAATAAGTTAGTTCCCCGTATACCTTCTCCTTGAGGCATGGGCCAGATGGATTATGTCCCATTTTACAATGACTGATGGAGAATTACCACACTCTTTTATTGCTAAAAGTATCTCAGTGACTCAGTACTTTAGAGCTTATGCATAGATAATGTGATAAAATAAAGGCATATGGTAGATGAAAGGGTTTGGCTTTCTTTGAGGTCTGATTTTCAGATTTTCCAATTGGTTACTTTCCCATTATTTGAAATCCTGAACCTAATCCACATTTTTAAAGTATCTATCTCTACAGTCTTCTTTAAAAAGGCAAAAAAAAAAAAAAATTGGGAATCTTCCTTTTTTCATGTAACTGATTAAATAATATTTTTTCATCATTTATTTGTAAGGTAATTTTTTGGCTGTGGATAGAAAGAAGTATATAGAGTTCGTACTTTTTTTTTTTTTTTTTGAGATGGAGTCTTGCTCTGTCGCCCAGGCTGGAGTGCAGTGGTGCGATCTTGGCTCACTGCAAGCTCCACCTCCCGGCTTCACGCCATTCTCCTGCCGCAGCCTCCCAAGTAGCTGGGACTACAGGCCCACCACGCGCAGCTAATTTTTTTTGTATTTTTAGTAGAGACGGGGTTTCACCGTGTTAGCCAGGATGGTCTCGATCTCCTGATCTCATGATCCGCCCGCCTCGGCCTCCCAAAGTGCTGGGATTACAGGCGTGAGCCACCGCGCCGGGCCACTCATTTTTAAATAATTAATAATTAACTTAGGGAGGAAAAGATATTGACAGGATATTGATAAATAGCTAATAAATTATACAGGTGAGGAGTGTTACTTCTAGCTGGGGTGGTCAGAGAAGACTTGGGAGAAGAAAATGAAACTTCTATGGGCTTTACAGAATGGGAAAACTATGAGTAGCAGTAGGAAAAGGGACATTTCCTTGGCTGAGGGTCACAGAGGCAGTGTCTGGTGTGGCATGTTCAAGGGATAGTGAATAAACTATAGCATAGTTTAAGAGCAGACTCTGGAGCCAGACAGCTCAAGTTCAAGACTTTTACTTGCTATGTGACTTTGGGCAGATTTTTAAACCTCTCTTTGCCTCAGATTCCTCATAAATTAAAAAAGTGGTACTAATAACAAAATCAAAGGGCTGTTGTAAGGATTTAAGAATAGTGCCTTCAAGATCAGGCGTGGTGGCTGATGCCTGTGGTCCCAGCACTTTGGGAGGCTGAGGCAGACAGATCACAAAGTCAGGAGTTCGAGACCAGCCTGGCCAACATGGTGAAACCTCATCTCTACTAAAAATACAAAAATTAGCCCAGCGTGGTGGCAGCCACCTGTAATCCCAACTACTTGGGAGGCTGAGGCAGGAGAATCATTTGAACCCTGGAGGTGGAGGTTGCAGTGAGCAGAGATCGTGCCGTTGCACTCCAGCCTGGGCGACAGGGCGAGACTCCGTCTCAAAAAAAAAGGAATGGTGCTTTCAAATAGTATTAAATAATTGCACAAGTTGAGTATTAAGTAACTCTAATTTAGTCTGAAGATGATGGCAGTGATATGTGGGGAAACAGAAAGGATAAGGTTTTACAGAAGATTGGAGTGGGCTTATTGAGGGACTTGACTTTCAGGACTACATATAGTTTGTAATGAGTTACAGAGGCTTTATTTTAGAAGCAGGAACATATGATCAGAGTAGTGTTTTTGGAAAAATAATCTAGCAGAATAGGTAGAAAGGGAGACTGGCAGCAGAGAGTGGTTAGGAGACTTGCAATAGTCCAGATTTGAGGAATTCAAGACCAGAATTCAAAAGATAGAGGGTGGGTTTGGATTAGAACGGAAGGACAGACCTGAGAAAGAAACATTTTCTATGAAACAGTTGTTAGGGTCTGGGGACTAACCCTTGGGGACACAGGAGGCCGAGTTCTGTGCCTGCGTGAGTGGGAGAATTCTAGCATCTAGGCGTTCTTGGCAAGAGCTGGTAATATGTGCAAGAAGAAGAAATACATTTTACATTTCTTGAATTTAAAGATAATAACAGGTGTTAGAGTTGAAAACGTCCTGGAGAAAACATATTTGGTGCTCCAGAAGAAATCAGGCCTGGATAAAGAAATTAAAGATGCACAGAGGTAAGAGTTGGGCTGTGTGAGCAAATTAGGTAACAAGAAAGTAGTGTACCAAGTGAATATTACAGCACTTTTCTTTCCCATTTCTGTAAGAGAAAAGTGTGGGTCTAAGAGAATGGAAACATGTTCCTAGTCCAGTTGACTCACTTGAAACATGGGCAATAATAGAGCTCCCTGGCCTGAAAGTGGCGTTTCACAGATCGAGTGCCAGGCAGTGCACTGTAGAAGATGTGTGAAGTGTCTATAAATGCTGGGTTTCTGGATCTGTAATTGCACATTATTGCAAACAGGCTTTATTCTAGTGAGGGAGAATTATCATATCAATTATCCTAATTAATCTTTCCCAATTCCAACTACACTTTAATATACTGTCAATGTGTTTTTACATATATATGTATATTTATGTAAATACATTTATCTGTATACACTCTGTTAATTTGTATTATTTGTATGCTTTTCTTAAAAGTTGTTCCTTTTGGACTATTTTCACATGCACCTTTTCTCTTCCATTAGATTTTAATTGCCTGTGGCTAAGGAGCAGACCATCTGTTGGTTTCAATCCTCACTGTTTTCTCATTCATTCACTTTTGTATTGATTCCAGTTTATTTATTCATTCATTTATTCTCTCCAGACACTGTTAAGTTGCTAGGGTGCTGAATAAGACATAATTTCTGCCCTCAGGGAGTATACTATCTAGTTAAGGGAAGGAAAGGCACAGAAATATATAGCAGAAACAGTAACACATTAACAGAAAATTATGAGAACACAGAAGAGAAACATTTAATCCAGATTATATGGAGAGCGTTGGGGAGAAATGTAATTCAGGGAGAGTTTTTGGAGTAGTCGACTTCTGGGCTGAGACTTAAACAATAAAGTAGTGGTTACTAGGTAAATAGGAAGAAGGGTAGAAAATGGCATTACCGATGGTGAAAACAGCCTGAGCATACATAGACCCATTCACAAGAAAAAGTGAGGCAGTTTAGTGTTCTTGGAGCATAAAGTGAAAGGCAAAGAGCAGTGTAAGATGAGGTTGTGGGGCAAGCAGAGACCACTGGGGGGATTTGTATGCAGCACGTGGAAGCAGGGACTACATTCAGGGGTCAAATAGGGAGATCCTTAAATGCTGTTGGGTCAGATTTCAGTCTTAGGTGGCTGTTGAGAGGATGAATGTAAGAAGGACATTTCTGGTAGCTGGTCGAGGTTGGTGACGTTGAGGATCTAAATTAAGACAGTATTATAGGAATGGGGAAGAGGAGGCAAAGTCAAGAACAATGTGAACTATCAAACCAGCAGGACCTATTACTATAAATGAGAGGGAGGAAGGACCAAGGATGCTTCTTATGTAGCTGCCTTCTATTCCTGGGTGACTGGTTGCACAGTCTCCTTAGAGAATCCAGGAACAGAGAGAATATAGTGAGTTAATTTTTGGTTTTGTTATCTTCAATACATTGGGATTTTTAATACATCTATGACTATATTTGGAATTAAATCTAATTAATGGTTAGCAGAGATGTCTAGAGAATTAGAAATAACTCACCTTCAATATTTACCTTAACCATGTCTTCTCGTAGAAGCAGAGGTATGTATCACCTGAGGTCAGGAGTTCAAGACCAGCGGACCAACATGGAGAAACCCCGTCTCTACTAAAAATACAAAATTAGCCAGGCATGGTGGTGCATGCCTGTAATCCCAGCTACTTGGGAGGTCGAGGCACGAGAATCGCTTAAACCCAGGAGGCGGAGGATGCAGTGAGCCGAGATCATGCCATTGCACTCCAGCCTGGGCAACAAGAGCGAAACTCTGTCTTAAAAAAAAAAAAAAATTCTATGCATACGTCTGTCATAATTCTTTTACTTTGTTGGAATCTTTGGTTTTCTTTCCCATTTACCTACATAGTCACAGCCTAGTGTTTGATTCATAACCTCACTGTAAATGTGAGTGAGTGAATAACAAGTGAATAGATTACTGTTAAAATAATAATTTTTATTATTTGATTGTTAGGAAAGGTTTATATGTGGCTTATTCTCATTCTGATTCTTCTGTTTTAACTCCTAGTACCTTCCACTGGAAGAATCTCAAACAGCGCTACTTACTCAGGATCAGTGGCACCAGCCAACTCAGCTTTGGGACAAACCCAGCCAAGTGACCAGGACACTTTAGTGCAAAGAGCTGAGCACATTCCAGCAGGGAAACGAACTCCGATGTGCGCCCATTGTAACCAGGTCATCAGGTTGGTTGTTTTTTGAAATTTTCTTGAAAGTACTTAATATCAATGTTGGGTTTTTTTTTTTTTTTTGCATTTGGAAGTATGTGTAATGTAATTAGTGAAAATATTCTTGCCATAATCCTATAGAGTACTAATTATTGAGTAAATACGAATATCTATCTATGAGAATCTATTTTAATGAAAGGTAATACGGAGGTCTGTGAAAATAAAAGTACTAATTGCGTTCGTTATCAGTTATCAATTCCTATTAGAACTAAGGAAAAAGTGATTAATGTGGCCTTTCAGAGAATAATAAAATTTTAAGACTCAAAGGGACCCTGAAAGTCATTTATCCTAATTTCATTATTCTACAAATTATAGAAGTGAGGACATTCATTTAGATGAAAAATAACTAGTGACATTAAAGAACTTTGAGCCTTAGAGAAAAAGATGATTGGATTTTTGAGTACACAAGCACTGAAAGGTACCTTCAGACCTATTCATAAATGTTTTGAATGTTAGATTACGTAATGACCTGCTTCTTTAAAATACGTTTTATCCCAATCTATTTTATTGTCTCTTAAATTACAAGAAGAAAAAGTCTCAGATCTTAAGAATGCACTGTACTGCAGCTTATTGAATCTCTGAGTATTTCTGAATAAGGGGCTTTTAGAATGTTAGGTGGTGTAGGCACCAGTGCTGATTGCAGGCATCCCACCCAAAGGACCTTGTTGCACTTCGTGAGTTGCCTTGTTGGCAATAACAAATGGTCCTTTGAAGTGACTTCTCAAGCTCTCTTCTTTTTAAATTTATCCTACTTTGAAATAATTGAAACAGTGGCTTCTCTAAAGTTGAATAAGGTTAAAACTTAATTGCATTTTCATCTCTTCTATTACATAATTATAGCATAATGTTTCTAGGTAATATTTAAAATGGAGTCAGGAAACCTCAATACTTCATTTAGAGTCAAATATAAACACCCCTCTCTTTAGCCTACTATTAATTGAATAATATATGTGTCAAGAACATAGCACACAGTATGCCATTCAAAACTGAATAGTTTTTTTGTTTGTTTGTTTTAAAGGTAGTCAATGTTCATTGTGACGTTTAAAAAACATAGAAACACAGAAAACAAAAAACAAAGTTCACACATAATCCCACCTCCCAAGGTAACCTCTATTATCTGTTTTCTTTCAGACTTTTAAAACATTCACACATAAGGACAGATATTATTTTACAAAAATGGAATCCTAATACAGTATTTTGTAAGCTGCTATTTTTCCTTTAAATTGTATTTTTCAGAGTGAGCACCTGCTTAGTAAGAATTAGCCAGCAGCAGTGGTAGTAGTAATAGTGGTTATGGGGAGAAAGGGAAAATCAGTAAAGGTTTCCAAAGTCTAGAGCAGTATTCAACACACAGAAGGCATTCAGTAAATGTTTAACTGCATAGATCATGCATGACTCTAGACCCATTCATCATTTAGGCCATAATGTCAATTTGGTTAGTCATTTTCCTGAAAGTGCTAGTATGGGGTCTCTGTCTTATAGAAATATTTAAACTAATGTAAGATCTGGTATGTTGCTGCTTTATCCTAATAAAGAAAACAATGTTTTAGTACTACCTGCATTTAGCTGTTATATTTTTGGTTTAATATCGATAAAATAGAAACAAACTCTGACTTGTAACATTGCTTCTGTAAGTTACAGTACTTTGGTTGCCTAGACTGATGCTTAGGGATACTATATTCTGGATAAAAACACCTTTGTGGAGACAGGAGTCACTGCTGTTATTTGTATGCTATTGTAAGCAAGTAATTACTGGGTGAGTTAACAAAATGTCATACCACATCAGTTGCTGATTCATGTTGTGTAGTTATCAAATTCCATGATATCCTGTAATCACCACTTCCGGCACTTCTAAAAAACTTACTTAATATGGAGAAAATGTGAAGATCAAAGTAGAAATTACATTTCACCACCCCTACCTGCCTTGGTTTTAAATTTAATGCCAGGCCAGTATGCAATTTTAATGCACAGTCATCCTGCCGTGTAAAATAAATATGTATTATGCTAACATGAGTAGCCATCACTTATTGCTCCCTCATCTGTTAAATTTTATATTGTTCTGGATTATCCAGTACTTGTTATCAGTTAAGCATTAAAGCTTCATTTACTAAGGAAGTTAATAGGAATGGGGATTAGTTCATGTCAAGATCATGTAACAGTAATTAACATAGCACATTTGCCTGGTGCTCAAATGCTTAAGCAGCTTGAATCGATTGTGGTCAGTTCAGAGGCCTAGTCAAAGCATAATTCTAGTTCTTGGCCTCAGTGTCACTATTACTTAACCAAAGCAAGAAGACTTTAGATCAAGTGACATTCTCTTGGACACCTGTTTTAAAAACGAGCTGTAGTTTCAGGCTTGATACCTTCAATGCAGACTATTATACCCTAGCAAGCTTGGAGAAGTTTAAATTTATAATTTATATTGTGAGTTTTCTGTCATATAATTTATATTGTTTGTACCAATTTATATTGTTTTGTTTTATATTTACTTTTCAATATTTCGAATTTGCCAAAAACCATTTTTTATGTAAAGGCAAACTAAAGCACATTTTATGTTTTATTTTATTTTATTTATTTTTTTTTTTTCAGCAGAGTTGATTGTTTTAGAAAACCTCAGGAATCTGAATGTTAGAACTGAACTGGTTATCTCTTTATAGAGCACATTCAGTTTAAAATTCCGTAATCTTATTTGGATCTAAAGTTTAAAAATTTTTTGGTTTATTTGAATTGTGAAAAGTTTATGGATGTTTTGCCTAAATTGTATTATGGAGACATTACTTTGACTAGCTACGAATGAATAGGAAGTTACATTTTAGGAACTTCTGTTGAAGCTTTGATTAAGTTTGCTATGGGACATTTTCAGTCAAATTATGTTAGAAGCACCATTTATTTGACTCATACTTATGAATAGATTAACTGTTGGAGTGCTAGGATAATAGAGAATCATAGAAAATCAGGCAGTTGTAGCCAAAATCATATTTCAGTTTCCGTGGTAGAATGGGGTTTTGAACATTCTAGTTTATTTCTTAAGTGTTACATCTAGTGGCATTAAAATCTATTGACCATTTGTATTACATGGAGTTAACGGAACTATTTATGTTTAGCTTGACCTCTCTGTGAAAGAAATAAGGGGCTTATAGTGCTTGAATTTCTTCTTAAATATGGAATGCTTAAATAGCCACATTACTATTGTTTTGCCTTTGCCTACAGTACAGCACCAGAAAAACTATATACAGCCAATCCATTGTTTGTTCCAGTGAGAGAAAAAATTTTAACATTATTGATTTGTTTTTTGCTCAGTGATTTTCAAACCTCTCTCATAAGGAGCACCATCTCAGTTTACCAAGGAAAAACATGCATAATTTGTTGCCTGTTTTACCATTTATTTCAGTCTCTGAGCACCCCTTTATTTATAGGTTTTATTTATCATCCCCACTAATTAAGATTTTACTTGAAAATAAAAGGCCTCCTGGAAATGTATTATTAGCCCTTGTATTTAAGGAAACAACTAAAGACATTGACCAAGACTCATAAACAAGACAGAGACCAAGATTTCACTATTTACTGTTGTGAAAGATTAGAAAGAACATAAATGTGCAGCATCTATATAATGTAATTTTCAGATAATAGTTAAAGTTAAATGTGTTTTTAGCATATTCCAAATATTGCACCAAGAATTTTGCCTGAATTTTCATAACAACCCTGTGAGACAGTTGCTATGATTATTCCACTTCAAGGTTGAGAAAATTGAGGCATAGAGAAGTTACGTATTTGTTTGAAGTTGCATATGTAGTAGATAATGGAACCTGAATTTGAGTCCAGATTTGTCTAACTTTAATTTTTATTCATGCTTTTAACTACCACTACATAGGAAAATGTTTATAGTATCATATGAATATGGCAAAAATGAAATAAGGAACTCAAAAGTATGATTCCAATTTTATGTAAAGAAACTATACACCAAGATATATATTTAAGCCTGATAACAATAAAAATAGCTACTATATATTGAACTTGATTGGTATCATGCCAAGAACTTTTTTTTTTTTTTGAGATGGAATCTCCCTCTGTTGCCCAGGCTGGAGTGCAGTGGTGCGATCTCGGCTCACTGCAACCTCGGCTCACTGCAACCTCCACCTCCCAGGTTCAAGCAATTCTCCTGCCTCAGCCTCCCAAGTAGCCAGGACTACAGGCACCTGCCACCACGCCCAGCTAATTTTTTGTATTTTTAGTACAGATGGGATTTCACCATGTTAACCAGGATGGTCTTGATCTCCTGACCTCATGATCCACCTGCCTCGGCCTCCCAAAATGCTGGGATTAACAGGCGTAAGCCACCACACCCAGCCCATGCCAAGAACTTTATTAGTATTATTCTACTGGATTCCCAAAATAACTCCAGAGGATTGATATTATTCTTTTTTTTTTAATTTTTTATTTCCATAGGTTTTTGGGGAACAGGTAGTATTTGCTTACATGAGTAAGTTCTTTAGAGTTGATTTGTGAGATTTTGGTGCACCCATCACCAGAGCAGTATACTCTGAACCTAATTTGTAGTCTTTTATCCCTCACCCACTTCCCATCCTTTCCCCTTGAGTCCTGAAAGTCCATTGTGTCATTTTTATGCCTTTGCATCCTCATAGCTTAGCTCCTACTTATGAGTGAGAACATACGATGTTTGGTTTTCCATTCCTGAGTTACTTCACTTAGAATAGTAGTTTCTAGTTCCATCCAGGTTGCTGTGAATGCCATTAATTTATTCTTTCTATGGCTGAGTAGTATTCCATTGTGTATATATACCACAGTTTCTTTATCCATTGATTGATGGGCATTTGGGCTAGTTCCATATTTTTGCAGTTGTGAATTGTGCTGCTATAAACATGCATGTGCAAGTATCTTTTCCATACACTGACTTCTTTTCCTGTTAGTAGATATATTCTTATGCCTGTTTTACAGATGGAAATACAGAGGCTTAGATTAATTTGCCCAAAGTCACAAAGGTGGTTAAATAGTAGAGCCAGGGCTGGAACCCATCTGCTTGATTCTGAAATACATTCATTCATTCATTAAATATTTATTGAGGGTCCTATAATGAACCAGGCACTGTTTTATCCCACTGTTTTTAGGAATATAATAGTAAGCAATACATATAGCCAGTGTGCTTTAGAAAAAAGACCAAAAGAGAACTATACCCCAAAATTAAGAGTTATAATGTCCAGATAATAGATTGGATGTGATGTTTATTTTCTTCTCTCTCCGACTTCAGTCTTTCTAATTTATTGCACAAGAGTTTGTGTGTTTGTGATGAATGAATATACACACAATGATATCTATTACTGTATTACATCAGAAAAACACCCTCAGTAAACCTGCCATAACTGAAGACTATGGCAGTGTACTTTTATTCGTAGTGTTTGAATGAGAAAGAAGATAATAGATAATAAACAAGTTGAACAGTTAAATATTCTCATCTCCCCTCTAAAATTATTTTGTACAGCATATATGTATTCTTAAACTCATGTAGATTACTTGGGGCTCACTTTTCTAGTTTCTCATCTAATGCAGGAGTATAAGCAACATTCGTTGAGTATTTTGTGTGCCGCTGTCCTTAGATATCACTGGCACAGAAATCAAAGACATGCTCTTTTTTCTTAAGAAGGTTACTGTTGTGAACCGAATTGTGTCTTCCCAAAATTCATTTGCTGAAATCCCAAATTCCAGTACCTCAGAATGGGACTATATTTGAAGAGGGCATTTGGTCTTTAAAGAGGTAAAATGAGGTCAGTAGGGTGGGCCTTAATTAAATTTAACTGGTGTCATTATAAGAGGAAATTGAGACACTGACACATATTGAGGGAAGACCATGTGAAGACACATGGAGAAGATGGCCATCTATACACTAAGGGGAGAAGCCCTCTTGACATCTTGGTCTTGAACTTTAGCTTCCAGAACTGTGAGAAAATAAATTCTTGTTGTTGAAGCCACCCAGTCTGTGGTACTTTGCTAAGGCAGTCCTGGCAAACTAATTCAGTTTATAGTCTAATAAAAAATACAGACAAGCAAATCAACAACCAAATTAATATGGTAAGTCGAACAGAGATGCATCTAGGATTACATCAGTGCAAAAAGGAGAGGTAAGGATTATCCAACTTTAACAAACCAATTTATTTTATTTGAAAAGAATGGAAAGCAGTAAGGTTCAGAAGTCTATTCATAATCAAATGAATATTTTGTACAACAAATGTCCATTGAAAACTTCTATGCAAGTTACCATACTGGCACCATGGTATATATTTCTAGTCTACCCCGTGCTCACACCCGAATGATGGGTGTGACTGGAAGGAATCCCACAATCACACTAACCAGTCTCCTTTTAAATTCATCACTACTAATCTCAGGTATGTTCCTTCTTTTCCCTGGGTATATTCTTAATAGTAATGAAAGACTGCTGTTTCTCTAATATGTTTACTTTCCCACTTTCCCCAAAAAACCCATTTCACATCTTCTTTCTCCTCAAACTTCTAAAATCTCCTTTCCCATCCTCACTATTAGCTGATGACTTTGATTCCTCTTTCACTTTTTTATGTAGGAAAGGGAACAAAAAAGGCATACAACATAGAGAAAATAGATAGCAAAATGCCACTAATAAATCCTACTTTATCAGTAGGTTACATTAAACATAAATATATCACACACTCCAGCTAAAAGAGAGAGTGGAAGGGTAGATAAAATTATGATCTAACTATAAGTTGTCTACAAGAGACACAGTTTAAAATAAAAGATACAAATATGTTACAAGTAAAAGTATAGAAAAAAATATATTATGCAAATAGTAACCAAAAGAGAGTGAGAATGACTGTACTAATATCAGATAAAATCGATGTTAAGACAAAAAAAATTACTAGAGACAGAGTAGTACATTTTATAATGATAAAAAGCTCAATCCATTAAGAAAATGTGAGTTATAAACACATATTTACCTAACAGCATCAAAATAAGTGAAATAAAAACTGTCAGAATGGAAGGGAGTAATATATACAATTCAATAATAATAGTTGGAAACTTCAACACTCCATATTAATTAATAGATATAATTGATTACTGGTCAGAATAGCAAAAAGAACTAGAAAACTTGAACAACACTAAATACCAAGTATACTTCACCAGATATCTATAGAACATTCCACTCAGCAACAGCAGAATCCAGCAGAATATATATTCTTCTGAAGTGTATGTGGAACATTCTCCGGGATAGACCATATGTTAAGTCATAAAACGAGTTTCAATAAATTTAAAAGGACTGAGATCATACAAAGTATGCTCTCTGACCAGAATGGAATGAAATTAGAAATCAATAACAGAAGAAAATTTGGGAAATTCACAAATATGTAGAAATTAAAAAACACATTCCTTAAACAACCAGTGGGTCAGAAAAGAAATCACAAGGGAAACTAGAAAATACTTTGAGCTGAATGAAAATGAAAATGTAATATACCAAAACTTATTGAATGCAGCTAAAGCAGTGCTTAGATGGAAATTGATAGCTGGCAAATGTCTGCATTCAGAAGGAAGAATCATCTCAAATCAGTAACATTGCCTTCTACCTTAAGACTCTAGAAAAAGATCAAACTAAGTCCAAAACTTAGAAGGAAGGCAAGAACAAAGATTACAGCAGAAATGAATGAAATCGAGAATTTAAAAAAAATCAATGAAACCACAAGTTGGTTCCTTGGAAAGATCAACAAAATTGACAAACATTGGCTAAACTACCAAGAAAAAAAAAAAGAAGACTCAAATTACTAAAAATGACACTAAGGTGTCTCACAGGTTTTTGTTTTTTGTTTTGAGACTGAGTCTCACTCTGTTGCCCAGGCTGGAATGCAGTGGCAGGATCTCAGCTCACTGCAGCCTCCACCTCCCAGGTTCAAGGGATTCTCCTGCCTTGGCCTCCTGAATAGCTGAGGCCACAGGCCTGCACCACCATGCTCGGCTAATTTTTGTATTTTTAGTAGAGACAGTCTGGCCTCGAACTCCTGGCCTCAAGTGATCCGCCCGTCTCGGCCTCCCAAAATGCTGGGATTATAGGCGTGAGCCACCGCACCCGGCCAGTGTCCCACAGTTTCTGTGTCATGAGTCTATGGGTTAGCTGAGTACCCTGCTCAGAATCGCACCAGGCTGAAATCATGGTGTCAGCTGAGCTGAAGTTATCATGTAGAGATCCAGATCTTCTTCCAAGCCCACGCAGGTTGTTGGGCAAATTCAGTTCCTTGCAGCTCTGGGACTGACGTCCTTATAGGCCGTCCCCACCTTAGACAGTTCACAACATGATTGCTTTCTTCCTCAGGGCCAGCAGTAGAGCCTCTCCTGTTGCTTTTTAACTTCTTTTAAGGGTTTACCTGATTAGGTCAGGCCCATCCAGGATGATCTGTCTTTTGATTAACAGTATCCACTGATTAGGGGATGTAATTGTTTTTTTTTGATTTTGGTTTTGGTTTTTTTTTGAGACAGAGTCTCACTCTGTTGCTGACGCTGGAGTGCAGTGGCGCAATCTTGGTTCACTGCAACCTCCGCCTCCTGGGTTCAAGCGATTCCCCTGCCTCAGCCTCCCGAATAGCTAAGACCACGGGCACGTGCCACCATGCCCAGCTAATTTTTGTATTTTTAGTAAAGACGAGGTTTTATCATGTTGGCCAGGCTGGTCTCGAACTCCTGGCCTCAAGTGATCCGCCCGTCTCAGCCTCCCAAAGTGCTGGGATTACAGGCGTGAGCCACCATGCCTGGCCTAGGGGATGTAATTGTATCTGCACAATCCTTTTTGCTATTTACAGTTATCTAATCACAGGAGTGATACCCTGTCATGGCCACAGGTTCTACCCACACTCATGGAGAGGGTCTTTACTCAAATATCAGAGTGTTCCTGGTCACCTATTTAAATTCTCCCATTTCATCCCTACTTCCTACCTATACCATCTTCCTCTCTGCCCTCCCTGCTTAATTTTTCTTGTCAGCCTTTAATATCTAACATGCCATATATTTTATTTATCTTACTGTCATCTCCCTGCCCTATGTTAGCATATAAGTTCCATGCAATCAGGGCTTTTTTTGGCTTTGTTCCCTGCCAGATTTCCTGTTTCTAGAACAGTGCCTAGCACATATTGCATTTAGTAAAGTCTTGCTCAATTGATAGATGAACTTTTAAATATTTGTAGAATGTATATTAGTGTTGCCAAATTGAAATTATATCTCACTTGTCTTATTATTGAATTACATTTATCCTGCTTTGCAGATTTTATAATAATCTCAAAAAGAATTGACTGTAGTTGTCTCCAGTAGACTTTTAAAAAATTGTCAATTAAGGTTACCTTCTTTAGAACTTGTTCTCTTTATTTACTATTATGTTTAAACTCATTTTACCTGTGCATTTATTTTGGAGAAGCAAGTCATTTATGCCTTTCAGATATAAAACTATAGGTGGCCTCACAACCCTTTAAATGTAGTATGTTAAAGGACTGAAAGTTAAAGTTGACATTCAGCGAAAGAATTACTTTTTAATGTTCCAAATTGGAAAGTTTGCATATAATCCACTGGAAATGAAGAATTAAGAGTGACAAATACAGTGTTTCCAAATTTTAGGAAGGATTGTTAATGTCTGCAGTTTTGAGTATTCTAAGACGATAGTCACTGTGTTTCTCTTTTACTCTCTTCCTGCTTGTGTCTTTGTGTGTAATCGTTTGTGAATGTATTTATGTGCAGTTTCTCCTGATTATCTTGTTCCTATTTCACTCTATTCCTGTGGCTGTGTTGTTCTTTTGCCCTTTGCTCACGCCAGGCCCTTCCTCAATGTTGGCAAATACAAAAACATAAAAGTGGTTTGTACATTTGTATTAGTATATTTAACTAAGTAGAATATCAGATTCTGTTTTTATTCTTGAGCACGTCAGTTTTTTTATAGCTTTGGGAAACTTGTTTTTTACTTCTATTGATACAGTAATTTTCAGTCGAATAAAATCTGTTGTGGTTGGGCTTTGAAAAATTCCAGTATTACAGTTAGTTCGTCATCCATATGATCTTAGGAAAGTTGGCTGATTTCTCTGACGTTTTCTTCATCTACACGTATATGAAAAAGTTAATTTCTGTCATTGGGATTATTGTGAGAATTAAATAACAAAGAGCAGCAAAAAATAAGCATCAGATTTTGAGGCTAAATCCCAGTTAGGTTGTGCCTGTTGAAATCTGAGTTCCTTTCACCTTTGTATTTGTAAGCTTTCCTTTTTCTCTGAACTCTTCCTTGGCATCCTTCCCTACCTTTCCTTTCTTCCCCCCACATGCCCCGCCTTTTTGGATAGGTCTCACAGAAGATAAACAGGGTGAAAAGTTTCATGCCGTAGCTCTTCTCTCACAGCCAACCAAATGCTTTAAATCCCTCCTCTCCCTCCATTTGTCAGTCAACATGTACTTAGTAAGGGCTCACAGGACATCGAATACTAGAAGAGATAGCTGAATACTTAATTCCACTCTGCAGTTATCTAGGCCTGTCATTCCTGTTCACAAATGGAAACCCAATCCTACCTGGAACAAGAAGAACTTCTTTAGTGTTAATCCTGTGTTAATGAATTTGTTAAATTAGTCTTTGCTGACACAGAGAAGAAAACACTTTGCTATATGTGAAAGATTAATTTTATTGTTTAATCTGTGCATAATTTCAAGGGCATTGATGGAGAAAGATGCTCTTTCAGGACAGCCAAGAAGTATCAAGTTAGGCCAGTAGTTGCCCTGAGCATGCTTGTTTAAGAAAGGAGATCTGAGAGGAGCAAGGGTCATTTTCAGCTTGTTTTTTAAAGGTGCAGTGGGAATTTCTTTACTGTCTAAAATTCCTTTTGCTATTTGAAAGGAACTAATGAAATATTTTAAAGTCATCCTTTTAATGGACTGTAGTTTTAATTTATGTATTTATAGTGAACTATATTCCAGCAAGTTTGTAAAAAGACTTTTACAGGTATGTGAAATATAAGATAATCTTATAAATTACAAAAGGGGAAAAAGAATGAAATTCATCGATAGGCTCGTTAAAAATGAAGCTAACGTCGAGACTGGACGATACTAAAATAATGACCTGCCCACTTGCCTCTGGTTAGACTGTAAATCTGGCTTTAGGCCTTCTAGTAGTCTACCAAAAATGAAAGGTAGTTTTGCAATTTACAATAAGATAAAAATAAGACTACTGCTGAGGAAAAGCATAATAGTTCTTGCTGCAGAAATCAGGGAGGAATTTTTCTGAATGAGACCATGTGAAAGTGACGCTGGATGAGATCTAACAACACTCCAGCAACAACTTGCAGGAAGAGCAAGGGTGAATTTCATAGAGCTGTGTCCTGTAACAACTACCAGTACAGGTTCATGTATCACAACAAGCACCGTTCATAAAAGGAATAATCCTGCGGGGTGCAGCAGGCCCAATATGCTGTGATTCACAGAACCCAGTTTTCTGATGATCTGACTTGAACTCAATACATATTTTAGAAAATCTGGCAAATGGAATGTATTTTCCTTGGTCAGTTATTCTTAAATGTCTTTTTTTCTTCTCAGATGAACTTTGTCAAATATTTGATAGCATTGATAGACATGTTCCAGGAGCAGAGCTTTTCATTTTGTTCCAGGTACATACCAACACTTATGCTTTAACAGAATGCAGTTTGAAGTTGGATTGACTTCTTTGAAAACTGAGAAGCCAAATAAGAATACTAGCCTCAAGAGTCCTCCAGCCTTATGGATGAGCTAAAGATGTGCCCTAGTAAAAAACTCACCCTAGTAAATGGCTTTGAATCTGTTTTAATGTGCAGCCAGAGAGTAGCATGAAACCCCAAAGCTCTACCATGCTCTGTGTTATGGTCACAGTAAATTGAGCCTGGAAGATTTTTCATGCGTGTATAACCAGTTGCCCACCTGGCGGAAAAACACAGGGCACTCATCAAACTTTGTCTGGCTTTGAGCAGTGTGATTCCTGGTTTATCTTTGCTGATAAACTACTTGCCAAACATACACTGAGAAAATTAGATGAAGGAACTCGTTGAATAGGATTGTTATTTTATAAGTCAGTTGAAAATGATGGACCACTTACCAAAAGTAATATATTCGATTACAGAATAGGTGATCTGTAGCCTTTCTTTTCTGGCAGGAATTAGTAAACAAAGGCATTCCTTATTAGTCATAACAAAATTATGGTACCCTAAAGTTTTAAAAATAATAATAATAAACTGCCTATCTCAAACTTAAGAGAATGATATGTACTAGCTTATACAAAATGGCATCATGTTATTAATAAGAAACAAGTTAACAAAAAGTAGGGCTAGAAAATACCCTCTTACACCCCACGTAAAAATTTTTAATCACTCATCAAGAGCCTTTCTCCTTTTGTGACTCTTGCAGAATTAGGTGCTGATTCTGAGTAAACATCAATATGGTGACAAAGAATTTACAGTGGGAGATAGTTATTGAATAGCAAGGTTTATGTTATTGTCAGAATTTTAAAAATGCTGTGACTTTGCGATACTCATTGCTATGACTTCTCCTGTTAATAATCTGCCTGGAAGTCTGGTGTCTGATGCTTACCAACAATTACCATGTGGTCGCTTAGGGATGATAAGTGATGTTAATGAGGTCAAAGGCAGAATATCAGTTGACTAGAGCGGCATACTAGAAATCAGGAAATTCAACTTCTGGCCTTGGCTGGGTCAGTGATTTTATGATATTTGTCATATCTTTTGAACATTCTGTACCTTGGCTTCTCCATCTGTTAAACTGAATTCATAATAACTGTCCTGGTCTGTCTCACAGGAATGTTGCATGGACAAATTAGATAAGTGTAAAAGTGCCTTGGAGGTAAAGCTGCTCTATGAATATAAATTAGTGTGATATAGCTACTGAAAAGTATGTTGCAGAGGCTAGAATGGTTAGTCTCTGCAGGCTTCATGACTAGATAAGGCTTCATAATGGATTCCTGCCAAGCAAACCAAGCCCATCTTATCAGTTCATGACCATAAAGTATTTAATGGGGAAAAAAATCTCTTACAAACATTTGTTACCTTGATACAAATGTGTGTTAAAAATCGGTCATGTTGGGGAGGGGGGAGAGGGAAGTTGGTGCACAGTGGGTATAAAATTTCAGTTATACAAGATGAATAAGTTCTAGAGATCTGCTGTACAACATTGTGCCCATAATTAACAATACTACATTGTACTCTTAAAAATCTGTTAAGAGAGTGGATCTCATTTTAAGGGTTCTTACCACAATAAAATTAAATTTTTGAAATAAATCAGTCATATTTGAGTGAAATGAAACCTTTCTGAGTAGTTTCAGACAATTGATAATACCTAGTTTACAGTTCCTGTAGTCATTTTGGAGGGTGAGGACTTGATGTGTTTAGTAAAGTTGAGAAATAAATACATGAAAGAATGTGTGGGGAAGAGAAATTGTGGGGAAGAGAAATTGTCTCAGGTAATAGTTATTACTATTTTTAGCACTATGACTTACCAAATTGAAGTTTTTGTTTGTTTCTTTTGTAGAAGTGTCAAAGTCTCATCTCTGCCTAAACCATATATTTTTTTCTGGTTGCCTCATGTTCTGTCACAGTCACAGTTAACATCCTCATTCTCAATCCTACCCATGATGCAGACAGATTGCCTCATTTCAGCTCAATAAAACATCACCAAATTCCCTTAGGCAGAAAAAGGGTGGGGAGTGCCCTTTCTTGAAGGAATCCCTTAAGTGCACGTCTCCCGTTTTCTTTTCACATCAATGCAGAGTCCCTCTGTGAATTTACAACACCCAACACCCATGAGTTCAGTCCTTAAGAAGGAAAATTGAGCAAGTATTTAATTGGTTGGACATTGCATAAAAGAGGTCCATATCCAGGCTAACTCTAGAAATTTTATTCTCAAACTTAGTTGGCCTCTTTTTCTTCTGTCAGAGGACCATTCTTAGTGGCACTGGGGAAATCTTGGCACCCAGAAGAATTCAACTGCGCTCACTGCAAAAATACAATGGCCTACATTGGATTTGTAGAGGAGAAAGGAGCCCTGTATTGTGAGCTGTGCTATGAGAAATTCTTTGCCCCTGAATGTGGTCGATGCCAAAGGAAGATCCTTGGAGTAAGTATTGGAAACGTTTTTATTCTGAATGAGTTTTAAAGTAGAATAATTTTTTGATATGAAAGTCTTCTATCACTTTAACTTTTTATTTTCTTCTTGCTTTATGCCCTCTCTGCTTTCGGCACTATTTATTATTGTAAAGCAAAACTAAATAGACCTCTGTGGAAATATATCGGACTCATGGGGTTAGGTTGTCTTTGGTTTTGTCTCACTGAGTGCTGGCTTGTCTGGTGAAAGTCTAGCCACTGTGGGGAAAAAATAATTTACTGTGGGTGTGCTTCCTCAACAGGAGCCTGTTTGCTCAGGAATGAAGAGGTCGCATAGGACCACACACATCTGAGTTCTTAGAACTGACACCTTCACTGTTTTAAATTAAATTCCATAGCTTTTATAAGAGCAGTATTTCCCTACTTGTCAGAGTTCAAGCACAGGACACTGATTTCATGAAATATATAAAACATGAGGTTTATAAATGATATATTTTTCTTGAATACATACAGTGTTTAAAAATATAACCTCAGTTTTATGAGAGTGCACATGTGATGGAAAAATAATTTTTTTTCCTTTTTTGCAAAAAAAGGAGTAATTTAGGAATCAGATACAGTACATAATAAATAATGAATACATGAATTTCTTGCTCTGGAATACCTAGTTTCCAATGATAAAGTAAGGGTCAGGCATACTTTATGGTGACTAGGAGCTGGAATCTGATTTCAGAAGAAGCCAGAGTACCTGGCTTCACACAAAAATTGGACATGGCCCTGCTGAACTCTAATATACTCTCAATGTGAAAATATGATAATGAAACTCTAATTATTGTTAATTGAGAGAATAGGTAGTATGAATTATTGAGTAGTCTTAAGATATCTCTTAGGATATCCTTAAATATGTCTGAAACGTTGAAGACACTTAAAATTATATATATGTCACCTGAAATATTTCTAGATTATTGATTTGTGTAATATGTTGGGAACAAAGAAGTGGAATGGTTCAGACTGTACCTTCCCAAATGATAACAAATAATTAATAGAATATTCATTAATACTGTTTTAGTGTATCAAGGTATTCTATAAATGTTAGAATAACAAAACAAAGTGAAGTTAGAGTCTTAGACCCAAATAAAGTTCTGGGAAATGGAAATCTCATACTCATTGCCTTGGAGATGGGCCAGAACTTCAATAGCTTGTCTAGATTGTATTTTAGTTATTTGATTACCTGTTAAAGATTTCTCTCAAGGATGGAAAGGGAAGAATATTCTGGAAGCCTTGGGAGATAGTTTGATTCAATATACATCTTCTACAAATGTTCATGGTGAATTTTTTGGATCTAAATGTCTGTTTCTTCCCATTGTCCTTCAGTAGTGAACTGTGACAATTTCTATGGCTAATAAGTCTATATTATTTCATTTTATTTTGATATTTTTTATAAAAGAAAATAGTTCACTCAAGCACAATTAGAAAACACAAAAAATTTAAAGAATAAATTTAAATGACCTAAATATTTACCAATCACAGATAATTACTGTTAACCTTATGATGTGTTTTTTTCTAGTTTGCTCTTTATAAGTAATGTGTTTACAAAATTGTAATCATGCTTTATGTATATGATTTTTTGTGATAAATATTATAGAAAGAGTATTCACTACTCATCCAAAATTATTTTAATGGCTCCATCTTTCTCTCAATCCAAAGAAATGATTTCTTGTAAAACCAACACCCAAAACCTCTTTTACTAACTAATATCTGGCCCAAATCTTTATAACTTGGTATGTTTAACCATTGGGCCATTGCTGACTAGAATATGGTCCAAATTTTACACATTCGAGTCTGTGCTTAGTGCCATCTTAGCTGATTTCCAAAAGCCTAAACACGTGTTAAACTGATTGGATTACATTATATTTTTATTATATTTTATTACATTATATACATTTATATACATTATATACATGTAATATATACAACTATATATAATTATGTATATTTTATTATTTTTATTTATTTATTTATTTTTTTGAGACGGAGTCTTGCTGTGTCACCCAGGCTGGAGTGCAGTGGCGCGATATCGGCTCATTGCAAGTTCCACCTCACGAGTTTATGCCATTCTCCTGCCTCAGCCTCCCAAGTAGCTGGGACTACAGGCACCCACCACCACGCCCAGCTAATTTTTTGTATTTTCAGTAGAGACGGGGTTTCACCGTGTTAGCCAGGATGGTCTCGATCTCCTGAACTCGTGATCCGCCCGCCTCGGCCTCCCAAAGTGCTGGGATTACAGGTGTGAGCCACTGCGCCCGGCCCCATTATGTTTTGTTATTAAATTATATATATTATATTATTGCTTCTAAAATGCACCAAAGTATAGGTTTGTTTTAATTTTTAAATGCTTCCTCCTTCCCCCAGAACTTTTGCAGATAATACCATAAAACCTTGGTAAGTTAATGTTTCCTGACACCCTTTGAGAAGAAGCAGAAAGTTTTGTAGCAAGCATTTATGAAATGCTTACTTTATTCACTGTACATATAATGTATAAATAACATAGTGATCATTCTTTAAGTTTATTGATTGGCATTTGTAAAGAACACACGTCTAAATATGCATCCGTTTAGATGATTTGTGAGTCTGTTCTTAAGTATCTCTTGTTACTTTGAGGGAAAGCTCAAGACAAAAATGAAGTATGTGTGCCTACTTTGGATTAGCTCTACAGGGATTTACTGGTACAGATATTAGAATAAACATTTATGTATTTATTGTCATCTTCTTTTTTTACATCCAATTACCTTTCTGTAACAGGAAGTCATCAGTGCGTTGAAACAAACTTGGCATGTTTCCTGTTTTGTGTGTGTAGCCTGTGGAAAGCCCATTCGGAACAATGTTTTTCACTTGGAGGATGGTGAACCCTACTGTGAGACTGGTAAGATCAGGGAGCCATTTGTTTCTTGAATTTTGAATAAAGGTAAAACATTAACCCTTATATTACTATAAAGCTCAAGAAAATATTAGGCAAAGTTATTTTCTTAATTGTTTTGGAAGCATTTAATGCTGCTCTAAGCATGTAGAAAAAACTATGTAGATTTTTTTTTTTCTTTTGAGACGGAGTCTCACCCTTGTTGCCCAGACTGCAGTGCAATGGCCCAATCTCGGCTCACTGCAGCCTCTGCCTCCCAGGTTCAGGCGATTCTCCTGCCTCAGCCTCCCGAATAGCTGGGAATACAGGCATGTGCCACCATGCTCGGCTCATTTTGTATTTTTAGTAGAGACAGGGTTTCGTCATGTTGGCCCGGCTGGTCTCGAACTCCCGACGTCAGGTGATCCACCTCCCAAAGTGCCGGGATTACAGGCATGAGCCACTGCGCCTGGCCCTATATAGACTTTTTAATGTGACTTTGTCAAAACAGATATTCCCAACTTTATTATTAGAATTGAGAATGTAAGCATTACTTAGTAGGAAAAATATTTTGCTTGAATTCCCAATGATTTGTGGATATAAATTCTACTAAATCATGTACCTTAAGTCCACTTCTTGTAGTCCAGTAGTGAATTTTGTAAACATCAGAAATGTTCCACTTTAGAATATGATATTGATTTGCCCTTTAAGGCGACTGCCTTGAAAATAAACTGGAGATCGTTTGTTACTTTTACTGAATGAGAAGGTAATCCTGACTTGGATTGTTCCCTTGGTAAAATGATTTTTAATAAACTAGACTAAAAGGACCTATCTACTGCATTTGTCTTATTACACAAACTCAGAACGTTTCCTTTTCCTTCCCAAAGTCTGTAAGTGAACTTTTATAACATTTATTAATAGTGCCCTTACTTAGATATTACTACCACATATACATGTTTCAAAATACAAAACATTTTTCCTTTATTGTGCCTCTATTCACTACCAGTGCATTCTCACTACTGAGTTTTATTGTTATTCTACCTTGAAATTCAAAGCTCTGTGCTGATAGAAGGAGGTATTCCAAAATAATGGAGTTAAAGGAGCAGTCAGCTTCTAAGTTGAAGCTGTGTCATCATCATTCAGCCCTTCTTTGCCCACTCAGTATTCTCTTATTTTCATCTTCCTTTCAGCTCCTTAGTTTAAACCAACCTGGATATATTCCAGACTGTCTCCCAGGAACCCCAGAAATTCCAGTGAAGTACCCCATGGGCTGTTTTGGGACAGGTTGGCCACAAGCTGCCTTCCTCAATTCAACCAGAATACTTCATATTTTGTAATTCCACTTAATTTTTCTGAAGAAAGGGCTGGGTTTTGTTTGTTTGTTTGTTTGTTTGGTTTTTAGTTTGATTTGTTTGTTTTAGCAGCTTTGGAAGACATTTTGACTAACTGGCAGGTAGCCCATATCTAGCCAAAACACATAAAACAGTCTAGCCTTAATACCTATATTTAATGTATTTGAAGTCATATTTTAAATACTAAATAATTACTTATAGGAAAGGAAAAACATTATTGAATATTTATTTAAATGTCACATCTAATCAACTTGGTCTGTTTTTGTTCTTTTTCTTCTTTTAACCTCCAAACCATTTCTTAACCCAGTTTCCTCTATCTCAATAAATAACCCCATCGTCCACTATCCAAAAACCTGCAGGCCATGTTGGATTCTGCTTTTCCCCTTGTTCTTTCCTTATCCAATCTAAATAGGAAATTCTGGCAGCTCTACCTCCAACGTATATCATATTCATTTATTTCTCTCCATCTCCACTAAAGCTAACTAAAGCTAAAGTCACTGAAGCTAACTTGCTTTCACCCTTTTTCTGGACATTGTAATTGGCACCTAAATGGTATAGCCCCTCACCTTCCTTCCAACCTCCAAACAGCAGGCATAGAGCAGCTGTAGTATATATGTGTGTATGTGTGTGTGTGTGTGTGTGTGTGTGTGTGTGTGTGTGTGTGTGTATTGTTTAGACGGAATCTTGCTCTGTCGCCCAGGCTGGAGTGCAGTGGCGCAATCTTGGCTCACTGCAAGCTCTGCCTCCCGGGTTCATGCCATTCTCCTGCCTCAGCCTCCTGAGTAGCTGGGACTACAGGCACCCGCCACCACGCCTGGCTAATTTTTTTGTATTTTTAGTAGAGACGGGGTTTCACCATGTTAGCCAGGATGGTCTCGATCTCCTGACCTCGTGATCCGTCCACCTCAGCCTCCCAAAGTGCTGGGATTACAAGCGTGAGCCACCACGCCTGACCAGTAATAGTTTTTGAAATGTGAATTAGATCAAGCTTAAACCCTTTAGTGGGTTCCACTAGAAAAAAATTACACTTTTTTTTTTTTTTGAGATGGAGTCTCACTCTGTCACCCAGGCTGCAGTGCAGTGGCCCGATCTCGGCTCACCGTAACCTCCACCTCCCGGGTTCAGGCGATTCTTCTGCCTCACCTCTCAAGTGGCTGGGATTACAGGCACCTGTCACCACTCCCGGCTAATATTTTTGTATTTTTAGTGGAGACGGGGTTTCACCATGTTGGCCAGGGTAGTGTAGAACTCCTGACCTCAAGTGATCCACCTGCCTCGGCCTCCCAAAGTGCTGGGATTACAGGTGTGAGCCACCGCGCCCGGCCAAATTACACTTTTGAAGGCCTGTTTTGCCATCCTTATCTCCTCTCACCTTACCTTCTGTCACCAGATTCTACCCATAAGCAGCCCTTTGGCATTTTTCTGAACATGCTGAGATCCTTCCTTCTTTGGGGCTTTTGTGCTTACTGTTTCTTCTAACTTGAATGTTCTTTGTCAGTTTTTCTGCGGCGATTCCTCTATATTCACGTTTCATTGCAACTATTACCTCTTCAGAGAGGCCTTTTCTAATTTTCCTTAATAGTGTAGTGCCCCCCCCAATTATTTTGTATTAAATTACTATTTTCTTTCCTTCATGGTACTTATCATAATCTGAAATTTATTTATTATCATTTATTTTTTAAATTCAATAAATCATGACATCCTCTTTCCAATGAGAATATGAGCCCCATGAGGAAAGCAACCTCAACTGTCTTCTTCACCACTGTACCCCTGCAGTGCCTTGAACAATGCCTGGCACACAGTAGACTGCATGAATCTATGCTGAGCAAATGGTGCTAAGGAATACTAAAGATTGACAATTGCCAAGTAAGGTTAATCGAGTTGCAAATTATAGCCTGCCTTCCTCTCCAGCTGAGGTTGGATTGACAATGTCAAAGGCCAAAGGGTGAACCATGAGTCAACACAGTAGTGAGAGGAGCTGCATAAAAGAAAATTAGGTCAACCAGCCTGGGCAAGATGGGGAAACCCTGTCTTTACTAAAAATAAAAAAAAATAAAAAAAATAGCCAGGTTTTGGTGGTGGGCACCTGTAATCCCAACTGCTCGGGAGACTGAGGCAGGACAATCACTTGAACCCGAGAGGTGGAGGTTCCAGTGAGCCGAGATCGCGCCACTACACTTCAGCCTGGGCAAGAGAGCGAGACTCTGTCTCAAAAAGACAAAAAAGAAAAGAAAATTAGGGCCAGGCACAGTGACTCAGTGCCTTTAATCCCAGCTCTTTGGGAGGTGAGGCAATCACTTGAGGTCATGAGTTCAAAACCAGCATGGGCAGCCTACGAAGACCCTGTCTCTACAAAAAAAATTTTTTTTTAATTAGCTGGACATGGTGGCTTGTACATGTAGTCTCAGCTACTCAGGAGACAGAGGCAGGAGGAGGCTTGAGCCAAGGAGGTGGAGGCTGCGGTGAACTATGATCACACCACTACACTCAAGCCTGGGTGACAGAGCAAGACCCTGTCTCTCTAATGAAAGAAGAAAAAAAAAGAAAATTCTAATTTAGTAATAGAGAAACATCTCAAAACTGCTTTTGTCAGAAGGAAATCCTGTTAGTATTCTTATAACTGTAATCTATGTCAAGTAAATGGTCTTTTCTGGCTAAGGGTTTTCAACATGAAGTCATAAAATTGAAAGGAAAATACAGCAAAATAAATTGTGGCTAATATCGTTGTGATACAGTCTAGCTAGAAACTCAGTCATAGCACTTATTCATGTAAGTTTCCTGTAATGTTTCTTTTTTCTTCCTTGACCAAGTCAGATACGCTATGAAATTTGCCAATATCAGATTTTGTTTTTGATCTCTCTTCATTAGTCTTATTGTTGCTAGTTATTAGAAGTCCTTTGTATTTCTTCAGAACAGTCATGTCTACTGATAACTGGTCACAGAACAGTTCTTTTTTTTTTTTTTCTTTAAGACAGTCTCACTCTTGTCACTAGGCTGGAGTGCAGTGGCGCGATCTCAGCTCACTGAAACCTCCACCTCCCAGGTTCAAGCAATTTTCGTGCCTCAGCCTCCCGAGTAGCTGGGACTACAGGCATGCGCCACCACGCCCAGCTAATTTTTGTATTTTTAGTAGAGACGGGGTTTCACCACTTTGGCCAGGATGGTCTCAATCTCTTGACCTCGTGATCTGCCTACCTCAGCCTCCCAAAGTGCTGGGATTACAGGCATGAGCAACCGCGCCCGGCCAGAACAGTTCTTTATATGTATTTAGGCAATTAAGTAGTTGGTGAGAAGTGAGAAGTATTACATGGAAAATTATAATCAAGAATGTTAGGTTGTATAAATAATATTTATACCAAGGGAATCCTGAAACATGCTAAACATCTCTCTCAAGCCAAATGTTATGCCATCTCCTGAAATTTTTCAAATTCCTAATATCTTTGTCTTCAGCATCTCATCTAATCCTGATTTTGTTGCTGCCTTCTAGGAACGATCATTCTAAAACTTCATCATGTTTAAATTATGTCTCTCTGCCCTCCCTTAATACAGATTATTATGCCCTCTTTGGTACTATATGCCATGGATGTGAATTTCCCATAGAAGCTGGTGACATGTTCCTGGAAGCTCTGGGCTACACCTGGCATGACACTTGCTTTGTATGCTCAGTAAGTAGAGTCTTATTTCCTAATTAAAGGGGTATAGTATGGCCAATTCTAGCTTTAGTATTTAATGGAAATATCAGCTTCTGGGTCTTTCAGTCCTTCAAACCTAAGGAAAAATTATTTTTAATTTTTTGTAAATTTCGAAAGTTGTTTATTAAATTTTTTGGCATTTTTGAAATTATTTGGCACACAGTGAGATCCTTAGTCCTTAGAGAAAATACAATTTTAATATATTTTTGTCTATAAGGAGAAGCTATGTATTTCTTAAAACAGTAAGATTCCTTTACTTAAAAAAAAAAAAACCTCTGTTACTGGAGTGTTTGTTGTAGTTTTTGGAAACGTTAGGTACTTCTTAAAATACAAATAAATAATTATAAAAATCGGCTATTGGATTAACACTGGGAATAAACTATATGTTGAGTCATTTCTTTTCTTAGCAATAGCCCCTGGATATTCTTTTCTTTTTGAGACTATGGTCCAATAAACGTGATAAAGTATTTGCCTATTCATTTGATATTTTAATATTTTTGGTTTTATGTTTAATGATTAGGATGGATTCAAATATTAAAATAAATAGTTTTTAAATGTAGGAAGTAAATATCCAGTAAACGTGCTCTGTTCAGGTGTTTGACTTTTTAAAATTAGATTTAACATATCTACAGTTTTCAATACTCATTGTACAAAGGGGGCAAAAGTAATATTAATCGGTGCTTAATGATTTCCCCAAACATTACCATTGAACTTTTGCTTGTTTACCTCATCCATCTCTTAGACTTCATAAAGTCTATAAAAAGCAGAACTTTTAGCAGATTTGCCTTTTCTTTTCTAATAAAGCTGTTCATTCTAATTAACAAAGGCAATAGGAAGAACAAGGAGCTGTAAATGTAGATAGTGGACTGACTGTATAATCCTCAGCAGCCAGATACTGACCTGGTTATAAGAAACAAACAAAAGAGGTCTCAGCTTGAACACAAGGCAGCCCTTAAAAAAAAAGGGTCTCAGGTATTCTGTGCCTGTGTAACTGGCAGCAAGCTAATGTTGGGCTTGGGAAGGTTTGGTAAAGCAAATGAGTCTCTACAACACAAAGCAAAATTAGGACGTTGTTTATAATTTGGGGAGATAAAATATATTTAACGAGCCCCCTTTCTATATTGATTTTCAAGTTAGGGATAAATCTTCCCTCTGGATAAAGAAAAGTGATGATCAGTGCTTTCTATAAATTAGAATACATTCTAGGAAAAAGCAATTTTTCATTGCTTTTGAAAGATTATATCTAATGTTATAGTAATCGTCAAATATTAGGGAGTCTAACTTAACCAACTAAAGTGTTTTGTCATATTATCCATTGGGGGGAAAAATCACTCTCTCCTTCTCCAGCATACTGGGTAAAATCCTCTTAATATCCTCTTAAATAATATCTCTTAAATGCTGCTTCTTTTTCAGGTGTGTTGTGAAAGTTTGGAAGGTCAGACCTTTTTCTCCAAGAAGGACAAGCCCCTGTGTAAGAAACATGCTCATTCTGTGAATTTTTGAAAGTCAACAGTTCAGGAGAAGAGAAGGAATTTGAAGAGAAAAAGGAAAATTAAAATTACTAATTAATTTTTAGATTCAATATTTATATGGAGTTTTGAAAAATAATAGTGGCCCTGAAGGAATAAATTCCAGCTTTAAAAACCAAGTCTGAGGAAATATTTGGCTTCATAAAGTAAAGAGACGGTTTGGCATTTATTATTACTTTTTCCTGTATTTTATGCCCATAAAATAAGCTTTATAAAAACCAATTTCCTGATGGACTATTAAATTCATCTTAGAATAAATTAGTGAAGAATTTAATTTTAGAATAAATAATCCAATCTGAAATAATTATACCTTCTTTCCTTGTTAGGTAGTTATGAGTAAATCTGCAAAAGGCAATGAAAATGCCTTAAATTTTATCAATAACAGAATTATTGTATTTAAAAAAAAACTAATACTTATCTTTAAAATAGTAAATAGGATTTTAAACAGAGAATTTTATCAGTAATAGGTGTCAGTTTTTAAAAAATTGCTTGTAGGCTGAGCGCGGTGGCTCACGCCTGTAATCCCAGCACTTTGGGAGGCCAAGGTGGGTGGACCACATGAGGTCAGGAGTTTGAGATCAGCCTGGCCAACATGGTGAAACCCCATCTCTACTAAAAATACAAAAATTAGCCGGACGCAGTGGCACGCGCCTGTAATCCCAGCTACTCAAGAGGCTGAGGCACGAGAATCACTTGAACCCGGGAGGGAGAGGTTGCAGTGAGCCAAGATCGTACCACTGCACTCCAGCCTGGGTGACAGAGTGAGACTCTGTCTCCAAAAAAAAACTTTGCTTGTATATTATTTTTGCCTTACAGTGGATCATTCTAGTAGGAAAGGACAATAAGATTTTTTATCAAAATGTGTCATGCCAGTAAGAGATGTTATATTCTTTTCTCATTTCTTCCCCACCCAAAAATAAGCTACCATATAGCTTATAAGTCTCAAATTTTTGCCTTTTACTAAAATGTGATTGTTTCTATTCATTGTGTATGCTTCATCACCTATATTAGGCAAATTCCATTTTTTTCCCTTGTGCTAAGGTAAAGATTTAATTAAATAATTTTGGCCTCTCATAGTTTTCTCTCTCTTTAAAGAGAATAAATAGAGGGCCAGGTGTGGTGGCTCACGCCTGTGATCCCAGCACTTTGGGAGGCCAAGACGGGCGGATCATGAGGTCAAGAGATCAAGATCATCCTGGCCAACATGGTGAAACCCTGTCTCTACTAAAAATACAAAAATGAGCTGGGCATGGTGGGGCGTGCCTGTAGTCCCATGTACTTGGGAGGCTGAGGCAGGAAAATTCTTGAACCCAGGAGACGGAAGTTGCAGTGAGCTGAGATCACACCACTGCACTCCAGCCTGGTGACAGAGCAAGACTCCGGCTCTTAAAAAAAAAAAAAAAAAAAAAAAAAGAGAGAGAGAGAATAAATAGAAAAGAATGTGGCTGGGAATTGTGAATCAGAAGATTATACCCCCCAATTGTTTTTCAATCCCCTTTTCTCAAATAATAAATTAGTTAAATCAGTTTCTGAGTTATGCCACTGGCTGATGAAGAGTTGAGAGGTCTCTTTGCAGAATGATCTTTTTGTTTCGTTTTGTTTCTTCTTCTGCATTTAAAAATTAAAAGATTGGTTTGAGGATGTGATGAAATTGAGACTTTTTGTGGTTTTCTCTCAATAATAAGTGAACCAATTTCAAATGTGATCACAAAGTTTGGAAAGCTTTTATTCACAGAGGTTGGGTAGTGTTGGGAGGGGAGTTTAATTACTCAGATTGGCCTGTTATTTGATTTCCTCCTTTGGGAAAAGAATTATGTAGATACCACATGGAGACAGGGAAACAATTGTGGTAAAACTGTGGATCCTGTTGCTATTTGCCCAGTGAGAAAACAGATTCTGGTATTTGATTTGGTTTTTCTCTTTGTTTCCAGAATGGATGAAAGTCCATGAACCTCCTAAGTTATAATTTAAATTTGTTTGGGGCAAGGTGATTTTATAGTCGAGACAGAGCCCTAGGTCCTTCCTGCCCCATCACTCACTTACGACATCACTTCCATTGTGTGCATGTTTGTTATAGAGGAGGTTTTAGGCTACAATATTTGTTTAACCTCCCTAAGAACTTTCAAGGCATCTGTCCTGAAAGCTGTTAATTTATGGTCTAGCAGATTTATATTATATGCAGATAATAATTAACTGGGGATAAAAGAATGGCAAGGGGTGACACAAAGTAGCAAACTGAATACTTCTCCAATAGCAACCCCAAGCTACCTCCTCACCCTGCATCTTGGAGGGAGGCAGGAAATTTCTTTTGAAATAAAGTGCTGGAGCTGAATTCTGCATTATTTATCGTTGCTGCTGAAACCACCTATAAAAGACTTGCTGGCTAATGTGCATTGTCATATAATGTACACTGTCACATCTTTACAGTCTTGTATGTTATAGAATACAAAATAAGTTGATGGTTTTGTTTGGTGTGAGCTTTTTGTTTGTTTGTTTAGTTTTGCCTTCATAGGTTATATGCCAAGATAGTATTTGATAAGTCAATGACATTTGGATGTTTTCTTCAAAGAATTTTATTTGACCCAGATTTCTTATAAAGTTATCTTACATTAAGGATGTCATTTTCATCAGACCTTCTTTCTACATATTATTCATGAAGCATAATGTTGCATTTCTCCAAATTTTATGCCTGAAAGGGTAGTGTTGCTTCCTAAGGTATCATGTTGTCTTTGTGCTTTGTCCATCTCTTCCGTGGCGAAGCTTTATATCTGTTCCTAAAACAGTTAATCCTGTGAAATAAATATTGAACATAATCCAGAAGAATCTCTCTGTTTCCCTTGGGGAATGCCATATTTAATTCACCAGCAGTAATCCTTTAATAACTGGCAGAGCACTTTATTCTTCTGGTGAGCTCCCTGAATATTTATTTTTCTGATTATAAATTTTCTATATTAGTAGCATTTTTTAATTATTACTTCTTCACTATAGAGCATTTACTTTTAGTCTCTAGATGTATATTTTGGAATGCTGTACTTGGCATAACATAGATTAAAATCATAATGCATGACTAAAAACTCCTTGGATTTATTTCCCATTTTAAAATTTTTAGCGGTAAGTTCAGATTTATAATCTTTCTCTAGACTTCCATGGTCTGAATGTTGCCTGCTGAAGTAGCAACCTAAAAAGTATCCCCTGCTTATGCTTGTCCAGTTGGCCCTCCATGTCCATAGGCTTCGCATCTGTGATTCAGCCCACTGTGGGTCAAAAATATTTGGGGAAAAAAATGGATGGTTGCGCCTTTGCTGAACATGTACAAACTTTTTTTTGTCATTAAACAATATAGTATAACAACTATTTACAAAGCATTTACATTGTATTAGCTATTATAGGTAATCTAGAGATGATTTAAAGTGTATGGTAGGATGTGCATAGGTTATATGCAAATACTACACCATTTTCTATAAGGGACTTGAACATCATGGACTTTAGTATCCTAGGGGGTTCTTGGAACCCATCACCCATAGGGGCACCATAGGACAACTATAGTACCGTGTTTATTTCCTATTAATTCAGGTTCCGTTTAGAGTCTAAAACTAAAACCTAATCATTTAGTCACAGTGTAAAAACAAATGGAAATAACAGCTCAAATCTTCAAAATATTACTATAGCATTATGTTTAAAATAATCTACAACAAAAATGTACCATTTTCAAGCAGTACTACATTAGGAGCCCTTTTATAGAAAATAATTTCTTCTTTACCCCCGTTCCAGTGTGAATCTAGTATTCTGTTAACATTTGTGTGGCATTTGGAGTTTGTCATCCCCATTGAAGGGAGAGCCTTCTCAGACATGAAGCAAGGGAAACATACTGAATAGTTTTACACAAATTTGATCTGGCTTCCATTTGTCCCCCTCATTTCCCAAATGTTTAAATGTATTGGATTTGGATTCTCAATGTATAAGTTGCCTTATCTGTTAATGTCTATCTTCTGTCTCTTTAATTTTGTATATCTGCTGTTTTGCTTTTGGATACATTTTCTAATTAGAAGTCACATGATAAATATAATCAGTATAGTAATAATACCATAATGTGCACATACTCAATAAATAAATGACTGCATTGTTGTAAATGAGCTCTCCTTTTTGTTGTTGTTGGTTGGCGAGTGGTTTCCATCAAGTCATCATGGGAAAATAATCAAGTTCCATATTCACAGGTTAGGATAGGATGTAATAATTCTCAGAAGAACCCTTCTAGTATGATATTTGCTTATCAAAATGTCTCAGAAACAAAATATTTGAAAATACTGTCACATTTATTGTATTTCTCTCTGTTCTTATGCCGTGCATGTAGAATGTACCCAATGTTTATGAATTAATAGATAAATAAGGTCTATTGTCTTTTGAAAATATTTATTGCTGAAATGATTTATTGGAACAACCTGTCATATCAAACATCATATTAGAACATAATCAAAGAACATAAATCATCATCCATATTTCCACATTTTGCATTAGATATTGGGATGCTTAACTCATCTCAATCTCATTAACTGACTATTCCACAACTAGGTAGGCTCACCTCTGCCTCATTTGTTTATTAGTTTAAGATATTTTTCCAACTGTATAAAGTTAAGACAGATGTTTCTGTTGCACGCTCTATGTTGGGAATAAAAGAGAAATTCAAGTCTATTTGCTCACAGTATATTAAACTCCAGAAGCCAAACTTTTAAGAGCATCAAGTCTGCATCTGACATTTTAATAGCTGCTGTTTGGTTTCTATCAATCACGTCATTGCACATTAAAATGCACCGACAAAATAAGAGATCTGTCATTCCTTCGTTAAGAAACAGTAATCCAGTACAAGATTTATAGGCTTAAGTCTCAACCGTGTGTTCACAATAAATCCCCATTCAGTGCTCAAACCAGAGCAAGCCTCCCTGTCGTTCAGTGTTTTCTAGTCGAAATGTCCCCAATATAAGATTATCAAAGGTTTTCTTACAGAACTACATATAAAATCCTTTTGCCAGCAAAAGCTTAATTTGGATTGGCGGTTTCCCTTTTTGGGTATGCTCAGACAAGATCTTGGTTATATCAGAAACACATAGGTACTGATGTATTATTAGCAGGCCTGGTGTTAATTAGGGAGAATTACCAGAAATAGTTTGCTTCGTGGAAATTTATTGCAGAATCACACTTGACTGATGGCAGAATAGGAGTTGCTGAGAGAGAGCAGCTCCCACTCATAACCACTAATTAATAGGGTGCCAAAATTCCGCAGAGAAAGTTTCATCCCAAGTGTGGGAGCCTCCCAGGGAAAATGGTTCTTTTGCAGTATTTAAAATTTAACAGAGGAAAGGTGCTAGGACACATGGCTACCTAACAGAAATCTCAGACTGATATGGTTTTGTGTTGTACGTATGAATGAGAGGATTTAACTCAGTAAGTACCGGGCCCAAATGTTGCCTGTGTATTTATCGTATATGGAGATATGCATATTATTTTTAATGCGGCAAGTGCCTGATTTGCCAAACTATTCATTTTCTGAGGAGAATTTACAGGACTGTATACCATTTGTCTATAGTATTATATTACAGAACTTTTGATTCTGTGATTTAGAATCTGTCTGGGTAGGTGGCAAGATTGCATCAATGATTAATAAGAAAGGTGTAGCCTTCATACCTTGAACACAGGGTTGGGGAAAAGTGAGATGCATTTTGTGATTTTCGCTAAAGGTAGAGCACTAGGGGAGCCCTTTTAAATAGAAGTTTGCCAAGAAGGCAATTTTTTTATTTTGTCCTGTCTGTGACTGCATGTAATAACACACAATAAAGCTTGGAGCTGTTGTTTAGTGTAGAATGGGATATTTCCATGTCCGAAAACCACTTGTCTGACCTTGGGGAGATAAATAAAGCAATTTAGAATTCTCAGGGAGTATAATTTTTCAATTTCTCAAATATGGTAAATACAGTTCCCAAGGAAAATGACTTCTATGCCAGGTCCTTGAGTTGATTGACACGGTCTCTTATGCATCTGTGTTTCAAAGGACAAAGTTTCTGCTCTTTCTGTCTGAAGTTTTCTAATTGGGTTCCAAATTATTTTTCATCTTCATATTCTAAACTGTCATGTTTGCTCTCTAGTTCAAATATAATGATTTTTTTTCCTTTTTCCTCTTTTTTCCTTGTTTCTTTTGTTTGTAAAGCACACACAACTGGTGCTATTCTAACTTACTCAAAAATACCATTGTTTCTTTGTTTTAAAGTATTTTAGTAGACTATAATACCTTCAGGTGTGTCTTGAATTTTCTACCCTAGTTTATTACTAATATGCCCGTTTGTTCCCTTGGTAAATGAGAAAGTAAATAGAACTCCAGTTACATCATAGCAATATTAGTTTTGGCATAATAAAACTGCTTACTTAACCTATATTGATGTCATCTAACCCCGGAAGCTTTCTCTATCCCTGTTTCCTTGAGAATCCTGACAATTTTAGCCTCCTTAATTGAATGAAACGGAGAGCAGAGGAATCCATGGAGCTTTTCAAGTATGAACTTTGAAATATAAGTTAAATTAATTCCAGCTTAATTAACTGGAACTTACCATTCATTCTGCTTTGCTAAATTACTATGCTACTGCTTAGTGATTTTTCTAATACCATTATAAATGCTTTGAATTCTCCTGCCCCTAGAAAAGATAAATTGATCTGAATCTCTTATAGTTTGTTTGTGCCTGTATCTGGGAAGTTCTGGATGACCTTTGACTGTATCAACGTAGATTATAATCGAGAATATAAATTACAGCTGAGGGGGAAAAGTGGTTACTCCTGGTAGATCAATCTGGATGCAATCAGGAGGACAGAAATCACAAAATAACTTAGAGTCTAGTATAAGGAATTATTAAGCTATGATAGGAGAGTAACTAAAAATATGAAGTGACCTCTAAAGGACAGCCTGGGGCTGAGAGAGGACCCAAAGAAGACAAGCTTAGAAGGAGATGCCCTCCTCATGGCTGGGGGTAGGACCTTTTTGGAGAAAGTGGTTTCAGCCCACTAAATAATAGTTCTCTGTGTTGTTGAGGTTCCGCGGACAAGGCAACAATTCTCTGGAATGCAGACAAGATTGATGGGTGAGTGCACAGAAAGAGTTGGGTGCCGCTGTGGGCACAGGCCTGGAATACACAGTACCCATGTCATGAAGCAAGGTGATGTGAAGTTCCTAAGGTGATGTGAAGGCCCCAGCCCGGGATGTGAAGTTCCTGAGGGTCTGTGCACTCTGGAAGCACAGCTGGGGCAGAACTCCACCAGTTGTCTCCACACACATGCGCTCTGATGGACCACACAGAAAAAAACAAATGCAACACCTAGATCCAGGAAGAGAGGCCCCTTCTGGAATAGTCCTTCTGCTACCTTGGGACAAAGCATCATGATCACTGTAAAGTAGAAATGATTAATATCACAAAGTTGGTACTGAAGAGTAAATGGTGCAATTTGGATGTGCAAGTCAGTAAATTGATAATTGGCACTCTTGAATGCAAAATAGAAACTAGATTCTCAACTATACTGAAGCTTCCATTATCCAGAATGTCACTGCATATACTTGGTGAATTATAAAGTCAAACAAGAAATTCTTCTAACTTTGTCCTTTCTTGTCAAAAATCCTCTCATTAATATGCTTTCAATGTGCAAAGTAAACAACGTTGCATTGATTGTGTTTTTCAAGGTCTAAATATTCAGTATAACTAGTCCTGAATATTTAAGAGATTTAGTTGGATGTATATAAGATATAACTGAAGGTTCTTTTTTCTTTTTTAGTTCATTTTGTTTTACTGTAATGCTTTTCCTACAGTTAAAATGAGTAAAACATTCTTAATTGAAGGCTTATGTTAGTTAACTGTGATTTCAGTTTATAGAAGCTTTTCTATATAAACTCCAGTCCTTGTCATAGAGAAAAAAAAATGAATGATTTTCATATTTAGCAATAGAAAGCAAGGAGATTAACAAGTTCCCCCTTCACAATAAACTAAACCATGAAGGGCTCAAGCCCAGCAGATCTATAATGACAGCTTACATTTGTTGTATTGTCTTTGTAATTTGTGTGCTATATTACTTGGTACACTAGTATACTGTAAAGTTCTAAATTGGAGAAACTCTGAGAGTCAAGTATTTTTAAATCTACATTTTACAGATGAGAAAATGGAAACTCAGCGAAATGAGTCTCTAAAAACAGTTATTAAAGCAAATCTGAGACTTAGACTTTCTAATAGCCCAGGAAGGAAATTTATTACTTTATCCACATTCCCTTAAGGTCCTTCTTATTAATAAGGGACAATTCCCATATATTAAGTTGGTAAAGGATATTGTTAAAAAGTATTTAGTTTTGCTACAGTATGTAAAACTTAAAGACTGTCTCTGTATGACTTGTGCAGTTGCCTGCTACACAGATGTCAATATCTGTGAGGTTTGCAATTGGACCATCTGTTCTTCAAGGGTATTTGTGAATTGATAGTCCTCTCTGCAACGCACCATTTGCTGTTCTTTGTGTTTTCACTACATTTCACAGTCTATACACTGTGGATATAAAACAACCACAGAAATAAGGAGAGAAAGTTGATTTGAAGTGTGGATAACGCCAAATGTGGTATCAAACAAATTAGAAGACTGTAGGAAATCCAATTAAAATTACTTTCACACAGCAAGGTCAATAATACCTATTTATAAGATGTTGGAAAAACAGGTCAGAATGGTTGACACCCAGTTAATTGTTACCTTTCCTGTTTGATGGATTTAGTTCCAGACTGTGAGTCTGAAAAATGAAGGATGGAAAAGATGAGACCTCCATGAGAGGGGAGAGAAACTGCATGTATGCCCAATTATATTGACAAGGTTGCATAAGATTCTTGGTTTTATTCAATTGAAATAAAATCTCTCTACTATTTGGTAATGACAGGCACCACTGCTAAGTCCACTGAAGCATAGCTGGAAAATCCAGCTGCCCTCACATCTGTTTTGCATGACCTTTTAATCATCAGCAAATACTTCTGCCACTAGGAATGGAAGTCTGGGTAGGATATGGCTATGTGACTTTCTAAGCTATAGCTATGGAAAACATTGAAACAAAATTCACGCATGCCGTGTACTGTGCCCAGAAATTGTAGACTTGTCTGGGTGGTGTTAAGGATTTGACCTATTGAGAGTACTCACACCTGCTTCTTACATTCAAGTTGTTAATCCTTCGTTCAGAAAAGGAGACATATTAGGAAATATGTGAATGGACTGCTGTGACTTAAATCTTAAGTGTTTAGGCTCTTAAACTGGTTCAAACTAAAATAACATTGATGAAATAGTGTTTTAGACTTCTGTTACATTTATTATATTTCAGAAACCTGTGTGAGTTGACTTTACTCTCATTTAAGATCTAGGACTTTGTTGGAACGCTTGCCTGAGTTCTAAGTTGTAACAAAGGGTCCTGAAAATATTTAGTTACCCAAAATTTTAAAAACAAAAAAAAAAAAATCACTGAAGAATCTCTCCTGAAAGGATTGTAATAAAGTTCACTCTCCTACCAATAAATTTCATTCTCACACCAGTATGATGGGTAGCCAATGGAATATGTTCAAGGATTACAGTTTATCTCAAAACCAACTTAAACTGCTATTAAAGTAGAAGCATTAACCAGTAGTAATTGAATGTAACAATTATATGTAAATATAACAGTCAAATTCTTAAAAGGAAAAGATCTTGTTTATCTTTTCCTTTTATGCTTAACACCTGTATGCTTAACACAGGTCCTGGCATTTAAAAACCCACCTGAGCATGAATCTTGATGATACTCAGGTTGAATTTATATGTAGGAGTGCCACAGACTGGCTAATAATTTGGATCCCTTTCAAGTCAATTATGTTGCTTTGTTAAATTATTATTCCACATTTGTGTAGAGGGAAGACCGAGCACTTTGTCGTGAGGAGGGAGGAAATAGAGAATAACTGGGAACAAAGATCAGTCTGTTAAGTACTCTGATCACCTAGCTCTGCCCCACACTTTCCCCTGACACTCAGGAAAGTGGCCCTTGGCCAGGAATTACCTGGTGTTGCTCCACAATCTCTCTTAGGAGTCTCAATCCCTGACTCTAAGCTGCTTATCAGAATAGCACATCCAGCCCCACAAAGTTCTCTCACCAAGAACCACCCTGTCATTTCCATCTTGTAATGTTTCCAGCAATGTCTTAGAGCTTCTCATGGACTGGCACCCTGGGCAATTGTCCAGTTGATCAACTCTAACCAATATTCCCTCACTTAGGAATCTTCTGGCCTTGGAAAAACTACGTAACTTGGTTGAACCTGCATTTCTTCATTAGTGTGTCCCCTCATCATCTTAGAGGATAATACTCAGTCTTGAAGAACCATAGTGACACAAATGAGATAGTGCGTGTGAAACTACCAGAGCTTCAGACAACATATTCAGCCCTTTTTCCTAGAATACAGATGAGGTGATACTCAAAAAACAAATTCAAATTTTTAATCTTTTGTTCAGAAAATGAGACATATTAGGAAATACATGAATGGATTGCTATTGCTTAAATCTTAAGTGATCCCAAATAAATTGGGGATTACCATCAACTGTCTTATCTCAGATATTCATAATACATCTTTAAGCTGAGTAGTCGTGCACAGTTTTAGCTACATATTTCGAAAATATATTTGACCATGCACACTTTACTTAAAGAACACCTATTCTACATAATGCAATTTGGGAAACACTGGTTTATCCCTTCTGTTTGTTTAGGGTGAATGTCCTGAGTTGTGCCTCTCTTCACATTTTAGACCAGTGGTTCTCAAACTTTGGTTTACATCAGAATCTTCTGGGGGGCTTCTTAAAATTGGATTGCTGGGCCAACCCCCAGAGTTTCTGATTTAGAAGGTCTGGAGCAGGATGAAACTCTGCATCTCCAACGAGTTCCCAGGTGAAGCTGATCCTGCTGGTCTGGGAGCACTCTTTGGGAAGCACCTGTTCTAGATTTAGACCAACACTTCTCACCTTAGTATGCGAACAAAGGACCTGGGGATTGTGTTCAATGACTCACCTGGGGCCCACCTCCAGATATTCTGATTCAGCTGGAGTGGAGTGGGGCCAATACGTGTGCATTTCCGGCAAGCTCCCAGATGATGCTGGTGCTTCTGGTCCACAGACCACACTTGAGAGTCTGGCTTAGATATCACAAAACAGAATGCTGAGGAACCTTGTGAGCCTGAAGGTAAAGCCCAATGTTTTCTCTCCTCCTCTGGAGTCTAAAATCAGGGAATCATGCTTCGATTTTAGATACATAGAAAAGTATGATCTGCTCTGAGAACTTTGCAAGGCTTTTTCATCATTTTTTTTTTCTTTTAGAATTTCTATGACACTAGTGAAAAGTAAAACTGGTACAACAGATCCTGCATGGGCTGTTGGCGGAGCCAGAACACTAAATGCCAGCAATGGATGTAAGCCCTGCAAGGGAATTTGGAATTCAGTTTAATCTTAATGGTAGATTTTTTTCATCATTCCAGATTAGGAATGCTCATTTCTCTAATATTTAACAATAAACCTCATGGAAGTGTGGCAGGAGTGAGTTACAGAGGAGCATGCACTGAGTCAGAGGCAATGGATTTGTGTCTTTGGCCTGCTGGTCACTTAATATTTTTCTGATACTGCAAAAGTCACTTGACCGGGTTTGAACAGAGCTTTCTTCTCTATAAAAATTGACTAGATTGGTAGGTCTTCTACCGTTCTTTCATAACTCTTTTGTTTTTTAAATTAGTTTCCTTTTAATTTTAGGGTTTTTTTTCTTTTTTTTTTTCTTTTTCTTTTTTTTTTTTTTTTGAGACAGAGTCTCGCTGTGTTGCCCAGGTCGGACAGCAGTGGCGTAATTTCGGCTCACTGCAACCTCCACCTCCCAGGTTCAAGCGATTCTCCTGCCTCAGCCTCCTGAGTAGCTGGGGTTACAGGCACACACCACCACACCCAGCTATTTTTTTTTTGTATTGTTAGTACAGACGGGGTTTCACCATGTTGGCCAGGCTGGTCTCGAACTCCTGACCTCAAGTGATCTACCTGCCTCAGCCTCCCAAAGTGCTAAGATTATAGGTGTGAGCCATCTCACCCGGCCTCCTTTTTATTTGTACAAATTTAGGGGTCCATGTGCAATTTTGTTACATGCATAGTGGTCAAATTAGGACTTTTAGGGTATGTATCAACTGATTAACATTGCCCCTTTAAACAATTCCACATCATCGTCTTCCTGGCTCTCACCCTTAGCCCTTCACCCTTCCAAGTCTCCATTACCTAACATTCTACTCTCTATGTCCATGTGAACACATTTTTTTTTAAAGCACAGAATGGCTATTACTAAAAAGGCAAAAGTGACTCTTTTAAAAACACCTTGAGAACTCAATATATGAAACAAGCAGGAAGTAAGCATCGGGCACTTTAATTTCTTAATTTTTTAGCAGAAGATACCTCTAACTTGCAAAACCACCGAAAGGCCTCTGGATTCCTCAAGTTCTCAGAAACAAGATTTGTAACTGACTTAGCTGAAAGCTTCCTACATTTCTTCTAATCGCACATTAAACCAGCTGTGGGGGATTGAGGGTCTGTGCTGTTTGATGCACATCCAATCAAACTCCCCACAATGACTTTGGCTTCTCCTAAATAATAGTTTTGTTTTTGTTTTAAATCGTAATCCATTTCTTCAATGCTTTCCCCCTTAAAACTAATAGGCAGATTTTTTTTTTTCTTTTCAAACTATTGAAAACTGCTTCACTCTGGGAGAGGAGGTAAGTGGAAAGGTTGTCTTGCAGCCACACGGGGAGGTCTGGGAGTTGCTTTGTTTTCTTAGCTGTGCTGTGCAAATGAACTGAAGGTTTAACACTTAGGTGCTGTTTGAAGATATAATACAACAGAACTCAGAGTAGGGAGTCCAGGAAAGCCATTGCTGGCCTTGCCCAAGGGCCCTGCTGTACAGCTGTTCTGAGAGCTGCAAAGCTAAAATTTGTTGCCATGGCTTATACCTAAACAAACCCGTGCCTGTTCTGGTATGTAGATTATGTTCTCCAAGGGCAGCCCTGCTCGCTCATTCCATGTCCATCTGTGGGATGCATGGGTTTCAATCATTCCTCCAGCATCTCCCATTCTAAAGCTGCAGTTTGTTATATGATATAGTGCCTTGTCACTTAGCAGCAGGCTCTGTGGTATTGGGATCAGCCTATTCCTCCTGCCTTCCCCAGCTATACTGGAACCTCTGTCCTCAGGGACCTTGCTGTGGGACCACCTTGCAGGTGTTAATACTTTTCCCACTAAACCTGCTTGGACAGAGGCCAACATGAATGCTGTACTCCACTGAGTAATGGATATTCCAGGATACCGTTGGGTTAGTTTTGAGGCCATAGCATGCAATCTTCCCCTACTTCCATCAGTACTGGTCCTTCTCTTTTAATTACTCATTTCTCCCTCTCTCTCTTTCTCTCTCTCTCTCATCTGCCCATGGTCTGGCAGATGGCTCTCCTTTAGGTTTATTCTAGTACAATGATATTTGGTCTTATTTTTTAGTTTCTTCCATCTCAGGGGACTCAGAAGCAATTTCAAAGACCAAGAAGTCTCCTAGGAAACAGCAAAATGACATTACTTCTAATTCTGTATAACATCTTAGGTAACAAATGCATATACATTCCTGTATCAATATAAAGTCTAACCAGCAAGTGCAAAAGCACAGGTCATTTTAATTAGAGCAGCATCCTGTGCAGGCTCATGCACACACACACACACACACACACACACACACACACACTTTCCATGACTTAGTAGCAACAGTGGTATTAAATTATTTTCCTGGCAGCTAAGCTAAGAGAAAAGTGTTATGTGGTCTGCACAGTCAGTTTCAAAAGATGCAAATAAGTGTTACTCTGGAGAAATCACCAAGCCCTGGATTCTTGAAGGAATTTATTGTGTTGATCCTTCTGTAAGAGACATTGGGCAACAAAACGGCCCATGTTTTCAAACTCTGAATGGGTAGGGAAGACCATCATTTACATAAAGTCATGTTTTTTTAATCAACACTTTCTAAGAGCAGAATACTGTCATCCCAGAACAAGTTTCTGCAAGGGAGTTGAAAGAATATGAACCACATATGTTGGTGCCTCTTTCACCCTTTCACGCATTCATTTATTGAACAAAGATATGTGGAGCAACTAGACTTTACCATGCACCATATTTGTCACTGGGATCTAGCAATAAACAAAGCACAGGTCTCTACCTTCTTAAAGCTGACATTCCAGTCAGGAGAGAGACATTCTGCTACAATGATATTTAGTCTTATTTTTTTAGTTTCTTCCATCTCAGAGGACTCAGAAGCAAGTTTAAGGACCAAGAGGTCGCCTAAAAAAACAGCAAAATTACATTACTTCTAATTCCATGTAACATATTAGAGATGTAGCAAATGCATATACATTCCTGTATCAATATAAGGTCTAACCAGCAAGTGCAAAAGCACAGGCCATTTTAATTGGAACAGCATAAATGAACTAGAATAAACTAACTAGCAACTGAATATACAGAATATCAGATGGTAAATGGAGCATGATGAAGAAGGGTGAGGGACAGAGTATAGGAATGGGTAAACCAAAGGAAGTGAGGGAGGGACCCATGTGGATATTTGGGAGAAGGTTGCTCCAGGCAAAGGAGAAAGCTTGGCATGTTCAAAGAACAGCAAAGAGCCAGGGTGGCTGGAGGAAGCAAGAGAGCAAGGAGGTTGGGGAGGAGAGGGGCTTGGGGAGGCCAGACAGGGCTTGTTAGACCATTTTAATGGCTTTCACTTCACTCTAATGATAAATAGTTTAAC